>NC_000002.12:7282727-7585757 GCF_000001405.40 Homo sapiens
TTGCCTCTCTTGCAGCTAGGCATGGGCATGTCATCCCACCTTAGCCAAAAGAATGGTGCTTCTTACAACATCCATTACTATAGTCTGGTAATGGCATTTCCAGCTAATGGTTAAACACTTCTGCAAAGTGAAATCACGCAGTCTATAAATCACTGTCCCCTGTTCTCCGGGTTAGTCCAGGAATAGACTTGACAGTGTTTAGAGAAGGCTTTGACAAACTATGATTGAGGCCCCACCTGGCCCATTGTTACCTGTCTTTGCAAATAAGGTTTTTCTGGAACATCACCATGCTCATTCATTTACTGTTTGTCCATAGCTGGTTTCCTGCTCTAATGGCAGAGTTATGTAGTAGTGACAGAGACAGTGCCCACAAGGCCAAAAATAATTACTACCTCCACCTTTACAGAAAATGTCTGCTGGAAGAATAATTTAAATCCTTCAAATATGTTGACTTTGTTGACCAAACTTTCAAAATGCATTTAGTAGAGATAGTTTAAGGCTATGGGTTCCTAATGTGAAGACCAGTGAACAGGTTGGCACCAAGGACTACTAGCTGGTCCTAAGCCTGGGAGGACAACATGCAACGGATCGTGTAGCCACGGGAATGTGAGTCCGCCATACTCACTGGCGTAAAAATGCAATTTGCTTTTTCTCTCTATAACCAAACTAGGTAGCTTATGAGCAACAGAACTTATGAGCTCCACTTTTCCTTATAACAGGATATTCATCTTACCACCTCCCGCGCCTCAGGGCTTCAGTTGGAACTCAATTGCTCCCTCTTTGGAAACAATTCAGTCAAGGTCCTTTCCATCTCACTGTTTTTTTCTGAGTCAGGTATTGCCTTGGCTCTAGATAAGGGTCTGTAGATTAAGCGCATGGTCAGCCTGGCCCCCACTTAGGTGTTCACTTTGGATGTGGGCTTCTGTTCTCCCTGTAGACGTGGCTCACTCCTTCACAACATTGCTCCATCCAGCGACCCCCACCTAGACCTGTAAGTTTTGCAACTCTCTTTCGGCATCCCTTGCTTCCTTGAGACAACGACCCCCACCTTCCTACACTTGTAAGTTTGCAACTTTCTTTCAGCATCCCTTGCTTCCTTGAGACTGGGGGCCATGTTTCAGGCATGATTGCATGGATGGTAGTTGTGGGTGGGTGGAACCCATCAGCTTCCCCACACAAGACATTTGTATGGACTCTGAGAGGCTGCCCTCAGACCAAATTGCCTCAACCTACTGTTCCTGTGCCCTGGTGGATGGAGACGGGACTTCCTATGAGAATACAATCTCTCGGGAAATACTTTGGAAAGCTCCTCAGTGCCCCTCTGCTGGGGGATCTCCAAGTCATCTGGGGGTTTCATTTGTCCTGCTCTTGCACCCTCTGCGGGGCTCAGGCAGAACAGGACGGTTACAGCTCAGAGCTCTCAGAGCCCCTTTGCTTTTCAGCTGCATCTTGTCTGATCCTCCTTCCTCCAGCCAAGTGGTTGATTGTTGAGCTCCCTTTCCAGAGGTGGAAAAATTTCTTAATGCATCAACCTATGTCCTCCAAATAATGTTTTGGTATAGACTGGTGCTCTATGTCTCCAGGTTCTGGATATATTTTAGAGGAAGACTTTTCCTTCTCAAGAGCCTAGCTCATAGTATTAAAAAGTTTGGTGTTCACAATGATCATCTCTAAAATGATATCTGAGTTTACTTTGGAATGTTGGAACCCAGTGCCATTCCTATTCTAATATTCTCAGTTCTTTCTAAGGCTTAGTATATATCTGATTTGGAAAGAAGAGGACTGAACCCCTGACCTCTAAAAGCCCACAGACGAGTGGAGGTAACAGATCTATAAACAGATGGTTGTAACATCAAAGTGACCTTTGATGATGGAGGTGCACACGTGACATCCTGTGACCAAAGAAGAGAGGTCTCAATCCTTTCCCTATCCCAAATTCACTTACAATTTTATTCCATCCCATGTGGACACATACTTCCTTAGCCCTCCCGACCCCAGTTGAAGGATTTCCCCAAAGTATTATTACATTGGAGGAAAAACAGCTACGAAGTGCTTTTGTTTATAGTTTGAAAAGCATTATGCTGGCCACTAAGTGAAGTGGAAGATGAATCAGACCTCAATGTGGGGCTGCAAACATACAAAGGTGAGGGCACAACATAGAGAAAAGGCTTTCACAGTTCAGGGTTGATTTCCATGTGAATGGGACAGACAGTAAATTGGGGGAGCCCAAAGACAGAATTGCAACCTAGAGAGAGCTTTCTGGGCATCCCCATGGAGGGAAGCCGGCTGCTTAAAACTCCTGAACTTATTCTGACAAAAGGGCACCAAACCACTCACAGTTGAGATGCCTGGGGTGGCTGAGATGCATCCCTTGATCAAGCCACTACCTCACTCTTTACTCCTCCCTGGGTCTCTGTGTCCGCTCACCTGGGCTTATCTTACCCCCACAGGGCCTGCTTCTTGCCTGCTGGGGTCCATCCCATCTCTAGCTTCCTTCCGGACCTAAATGAGTCAGGTTTTGTTTTCAGATGTTTCTCCCCAGCTCCTGTTAAGTCTTCTTTCCTCGGCCTGGGTGTTGCTCCCATTGATTTCCTTATGAGGTTCTCCAGGCTTAGCGTCAGTGACCTCAGCCACGGCTTCGTATTCCCTGGACTTGCCTCCGCCTCTGGCCTCAACCCCAGGAAGGAAAGTGCCAAAGCCAGGATGATAAGAGGAATTTGGCTGGGTAGAAAGGATGTTGATGGGCAAATTAGCAAATTTTTGGTGCTTCCTCTGCCCTTCTTTTGCTTCAGAATGTCAATCTCAGCACGAGGCCAAACTCTTCACCTTCTGAAGATGTCCAAGGGTCAGCCACATGGTGTTGCTTCTTTGCTATAGACCTTCTTAAGGAGCCATAAAACATGGACTGTTTTTATTACCTAGGAAGGCTTAGAAATCCCTCTGACCGGCTGGATGGTTCACGCTTGTAATCCTGGCATTTTGGGAGGCCAAGGTGGGCGAATCACGAGGTCAGGAGTTCGAGACCAGCCTGGCCAACATGGTGAAACCCCGTATCTACTAAAGATACAAAAAATTAGCTGGGCGTGGTGGCACATGCCTGTAATCCCAGCTACTCAGGAGGATGGGGCATGAGAATCACTTGAACCTGGGAGGTGGAGGTTGCAGTGAGCCAAGATGGTGCCACTGCACCCCAGCCTGGGTGACAGGGTGAGACTCCATCTCAAAAAAAAAAGAAAAGAAAAAAGAAATCCCTCTGACTAAACATATTAATGTCTTTTCCTTTGATAGAGCCTGACTCTGAGTTGGAAGAGATGGAAACATCTAAAACATCTAAAACATTCCATTGTACAGATGGATGAGGCCTAGATAAAGAGAATTGAAATGACTTATCCCGGACATAAAGTCAATACTGGTTTCAAACTTGACTACATATTGTATTCACTCGAGGAACATTACAAATGCTGCTTCGAGGGTCCCGACCACATAGATTCTGACCTAATTGGTTTGGGGGCGCTGCACGGGCACCGAGGATTTCTAAAGCTTCCCAGGTGGTTCTCACATGCAGACAGTGCTGAAAATCCCTGACCCAGTTAGTGGTCAGCCAAGACGTTAAAAACAGGTGTTCTGCCCCAAGGCCTAGAATAAACAATTACTTTTTGATAGGAGGGACCTGGAGCTTTCACATGTCACAGTGTCATGAAAATTGGAAGGGGACATGCAAGGCCATACTCCCACCCCTCGGTGACTCTCAATGTTTTGTCTGTGGTTTTTACCATCATTCTCAACTCTTTCCACTGCTCACAACAACGTTTGAACTGCCAAACCCAGGGGTAATCCTCTTTCAACAGCCTCTGGAGAAATCCCAGAGTTTATTCTCACAGGATAGAAAACTTAAGCTTTCATTCACAAATAATATAAAGTAAAAGGTATGCTTTCCGTTACCAACAGGAAATTTTCACAGACTTTTAGGGTCATTTAGATAAAACTTCCATTTCAACGTGTAACACCTTATAGTCAGCGTGGTAGAATAAACTGCAATAAACATGAAGTAACCAGACTAGTTAGCAATCACCCGCAGACACACACCTGTCTCCTCCATAAGCTGTTAGACTTCAACAGGACACAAAAACAAGCCCTTGAAAAACCCGTGGCCCTTTACGATTTAAGCTGATGATGATCTTTCCTAGCAGAAACTCAACAGATGAGACAACAAGCCGGAGATATGCTCAAAAATAAAAACCAGTATTTGGTGAAGATCAAGGCACAGCTCACAATGTCTGATCAAAGGTGTCTGAAGGGCTGAACCCTTACATGTACACCCAGGAGAGAGAACTAGGATGAGAACTTCGGGATTCCTTTAAAATCAGATCTTGGGATTCATCAGACAAATGTCAGCAATCTGGCTACTTTTTCAAGATTTTCTGCAGTCTTCTCATCTTCCCTGTTGATTAAAAATTCTTGTTCGTCTACTGGGCAACATTAAGGTGTTTTTAGAACATCACTAGTTGGCCGGGTGCAATGGCTTAGGCCTATAATCTCAGCACTTAAGGAGCTGAGGCAGGAGGACTGTTTGAGGCCAGGAGATTGAGAACAACCTGGGCAACATAGAGGGCCCCATCTCTACAAAATTTTTTAAAAAATTATCTGGGTGTGGGCCGGGCGCGGTGGCTCACGCCTGTAATCCCAGCACTTTGGGAGGCCAAGGTGGGTGGATCACGAGGTCAGGAGATCCAGACCATCCTGGCTAACATGGTGAAACCCCGTCTCTACTAAAAAATACAAAAAATTAGCCGGGTGTGGTGGTGGGCGCCTGTAGTCCCAGCTACTTGGGAGGCTGAGGCAGGAGAATGGCGTGAACCCGGGAGGCAGAACTTGTAATGAGCCGAGATCGCGACACTGCACTCCAGACTGCGTGACAGAGTGAGACCCGTCTCAAAAAAAAAAAAAAAAATTAGCTGGGTATGGTGGCATGCGCCTGTGGTCCCAGCTATTGAGGTGAAAGGATTGCTTGAACCCAGGAGATCAAGACTCAGTGAGCTGTGATCACCACTGCACTCCAGCCTGGGTGACAGAGTGAGACTTTGTCTTTTAAAATAAGTAAATAAAACATTACCAGTAACAATGACTTTATTTTATTGCATTTTTTCTTTTGCATGTAGAGTATATTGTCTGTATGAAATTTTACATTAACATATCTGTATTTAATTCTTCCACAACTGAGATAATTCTTCTCTATTCAAATATTTAAATCATTCCAATAATATTTGGAATAGTAGCCTATTTCCTTGCCAAAAGACTACTGTGTCTTTTCCTTATAATATGTCCCCAGCTTTTCTAAACATATCAAAGTTAATTTCTTCATTTTCTGTATTTGGGTAGCACTTTGTACTCATCCCAATTTCAGCTTCTCCTCTTTTGATTTTACAGTTAATCTTGGTCTGCTAGTTTGAGTTCCTTGGAGGCAGACACTGTGTCTTTAAAAACACTTCCTGCACGTTGGGAGGCTGAGGAGGGTAGATCAAGAGGTCAGGAGTTCAAGATCAGCCTGGCCAACATAGTGAAACCCCATCTCAACGAAAAAAATACAAAAATTAGCTGGGTGTGGTGGCATGTGCCTGTAGTCCCAGCTACTTGGTAGGCTGAGGCAGGAGAATTGCTTGAACTTGGGAGGCAGAGGTTGCAGTGAACCGAGACCTCGCCATTGCACTCCAGCCTGGGTGATAGAGTCAGACTCTGTCTCAAAAAAACAAACAAACAAACAAAGAAACAAACACACTTAAAGCATCCAGATCATCAAGATGAAGAGAATCAGGGAAGGCTTGGCTTGTGACCTGCCCCAGTCATTGAGTTCATACTACCCTTCCTGAAGTACATGTTGCTGCCTGTCCTGAGCTGCTTGACATCCTCTGAGAGCATTTCACTTCAACATATTAAATGACTCACTCTGGAACATGGCACCCAATGCTGCCCTTCACCCACTGTACTAGTTCCTTGGGGTTGCCATAACAACATACCATAAACTGAGTGACTTAAACAATAGTACATTTTTATCTCACGGTTCTGGAGGCAAAGAACACAGTCAAAGTACTGGCAGGGGTTTCTTCTGAGGCTGTGAGGGCCGATCGGTTCCAGGCCTCTCTTCGTGGCTTGTAGATGGCTGTCTTCATGTTTACGTGGCATCCTTCCTGTGTGCGTGTCTCTAGATTTCCCTTTCTATAAGAACACCAGGCATATTGGATGAAGCCCACCCTAATGACCTCATTTTAACTTGATGACCTCTGGAAAGACCCCATCTCTAAGTAAGGTCACATCCTGATGGCGGGGGGTTAGGACTTCAACACATGAGTTCTAGGGTAACAATTCCACCCAGTTATCTTGGTGACCACATTCTCTATTCATGACTACAAGTCACATGCCCGTTTCTGAGCCTCCTTGCCTCTTCTCATGTGCTGCCTTGTGTTGCCTGGGAGGTCCTGGTTTCTTTTAGAGTGTGGTCAAGACTCCATTATCTCCCTGAGTGTGGGGTTCTCCAGGCCTTCTCTCACCCCTATGGACAGAGACAGTCACTCCTTCTTGTACCAGCCACTCTTCTTTGGACTCCTGATTGTCAGGCTATGGATAAGCTGACATCTCTTTCACCCAGTGGCCTGTGCATTTGCTGAGGGTGGGACCCTGTCGCTCTCTCCCAATTCCACACCAAGCAGTTCCCCACTGATGCTTATTGGAGGAACACATGAGTGAATGAAACCATTCTTTCTGAACATCAAGTACCATTAAGACAGCTAAGGAGTTGGGGCGCAGTGGCTCACACCTGTAATCCCAGCATTTTGGGAGGCCTAGGGGAGTGGATCACCTGAGGTCAGGAGTTCAAGACCAGCCTGGCCAACATGGTGAAACCCCATCTCTACTAAAAATACCAAAATTATTTGGGCATAGTGGTTCATGCCTGTAATCCTGGCTACTGGGTAGGCTGAGGCAGGAGAATCGCTTGAACCCAGGAGGCGGAGGTTGCAGTGAGCCAAGATAGCACACTGCACTCTAGCCTAGGTGACAGAGCGAAATTACATCTCAAAAAAAAAAAATACAGCTAAGGAAAGCCTCCTCACAGGGCACTCATCAGGCCTTTCAGTCTACATGACAAAGAAAGAACATTGAACCAGGTGGCTTAATCCCAATTGCAGCCAAGGGCCCTAAAGCCCATTCCCGTTGGAGTGGGTTGGCCCTGACTCCACTGCCTGGCAGGCACATTTTCTGTCTTTTCATAGTGGTGCTGCGCTAAAGCCGCAAGAAGCACAACATTCAGCTTTCAAACATGAGTCACGAGTGCCCTAAACTCAGAGACATTTAACAGTGCAGAATGGAAGTGAACTTATTGGTATAATGTCTTGTGGATAATCAGGAATTATTTTAAGAAATAAGTGACATATGCTAATTATAAATAATGGGAAAAATAGAAATCAAAAGGAAAAATCTTTCCCAGCAGATCCCATGTTTCAATCAGAAAGTGAGGGATATTTCCTAAGAACTTGGGACTTTTGTCGGAACAAAATACGGATTGCTTTACATATTTGTAGTTGTGCCATGGATTTGTCTCACTTTTTACAGTTACTCCTACAATTACATTTTATTTTATATTGTGTCATATACATCTTTTTTATATTTTCAAATACTTTATAAACAGAAATTCAGCAGCTGTACCCTCAGCCTCTACCTGGGGATGCTGAGAGCCAGAAGGAGCCTCCCTGCAGCCCTCACAGGAAGCGAGGGCCGGCTAGCAGATGTCCAGGGACCCTCAAGGAAGGAAGCCATAAACACCAGAAAATAAGCTGATAGAAATGCTCTGAATTCAGCACAAGGATGAAAAGAGTGAGAAAGCAAAACCACATCTACAAGGTTCTCAAAAGTATCAAACATTCAGCCGGGCGCGGTGGCTCACACTTGTAATCCCTAGCACTCTGGGAGGCTGAGGTGGGCAGATCGAGATGTCAGCAGTTCGAGACCAGCCTGCCCAATATGGTGAAACCCTGTCTCTACTAAAAATACAAAAATTAACCGGGCGTGGTGGCACGCACCTGTAGTCCCAGCTACTCGGGAGGCTGAGGCAGGAGAATCACCTGAACACGGGAGGCGGAGGCTGCAGTGAGCTGAGATACCACCACTGCACTCCAGCATGGGTGACAGAGCGAGACTGTGTCTCAAGAAACAACAACAAAACATGAAACATTCTAACATCTGCAAAATTGGAATCTGGGAGAAGATATCTGAAGAAATAATGGTCAAGATTTTTTCAAAAATAATGCCAGACAACCAAACCAGAGGTCTACACATTGAACTCCAATCAGGATAAATACAAAAATAAAAACAAAACAAACAAACAAACAAAAAAACATGCAAAGTAAACCAAAAAACAAACCCCACAAAACTGCATGTGCACACACACCCACACACTCTATGCAGATTATATTTAAACTGATCAAAACTTAGCCACTGCACAGTATTCTGTTTATAAATTGCAACAAATGAAATTCGTTGGTTTACAATTTTTGAGGTGCTCTAACTAATGAAATTTATTTGTTTATAATTTTTCATTAGTTTAAAAAAATTTATAAACATGTCTATGTTTAAAAGCTGCTTGTATATAATTTTATTTTGCATATAAATATTTAAATATTACATATAGATATGTACATAGTATTTTTTATATGGATGGCAGGTAGAATAGTAAATTCTGAAATACACTTTGGAGTGATTCTTGTATCTCGGTATTTTATCAGAGCTCCAATAAAGGATGGAGCCTTCTTCATGAAACAAATTATGTACAATTTGCTAAGAGGAAAAATAAGCACGCATTTAAAAAAAAATTCTCAAAGTATAAATAACAGATAAAAGGCAGCCTAGCTATGACTTCATTGTGCCTCAGTTTTCTCACTGAAAAAAATGGAGATAATGATGGTAACTACATGACAAGGTTGTTATGAGGAATAAGTGAGTTAATATTTATAAAGCTCTTAAAACATTGGCTGGTGACATCATTACATAACACGTGAAGTGAAAGTTGTGATTACAGCGTGAGTCTCCTGTTAGTTCCCAGTGGTCTTCATCGGGAGTCAATGGTGCCCGGATCTGGGATAGTACCCTGCTTCATGTCCTTTTTGGTCATCTTGTTTCTGTGCCTCATGCCTATGTGACATGCATCTTTATACCAGGCTGATGGGTTGCTTAAGGCTTCCACATATTTACAAAGTATTGTTAGTTTCTATCTGCAGCTGATTAGCTTGCAGCATTTAAAATAAAGAAAGATTCTACCTTAACTCACAGAGCTCTGAACCTGTATGTGCCATATCAACGCTTTTTGCTAATTTTGTTTTCTTTGCAAAATCCATGGAAAGAAGGAACCCAGGTGACCTACATTCATGAATGACTTCTACAAAAGCTCTCCCTTGGTGGAACTTTCCATAGGAAACATTTTTATGGACTTCAGTTTTTTTTAGGTATGAAAAACAATCTCTCCAGGGAACACTTACTACATCGCCCTGACACAGTTTTCTTCTGTAGTTGTTTCCAGTCTTTTCATTCCAAACATCTTTATGCTACAGCATCTGACGTTAGCTGCCCACGAGCCTGTCTTCAAGGGTGGTGGAGTGGGATGTTGTGGAGATTCATTCTGTTCTGCACAAAGGCTTGAAGAAAGAGGAAAACAAAACAAAAACTTGAGGCAAAAAATTCTAAATAGGTTTCATCTTCTTTATTGATTCCAGACGGCTGATGACGTAAGGGCGGTATTGAGAAGTGAGACTCCCTGGGCCTCTCTGAAAACAGTGCCCTGTTCCTGTAGCAATGTCTCCTACGGGTAGGGCTGGGGCTTGCAGGCACTCCTGTTATGCATTTGCAATCCTATTTCTAAGGGGTACAGGAGGTATAACTAAACTGAGAATATTAGAGGGAAGAAAAGACATGCCTGAATTTTCTACCAGAAAGTATATAAATATTTAAACAGCTCTCATAAGTTTGAGAAATGGCTGTAAAGAAACAAGAGGGAAACTTAAAAAGCTCCCCAATGAGGAGGACCCAGAATAGGCACTGGACCCAGTGAGGAAGACCCAGAATAGTCATTGTGTGAGAAATGCATGTATGGACATAGTCAGCATTTTGGAAAATAAGTGGAGATAGGGTGGCATGAGGATGAAAAGACACTCCAGCTACCTTACCCAATGATACAGAAGCCAACTTCAAATTGTAGTTGGTAGATTACCAACCACTGTAGCTGGTAGATTACCAACCAGCCAGTTGTATGTTTCTACTGAGCAGGAAAAACAATACACATCACTATTCCCAAATGCTTAATTTATTAAGTAATTTATTAAATCCTTATAGCATATAAGCTTCTGTAAGATGAGAAACAAAATGATACCCCAAAGAGAAAAATGTAAGTAAATATAATATAGCTGATAATTCAGCTTTCATCTATAAATAGGTATGATCAGTGTCTTCATCTATATGTAATGAATATTAGTTTTTTAAAAATGAAGAACTACATTACGGCATATAATGTCTGCCTCAGAATGGAGATATATGAGTTTTAGATGAGATTCTGAGCATCAGATACACTTGTGATAGTCTGTATTTTAATCAAGATGCCATATAAACACTTTTGAACATAAAGTTGTCTAATATTCATTATATGTCAAAAAATAGATGGGGCAATGTAATATCACATCTCACTGGGAATGAACACTGGAAAACTGAAGAGCAAATGCTTCATATACACATAAAATTCTTGGTTTAGAAACTACTTGACTTCCTTTATTTAAAAAAAATTTTAAGTAAAAATAATTTCAAACCTTTCCATTGGGCAACAGAACTGATGATTCACATACCCTGTTTTCGATGGAACACCCACATTTTTCAGTGGAGTGAATATCAAGAAGTTTTTCCTGCTGAAACGTGGTAACATAGTTTTGATGTCTGGTAGCTCTTCAAAGAGAAACCATCTAAATGCAAGGGTGTGTACTGCAGCAGAGTGGTTTTGTGTGCAACTTCTCAGAGGGCATGGACACAGGTGTCTGCATTTGGGCCAGGTGGCTCCACCCTTCCAGAGACAGCTGATTACCAAGGTTTGCACACACACAAATTTTTCTCTGTCAAGCTAAGTGGCAAACAAGAATGGATCAGATGGGGTTGAGCCCTGGAGTTTTAAGATAAGGCAGGGTCACTGTCATGGCAGCTCAAGACACATCTGAGCAAATGCTGTGGAAAGCAAGAGTGAAGAACCCTGGGGAGAAGCTGGGAGCCAGAGAGGGAAAATAAAGAAAGATGCCGTGGAACATCCGTGGAAAACCGTGTCATCCTGGAGAAAGGTGGAGTTACGCAGAGGAGTGCGTTCCCTGGGATTCTTCTGATGTTACCGTAAGCTGGCTCCCTTTCCTTAACCCTGAATTTATGCTAGTTTGAGTTGGTACCTATTTTTTTGATAAATGTCCTTGACTGAGACAAACATAAATAATAGCCAAACTTTTAAAAGAAAAAAGAAACAAAAAATATTGATTGCAAGAATCTCTACAGGAAAGAAAATAAGCATGGGATTCTGTCAGGGACAGCAGCTACTGAGATTGAAAAAATTCCATTAATTTCAGATATGTCATTAGACACATACATATGACAAGAGTGCTAGAGATGGGATCAGAGCTTAATATGACTTTACGAAGGGCTGCTTCTTCCAGCTTATCGTTAAGCAAGAGAAACATCACCATCGACAAATACCAAAGATCTATGTTTCACATAAAAGTCAAAGCCTTCTTACTGTATCCCTGCATTCAGCCTATCTTTCTAAAGGGGAAACTATTAAGGAATACATATGAACCTGGAAAAACAGTGCCTCTGGAAAAAAATCTACATAATAAAATAATGAGTATTGATTTGAGGATGATAGAAGAACTGATTGTCCCATTAAAGGACAAATTCTGTAGGGAAGGGTATTACAGAAACATTTTGCATCACAGCTAAATCAAAGCATTAAAGAAACTAAGATCTGGTTTTGCTTTCATTCCTCCCAGCCGCTGCATATTTCTATAATCTTGAACTTGCCTAATTTAAATATGATTTTGATTATATCTGCTGAGATACTGACACACAGGGCTCTAACACAGTGTTGATGCTGATAAATCATATTAAGGCCGTGCAGTATGACTCCGCATGTTAAGCTGTCCTGTAACAACAGTCACTGCTTTACCTAGTATCTATAGTGGTTATTCACTCATTCATCCATTTATTCAAAAATTATATTAATCATCTACTATGTGCCAACTAATTGGCTAGGTACTAGAAACACCACAGCAAATGGGACGATGTTCTTGACCTCAGGAAGCTAATAGGAGAAAGTGAATTACAGAGAAGGCTACAGGATTTGGTGGTAGTAAGTCCAACATGCTGTAAGCACACTGAGGAAGGAAACTTAATCCAGTCTCAGGAGTCTGAAAGGGGTTCTGGGAGGAAGTCACTTTTCAGCAAAATCCTGAATGTAAATACAATTTCCATGGCTGAAAGTTGGGTAGAAGAAAAATAAAAATAAGACACTTGATCTTAGCTAAAAGTCTGAGAATAAATGAAAAATAAAAATAATAAAAGGAAACTTTTATTGATGCTTTATTATGTCCCAGACTGTGCAAAGCACTTAACAAGCATTATTTTACTTAATTGTCCTCATAGTCGTAGGAGGTACATACTATTCCAATGGATGAAAAAAGAGAGTCAGAAGACAGTGAGAGATTCCTAATTAGAATCACTCAACAACAAAATGAGCAGCTTTTAGAAATAGTGAGTTTCCACTTTTTGTAAGTAGTCAGACTGTGGTTAAATAACTCAGAACCAAAATAGATTGAAACGCTGAGTAGGGGATCGCACTTCATCGGATGTTTCTAAGGGCTCTTCCAACCCTGAAATATTCTGATATTGAAAATGTATCCTAGAAGATTTATATAGCAGGACATTTATTATGATAATATACTTGGATGATGACTAATATTGTTATAATGTGCTAAGATCTGATTAATCTGAGTAATAATAACATGTTTTGGCAACAAAATAAGAATGCAGAATGTCTAAACATTTGTTATATCAACCAATAAATTTCTATCTCCTGAGGACAGAGGATTGTAATGATTTTGACCCAGGGAGCCCATATGGTTATAATGAGCTCCTATTCATTATGTATATATTCAGAAAAAATATTTATTGATCGATAGCACAATCATTTGGATTTTAATAGTAGCAATAATAATAGCAATAATGTCCTATATTCAGTTGTCCAAACTTGTCACAGCAGTAAGATTTTCATGTTTCTTTTTCTCTTATCATATACTCACTAAACATTAAACTAAATTCAAGGGTCAAGTCTAAATTCTCCATATTAAAAATCCAAGTGTATTAATCAGGGTTCTCTAGAGGGACAAGACTAATAGGATAGATGTATATATGAAGGGGAGTTTACTAGGAGACTTGACTCACACAATCATGAGGTTTACACCCACAATAGGCCGTCTGCAAGCTGAGTAGCAAGGAAGCTAGTCCCAGTCCCAAAACCTCAAAAGCAGAGAAACCTCTACAGTGCAAACTTCAGTCTTTGGCTGAAGGCCTGAGAGCCCCTGGCAAACCCCTGGTGTGAATCCAAGAGTCCAAAAGCTGAAGAACTTGGAGTCTGATGTTTGAGGTCAGGAAGCATGCAGCACAGGAGAAAGATGGAGGCCAGAAGACTCAGCCAGTCTCGTCGTTCCATGTTCTTCTGCCTGCTTTTATTCTGGCCGCGCTGGTAGCTGATTAGATTGTGCCCACCTGGATTGAGGGTGAGTCTGCCTTTCCCAGTCCACTGACTCAAGTGTTAATCTTTGGCAACATCCTCACAGACACACCCAGGAACAATGTTTTGCATCCTTCAATTCAATCAAATTTACACTCAGTATTAACCATCACAAGCCCACCTCCTGTCAACCTGAACCCATGCACATCTCCTGAAATCATACATAATCTTCAAATAAAGACAATAATGTCATAATTATGCCTAATGTAATACAGCCATCCTTCGTACAACCAGAAACACACCAATCGCCAACCCAAATGCTATTACATAAAGTTAACAACACATAAATGCTGATAGGAAGTCAATATATCTTATGTCACATGATAAAGAAAAAAGAAAGAAAATAAAATGAAGGTATTTTCTTAGTACAAGTGTATATATGCACAAACATTCTTAACAAAATAAGGAGGAAATACTCCTGACAATTACCGTCCTTGTTTCTGCAACTGGTCATGTGGTCGTAGCTGGTATTGATGATTACCTTCTTCTACTACCCATTCTGTATTTCCTTTACCTCAGCAGGTCATTTTTTTAACATGGTGAAGTGCCCCAAACCTTTATTTCTGAAGGGTCTGGGTGATTTGTAGTTCTGCCTGGATTGGACTGTTATAGTTTCCCATTGATCTTAATCACAGGGCATGGTAATACTAAGAGATGCCCTAATGGATCTCCTGTATTCCACACATACTCTTCCTTATCTCCATTGTGGAGTAGTAGATTGATTTCATCTTGATATTGCAGGTCAATCACCCCAGCCAACATTGTAACTCCCTTCTTCGCCTGTTTTCTTAGAGGCAGGAGGAGCCCAAAGTGTCCAGGTGGCAATCTTAACTTCCAGTTTAATAGAATTGTTGTGTCCCGGGTGGCAGCATTCCTCCGCCTGGAACTAAGACCTCTAGGCCAGCAGGACGTAATTTCATGGGAACAGGAAGCAAAAATCTTGCTAGTGGATCACTAGGGGTGATGGTGAGTGGTGACACTTCCACTTCCACCCCTTGATTCCTGGACCTGTGAATCCTGGCTATGGGAGAAATAGTACCATATATTGGACACAGATTCAGAGCATACACAGCCTTCTGAAGAAGTTTGCCTCAGCCCTGCAAAGTATCATCACCTGGTTGGCGTTGTAATTATGACTTCAAAAGGCTATTCTGCCATTCTATCAATCCAGCTGCTTCAGGATAATGGGGAACATGGTAAGACCAGTGAATTCCATAAGCACGAGCCCACTGCTACACTTCTTTAGCCATAAAGTGAGTGCCTTGGACAGAGACAATGCTTTGTGGAATACCATGATGGTGGATAAAGCATTCTGTCAGTCCACGGATGGTAGTCTTGGCAGAAGCATTGCGTGCAGGATAGGCAAACCCATATGCGGAGTAAGTGTCTATTCCAGTGAGAACAAACCTCTGCCCGTTCCATGTTGGAAGAGATCCAATATAATCAACCCTCCACCAAGTAGCTGGCTGATCACCCCAAGAAATGATGCAGTATCGAGGGCTGGGTGTTGAACTCTGCTGCTGGCAAACTGGGGACTCGGCAGTGGCATAGCCAGGTCAGCCTTGGTGAGTGGGAGTCTGTGTTGCTGAGACCATGAATAACTTTCATCACTGCCACAATGGCCACTTTGTTCATGGGCCCATTGAGCAGTGACAGGGGTGGCTTGGGAAGGATCCTGAGTGGTGTCCATAGAATGAGTCTTTCTGTCCAGTTGATTATTAAAATCCTCCTCTGCTGAGGCCATGTGTTGGTGAGGACTCACATGAGATACAAATATCCTCTCAGTTTTTGACCATTCAGAGAAGTCCATCCACATACGTCTTCCCCAGATTTCTTTGTCACCAATTTTCCAACCATGCTTCTTCCAAGGCCCTGACCACCCAGCCAAACCATTGGCTACAGCCTGTGAATCAGTATATAATCACACATCTAGCCACTTCTCTTTCCAGGCAAAGTGCACAACCAGGTACACCACTTGAAGTTCTGCCCACTGGGAAGATTTCCCTTCACCACTGTCCTTCAAGGATGTCCTAGAAAGGGGCTGTAGTGTGGCGGCTGTCCATTTTCGGGTGATGCCTGCATATTGTGCAGAGCGCCCTGTAAACCAGGCCCTTGTCTTCTCTTCCTCTGTCAACTGATTATAGGGAACTCCCCATGAGGCCATCAGTGCAGTTGGTGGGAGAGAAGGCAGGGTGGCAGGATTTTGACCCATGGAGTCCATATAGTAATAATGAGCTCCTACTCATTATGCATGTATTCAGAAAAAATATGTTTATTGATTGATAGCACAATCATTTGGATTTTAATGGTAGCTGTAATAATAGCAATAATGTCCTATATTCAGTTGTTCAAACTTGTCACAACAGTAAGATTTTCATGTTTCTCTTTCTCTTGTCATAAACACACTAAACATTAAACTGAATTAAAGGGTCAAGTCTAAATTCTCCATATTTAAAACCCAAGAAATTAACAACATATATACCATTATTAAGACATTTACATTTATTTATCATAAAACTTTAACTATAGGGTGCTAAATTATAGATTGTATTTATAAGAAAGGGCCTAGATTTTCTATATAAAGCTGTTTATTTCTTGCTTTTACCTGAGAGGGAGAATATGACTGGGTGACTTTAAAATTTCTATGTTCAGGGATTAAAGAAGATTTATAGAAAAGTTCGGGAACTGAAATACGTGTGCACAGAACGAAGGAAAGTTGACTATGTATTTTTAAGCCAAAACTAAAAAATAAACCAACTTTAAAATATAAAAATTGAAAACTTTAAAGAAAATCTTATGGTCACAATAAGGCTAAGTTGAGTATGAATCTCTTTCAGTCTTAATTAAGAGGCAGCTGTCGGACTCTGTCATTTATTCTATGGTTTACTGAAACCCTTAATTGACCAGGTTGCATATTTTGGAAGAGGGAAGGTAGAACTTCTCAAGATCTCTTCTGCCGTATTTCCTCTATTCAGAGATGAGAAGGTTTTTTCATATGTTAATAACTCTGAAATTGGAGTGCTTATTATAACTGATATTATTAGAAAATATTGTGTCATTATATAATTGGTAGCATTTTTATTAGTGGTACACAAAACATGTACAGAATTCATACATGGCATTATAGATGTGCTCAAGTATATTATATCCTATAATCCTGACTTCTACTTTACTTATCTAGTTTACTTTGATTTATCTTTCATTTCAAATAAAAATATTCTCTTGTATCTTATCTCTTCCCTTTCACATTTGCATTCTATTTCTATATGTTACCTTCAAATGGCTTTCCCTTTTTCTAAGTGTTTGCTGTAGCAGGAATGGACCGCTGGCCATTAGGGGTCCACACTCCTCTCCCCAAGTGTGCAGGTGTTTCTGAGAAGCAGCTTCCCAGCCAAGGACTGCCTGCTTAGAGATGAGCCCGTGTGACTAGGTTTGGCCAACGGGGTTTGAGGAGAAGGTGGGTTACACCCTGCTGTAAGGGATTACCAGGTGAGAATGGCTCCATCCTACCTTTGTCTTTCTGAGACCATGGGTTAGCAGAACCAACGTGCAAAAGTGGCCTGGACACATGAATTAGTGCATAGAAGGCCACCTGTCAAACACCTGCATTGCATTGTTACAAGAAGCAAACATTCATTGCAATTTTGTTGAACCACTTTGATTTGGGTGGGGGGTTGTTACCACAGCCCAACTCTTCTAGAAGAAAGGAGATGCTAGGATCCTTTTGGTTTTTTACCATAAGGTAATTTTATAGGGTACTTTCAATGCATATTATAAATTCCTTCTTTTTGGGTAACTATACATCTAGTTATCTGTTACACCAAGGTTCTGATACCCACTCTGGACTTTATTGCCCCCTGTAACCATGAGTCTGCAATCATAAATTAATTAGCTCATTCTGTTTCTCCAAATTCCTCTACATCCTGATGATATTCAACAAGTGCCTACACAATACTTCAATTTCTATCTGAAACAGTAGTCTGTAGATATGACTATTTCTCCCCACCCCCCAATTTCACCACATCTATCTTTTTCTTTTTAGCTTAACTCGCTTGGTTTATCCCCCAACAACTCTCTTTATCAATATATTCAACATTTGGCTCCTTATCCCATCCCGCACTCCTGGAAAATATTGAACCCGGATACATCTCACCGGCTCCCTCTTCATGACTGCACTTGGGCATTGAGAGCTCTGGAGAATGACCCATGATCACGTCCAGGGGCCTGTGGACATGAGAAGCAACAGCCCTCCTCTTGCCATCAGACATGCAAGTAGCTTTCGACATGTCAACAGCCCAGTCTCTGGGCAGTCCAGTGTGTCTGCCTCGAACATTCTCCTTCTCTTTTTCTTCCTCCTCTCTTCCCCATCCCATCAGTCACCAGAGAACCTCACCAATCACTGAGCAAAGTTAACCAGTGTGAATGCTTCCCATTTTCTGCACAAATTCTACAAATGTGAAGCTCTTGAAACTCAATCTTACTCCATTCTCACCTAATTTACTGGGAGAGGCGTTCCCAGACATGTGTCCAGCTGGTGCCTCTGCCTGCCTCTTTTGGCCTGTGTCCCACCTTCTCAGACACTACACTTTCTCCAGTGTCCTTTGTGATTCAAATCTTCAGTTGCCTCCTCTAATGACTTTGTCTCACCTGCTCTCAAACTGATACATTTTTTTTCCATATTAAAGTTAAACTCGGGTTACTGCCTTCTGTCAATTTTTTTTTATCTCTCCTCCTACACCCACAAACCCCAGATTCTAGCTGTGGCCATTCATATTCTTTCAAAATCCGGACTCTTGACCTCCAGGTCGTGGCATTTGTTTCTTGAATCTCTGACTGTTTTCCTTGATTGTTAACATGTCCACAGCATTCCACTTCGCATTCAGGGCGCGACTCAAATGTCACTTTCCACAGAAGTTTTTCTGGCTTTTTCTGGAGGGGGCCCCAAGTATAGTGGATATGTCTGACCACAGCACCTGTTCCTTCATTTCCCACTTTATTGTCATTTCTTCCTTAATTGTGTTTTCCCTTCTCAATTATATGGTACAAGAAGGCAGGAATAAGTTCCATTTTGCTATTCCCAAAGCAGAGCAAGGTATCTGGTACGGATAGACCTTCGACAGCTGTGTGTTATATTAAGGAATTAATGATTAAGTTTGGCTGCTTTTCCAGGATATGTTGTTTCTTATGTTAGAGAGAATCTCATACTCTTCAGCTCCACCCAAAGTGTATTTTGGAAACTGAAGAATGTGAAAACAGTCAGCCATAATTATGCACCAGCCTCATTGCTTCTGGAGAGATAAAGTGTTCAAGGTCTGAGGCCCACTTCACAATGCCATTATAATTTGCCAAAGAGTATAGGAACAGCAGGATTTTGTGGTATCACAGACTCTGTTCTTATTCTTTGGAAAGGGGAAGTTCTTATTCAGTGTATTCATTTTTACCTTGTCTGCAACGCTTGATCAGATGAGTGCAGACACACTGCAAATACAAAGATGTATAACACACTTATAGCTTTTTCTCTCTGCAAGTTAGAGATGCTCCATTTGGTTCCCACTCTTCTAAAATTTGTTTGCGCATCTCTCTGTAACTCAGTTAAGAGAGTACCATCATCAGACCAACTGTGAGGGGACTCTGAGTGCCCTGTTATTGAGCCTCATTCTGTCTGAGTCCAGAGGCTTCTCACGAGCAGTTTCACTGTCTGTGACCTGAAGGAACAGATAAGCAGAATGTACCTCTGTTTGTTTCTTTCATATTTACAGATGAGTCTGATAACAAGTGTTTAGTATGACAGTGGTTCAAGTGAATTGTGAAGACAATGTATGATGACTCTACATAATGAAAAAAATAAGTATAAGGAGAGAGAATTTATTTACATGTTATGCATAAGTAAATATAAGTTGTTACATATAGGACAATGCTTCTATGTTCAGATGTGTATATTTAAACCAACAGACACCTGTATATAGTGCTTAACATGGCACCTGGAACATACATGTCACATTAATATTTGCTATCTCCATCAATATTAAGCCCTAGCAAACGAATACACTTACTCATAGATTAGGAAATTCAATATGGTTAAAATGTCAATTTTCACTTAATGATCTATTGATTCAATGCAAATGAGATTAAAATCCCAAATGATTGTAGTGGAAATAGATAAGCAAATTCTAGAATTTGTATTGAAAATTCAAAACAGCTCATTGTAGATAGGACAAAATGGAGGACTTTACTTAAATTCACCACTTACTAAAAAGCTACTACTATCAAGACAATTTTAAGTTAAAAAGATGTATAGACTAGTAGAACAAAAAAAGAGAGTCTATAAATAAAACCATTTATATGTGGCTAATTGATTTTCAACAAAGGGGGAAAAAGATTTAAATGGATAATGGGTAGATTTTTCAATAAATGGAGTTGAAAAATGAGATATTCATATGAAAATAAATAATCCTTACCTCTAACCCTATGGTATACATAGAAAATTGAAACAAAATGAATCACTCCATTAAATGGAAAAGTAAAAATTGTAATACTTCTGGAGAAAATATAAAAAAAAACTTTAATCACTGGGGTTTGGCAAAATTTGATAGCTAAGACACAATAAGCAATTCCCATTAGAGAAAAAATGATAAAGCACATCTCATCAAAAGGTAAAATTTCTGCCTTTAAAAAGACACCTTAGAAAAATGAAAAGACAAGCCATATAGTGGCAGGAAATAACAGCAATGCATGTTTGACAAAGGACTTATATCCAGAATATGTAGCATAGAAAACCCTTACAAGTCAATATAAGGAGACAAACAACCCAATTAAAAATATTAAACAGGCACGAATTCATATACTAAAAAGGTGTATGAATCATCAATAAACACATGAATAACTGGTAGACATCATGAATCATTAAGGAAATTTAAATTAAAATCACAATGAAATATAGCTACATAGTCACATAAATAGCTAAAATGTCAATAAGACTGATAGTACCAAGTGTTATATGAACCAATGGATCTGTCATTCACTATTGAATTAAATTGGTAATAAAATTATTAGCATCACTTTGGAAACTAACAGCAATTTCTCATAAAGTTAATCAGAAACTTACTACATGATGCAACAGTTTCATTCCTAGGTATTTACACACAAGAAATGAAAATGCGTATCCACAAAAAGACATGCACACAAATGTTCCTAATGGCTTTATTCACTACAGTCTACAGTGTCAGTGGTGTGCTGGGAGATGGGTGGGTTCTGGGTGAGAATTGATGGAAAGAGTACAAGGAAAATTGTTGACGTGGTGGAAGCATTGTCTATCTTGATCGTGATTGTTGTATGCACCCATGAAACTTACTTAACTGTATACTTAAAATATGTTTTATTGATTGCAAATTATGCCTCAGTATGTCTGATTAATTAAAAAACTCCTTGATCCACGCTTTTCACATCCTCACTAATAAGAATGATTTATTTCACACTTATGGCTGACCTGGCAGTGGTTTTGTATTCTATTTAGCAGTTAAGTAATTTTTTATTTTTAAAATTGGTTGATTTATTGATGTTCCCTCATTTAGATAAAAACTTCTGGACACTTAGAGCTACTGCATTTATTGTTGTATCTTCAGTGCTCAGTAAAATGACTGGCCCAGGGTGGATCCTACATAACGGCATGTTGAATTGAATAGAGGTACATCAGTATTTGTTGAGCTGTTAAAATGGGATAGATCCTATCTCGGACGGGCAAGCTATGAGAAAAGATGGCTAGCCACGCAGTCTAGAGTCAGATCCATAGTTCTTTTTTATGGTTGGCAGAACTTCTCTGACCAGCAGCAGGAAGTTGGCAGGGAGCACTCTGTGAGGAGCCAGAAGGCCCAGTTTGTTGAGGTCTGCAATGTATCAGGATGATGACCAGGTGAGACTGTGGCCTGAAAATCTGGCATAGAAAGGACCAGAGAAGTCATATCATGCTAGAAGTTAGAACAGGAAATAAAATGACTAGTTCCTTACTACAAATCAGGAATGACCTCAGTGATTTACAGCCACATCTCATATGCCCTCACATCATCTCTGCCATAAGTACAGACTAGCAGGAACCGTGACCAGTCTTGTAAGGAGAGACACAGGTTGAGTAGCAGTTGAGAGGTGGTCTGAGTTTTGGGAGTCCTCCCAAAGCCTGCAAGCAGATTGTCTTTGGCCCAAGCTGAATCCAAGTGAACAAAAATTTCAAAGCCAGAGCCATTGGCTGTCTAGAAGCAGCACAGAGGGGTGTACTCAGAGGCCTAGTTATACTACTGGTGTTTTCTGGGCCAACCCATGGGTCCTTACCAGAGGTAATGAGCAAGAAGAAAGCTAGGCATCGGTGATTATCAAGATTGCTGTAAATCTGTTCCATGTTTTTAACCTCTGTGGCACAGAGGGCTGTGCTTATGACATTGATCCTGCATTTTGTTCCCCTCTCAGGAGAGTCATGATAAGATAATGATACACATGTCAACTGGTGTGTGTGAAACTGGCAATCAGATGATTAAACTTGGGAGTGTCTTTGGGAAATTCTCAAAATACTACCATGGGTTGACTGAGCTCTGCCAATTCTACCTCCTCAAGGCTCATCTTCCATCTGTCCCTTCTCTCCCAACCCCCGGTGCCAGCACCCTTGTATGGGTCTTCAGTCCTGACTTTGTTACTGCAGGTGCCTCATTACTGGCCTTGCTCTAATGTGATGCTTTTTCATCCATTTTCAGTTAATTTGAAGTAATTTACTCAAAGCCTAAAACTGACTGAGAGTCTGCCCTGATTAATAATCTCAGTTGGTTTTCTGGTAGACGTCCATAGGAAAAGTTCTAACTGTTGGGTCACAGGAACATTTTGCAACATGGCTCCAAGTTAGTTTCTCAAGCGCCTTACACTCTTACCATTTGGTGTCCCTCCCACTTGGAGTCAATCAATCCTTGTCTCCCTGCTTCTCTCTCTCACTCTCTCATTTTAATCATTTTAGGGTGTACAGTTCAGTGCCATTGATTATACTCACATTGTTTTGCAAGCATCACCACCATGTATCTCCAGAACTCTTTCATCTTCCCCAAGTGAAACTCTATACCCATTAAACAATGGCTTCCCAACCTCCCTTACCCCCATCTCCTGGCAACCATGATTCTGGTTTCTTTCTCAGAGATTTTGACAACTCTAGGTACACCACATGAGTGGAATCACTCACTATTTGTCCTTTTGTGTCTGCTTATTTCACTGAACCTAATGTCTTCAAGGTTGATCTGTGCTCTCGCATGTGCCAGAATTTCCTTTCTTTTTAAGGATGGATAACATTCTATTGTCTTTATACATTTTGTTTGTCTATGTATCAGTGTGTGGACATTTAGTTTATTTTTACCTTTTGATTAATAGAAAAAAATCTGCTATAAACATTGATATACAAATATCTGTTAAGAGTCCCTGCTTCTAAGTTTTTTAGGTTATATACCCAGAAGTAGAATTGTTAGATCATATGGTAAATCAATATTTAACTTTTTGAGAAATCACCAACATGTTTTTCAAACTAACTTTACATTTTACATTCCCACCAACAATTAACAAGGGTTCCGATTTCTCCATATTTTTGCTAGCACTTATTATTTTCTTTCTCTTCTATTTGTTTTTGTATATTTCCTACTTCACCAAATGGATGTAAAGTAATATCTTATTGTGGTTTTGATTTGCATTTTTAAATCCTTAGTGATATTGAACATCTTTTCATGTGCTTATTGGTAATTTGTATATCTTTTTTGGAGAAAAATCTATTCAATACATTTGCCCTTTGCCCTGTTTTTAATCATATTTTGTTGTTGTTGTTGAGGAGTTCTTTGTATATTTTGAATTTTAATTCCATTTACAGATATAGTTTTTTTCAGAATTCTTTTCCCCATTCTCTGGGTTGCCTTTTCACTTGGTTGATAGTGAACCTTGATGCACAAAAGTTAATTTACGTGAAGTCCAATTTATCTATTTTTTTCTTTTGTTACCTATGTTTTTGGCATTATATTCAATAAATCATTGCCAAATCCAGTATCATGAAGCTTTTTTCTATATTCTCTTCTAAAATTTTTCTAGTTTTCATTCTTATGTTTAAGTCTTTGATCCTTTTTGAGCTCATTTTTGCATATGGTGTAAGGTAAGGGTCCAACTTCATTCGTTTGCATGTGGATATCCAGTTTTGCCAATATCATTTGTTGAAAAGACTGTTCTTTCCCCAAAGGTAAAGGTCATGGCACACCCTTGTCAAGAGTCATTTAACCATATATGTGAGGATTTATTTCTGGGTTTCACTCTTTTTGAATCTAATGCTTCCTCATCCTATAATATTTAAGTAAATGTCACATTTTCTATAAAATGTTCTCTAGTTCTCTTGTTTAGGGTCATTTGATATCCCTTGAATTATGATTTTCTTAAATGTTGAATATAGGTCTTTTTGTCTATTCAGTGTCTTTACCTTGAGGGCTAAGAATGTGTTTTATGTTTAGCCATCTGTGATGTTTAATTTTAGATGTCAATCTAGATGATTGGGGTAAGGGTTACCCATATAGCTGGCAAAGCATTATTCTCGGTTATGTGTGAGGATGTTTCTGGAAGAGGTTAACATTGGAATTGGTGGACTGGGTAAAGAAGGTCAGCCTTCACCACTGTGAATGGGTATCCTCTAATCTGTTGAAGGCCCAGATAGAACACAAAGAAGGAGGAAGGGAGAATTTGCTGTTGTCTCTTCTGGAGCTGGTACATTTATCTTCTTTTACCTTCAGACATCAGAGTTTTAGACTCCTGGAATTAGACCAGTCACCTTCCAATTTCTCAGGCCCTTGGCCTTGAACAGAATTACACTGTCAGCTTCCGTGGTTCTCCTGCTTGCAGACTGCTTATCATGAGACTTCTCAGCCTCTATAATTGCATGAGCCAATTCCCCTAACAGATCACCTCTGTCTATCTATTCTATTCCATTCTATCTATCTATCTATCTATCTATCTATCTATCTATCTATGTATCATCTATCTGTCTATCTATCCATCTATCTATCTATCTATCTATCTATCTATCTATCTATCATCTATCTGTCTGTTTATGTATCATCTATCTTTCATCTTTTTGTGGCTGAGAGTTCTTTTCCTTGCAAAAATAATGCATGCATTTTTATCTATTTCTTTCTTTAAATAAAAGCAGCAGGTTACAGTTTTCTTCTCTCCTCCTTCTCTCTCCCTTTCTTTCTTTTAAAGCTATTTCTTTATTTAGTATCCTACTAGCTTCTGGCTAGATTCCCACCAACATGTTTGAACAGAATTTTAAATCATTTTTGCTTCAAAAGTTTCTATTTTTTAAAGGTCTGTAGGTACATCAGCAAAATATGTGCACAGAAAAATGTCACTATGTTTATTTAGCTGCACACATGACCTTTTATTCAGCCATTTCTGAGCTGAGGTAAGAGACAGAAGATTGCTTCTGACAAATTCAACCCCATAGAAATTAAGATAGAGAAATGGGGAAGCACTGTCACCCATTTTAACAGAATTCTCACTGAAATAAAAGTAAAAAGACAACAGGAAATTAATAGAACTAGCCTTAACAATTATGAAACTAGGTCTGTGTTATAACATCACATACTTGCCTACCCTGTAATTTTGCCTTTGGCACTCCCTTATCCCCTTACCCTGACTTTCTTATCATCTTAGACCCAGTCCTCTTTCATGAACCTTGCCTGGCTCTCTCCACCGTCCTCCAGACAGAAGTATTCTCCCTTCCTGGATGGCTCCCTTGTACTTCACATAAGTCAGAATTCTTGGGTGCAAACAACAGGTAAGCTGAATAGGAATCTGAAGCAAAAATAGATACTTGCAACAGAAAAAGAATTTGTTGAAAGAATTCAGTGTCACTCAAAAAATCAACAGACTGTCTAGACAGAGAACCAACTAGGAATGTGGGCAACCGAGGACACAACAGAAAATGCAGCCAAGCTCATTCCACTCTGTACTTCCACACAGAAGAAATGCTTTGGACCTGGATTAAATACAAGACCCACAACTTATTAACTATGTGTCCATGAATGGGGATCTGTACTCTCTCTAAATCTCATTTTCTTCATTTACAAAATGGGCTAATCCTCACCTTCCACAGTTTTTGCAAGGATAAATTATATTGAACAATAGGCATCTGTGAAAAAACTTAGCTCTGCGTCTGGCACATTATAGATACTTAAATCTTTGTATCTTCCCTACAAAGATCTTCAACCCAAGAATGACTGACATCTTGTAACAGGCATTTGCCATCTTAAGGTCTCTCAGTATCTGAAAGGTAGCACAGATGTAAATTTTTCTGCATTGTATCATCTACTACACTGGGGAGTGATTCTACCTTTGCGGGCTCCCACTGAAAATAAACTTGGAAAGGGAAGAAACCACATCCCTGGGGAGCAGCACATCCTTTTTGGCAACTCATTGACAATCGGCAGCAACACTGGGATGATGGAGCCACATGGAATAGCGACGAAAATAGCAGGGCATCACTTTAGTTCAGGGACACCTCCCTTATCTCCCTGCCTTATTTCCAGGAAGCAAGTGATCCTTTCTATGGAAACTTCCAGGCTGAGGATTTCCAGCTCAAAAACCTAGAGAGATTGTGCTGTGTCTGCCATGAATCAGTGCGGCGGGGGCGGGGTAGGTGGGGGGTGCCATAACAACTCAGTACCATTTTCCTGACTCCAATTTTGATGATTAGAAGAGAGTGACTTTTGTACTAGTTCTATTATTGTGCTTTGGGTAGGTGCTTTTTTTTTTTTAATCTTTTTCTTTTTTCCTTTTTTTTCCCTCTCCTCTCTCTTTCCTCTCCTTTTGAAACGCATGTATTATCAGTATTGCTGTTGACTAATAGTCACTAAACACACCATTGTTCTTAACTGAGCTTGGCATTTCACTATAGAAATTTTCAAAAATAAATTCCCGAAAATTTAACAATGAAGAAGAAATAAGCCTCAGCTTCTGAGAGTGATGCTCACCAATTTTGTTTCCATTTTTTCCTCTTTGTTTTCATTCTGATGCCAGTGCAATTTTCATCTCCTTCTGAGCACTCCCTATTGAAAAGCTAAGTGTTTCAAATAGCATGGGCAAGATTCAATGCACTTCTCTACACCCCAGCAAGTCGAGGACACACCATCTGACCATTAGCACCCCGCTGGGCCTCGGAAGGCCTGTTTTGCTTCAGCCGAATGTCATTTCAGCCAGTAACAATTATTTACTTCTGGAAAAAATTTGCTAAGGGACATGGAGCCAACTGGTGCTTTTGATTTCAAGGCCTACTTGGTTATTCCTAAATTTCAGCTTGGGAAAGAAATTTGCAATTACCTCTCGAGAACATGCCATTTCACAGGAATCGTAATGGCATTTCACTGTGAGAAGAAAGTGTGTTTTATTGTAAGATGTGCCACCAGGTTTCTCATCAAACAAATGGCTTTTCTCAGACTCAATTTACCTTGGATGCTGCAAAATTCACTAATTTTCCAAATCTCAGTCTTTTCATCATGTACAAGTTATGTTAAATTTATATCTCTCTTATCTGCACATAAGACGTTTTAAAAAGGGTACACATTTCCAGTCTTCCATAATGTGAAGAATTCTTCCTAGTAAAACAAAAGTTACTTTTCCCCTGAAGCCTCAAAGCACTCTATCTACATCTTTGTTAAAGTGTTTATCTTGTCTGCACTGCATTTTCATTTATTTGTGAACATATTTTACCTCTCCTACTGTCAGCAGGATTTCTTAGGGGCTAGAAGTATAGTCCACCCAACATTATCTTGCACAATGCATAGTGTGAGGTACTGGTTATTGCCGGAGTATTTTACATACATTTAAGGCTGTTTATTTAATATGAGGAGGTCAAACGCTAACAAGACTCAGTAAATTTCAGATATTTTACATAGTTCTTTCTTAACACTGGTCTTAGATCTGTCTCATCTCATTACTATGAAATATCCCTTGTGAGCAATTAATCCCTGTGTCTCACAATGGTCACCAGCAAGGTGAGAATAATATCCACCAATCTGAGGTGCTGTGAGAATGTAATATGAAGTAGAATAGGAGAGTGCTTGGAAAACTCAAAAGCAGTGTATGCTCTAAGATATCTTTATGATTACACCATTGTACTGGCTAGGGATACCCAATTTTCCTATGGTTGCTGCTCAGTTGTCATGAAATGGGATTATTCTAAAGAAGACAAGAGAAAATAAAACAGGGATATGTATGGAAATAGCAGTAACTGAATGAACTTAGGCAATGCAGTGACCTGACAACACAGCAGAGGTGACACCAGAAACAGCTAGGCACGCGTGAAAGGTCACTTGAAGGGCTCAAGGGTTACTAACAAAAACAAGCACCCCAGCAGCCTGGAATCCCATTGATGACTGAGGTATGGGCACAGGAGATAATCTTGAAACCATGAGTACTATTTCCTAGATCGACTCGTTTAAACCTCCTTAACTTGTAGTATCATAATGAAAGTCCAATATCCTAATTAATAAGAAACTTATTTGGAAACTCTTAATTGCCAGAAAAATATTAGGAGGTTTAAGATTATGAACATTACTGCATGAAAGGCTGGTCTGTTTTCACGGCAGCATATGGACAGTATTGATCAGTTCAACTTTCCAATACTCAGTGTTTTAGTTTCCCCTGAGTCCATTGCTTTCTATCAATAGATCTCTGAGAATAAATAAGCAGCTATGCAGAATTCTGATGTGCAAGACAAATAGACTGTTGACATCAGCTATATTTAGGAAAAGGCTCAGCATCAGACCCTTTGATATGATGGGGCACTTCTTCCCAAGAAATGCCCAAGCCAAATCTGTCTACCTCTGTGATCTTATGGGCTTAGAGCCTCTCATTAAGAGGCTCTGTCTTTGAGTGTGCATTTTCTTTTCTGGACATAAGCTTAGACATGTGATCTCAGAGTAAACACCTCTGTGTTTCTACTTTCATGTTACACCCCGCAAAGTTTGCCAAACCCACTCTTTGTCTATGACACCAGCCTTCTCCTTTGTGGTTTCCATTCTGCAAAATTTTTATCATGGCTGTCAGATTTGCTGTAGCCATCAGATGTGTCTGTGTCTCATTAATCTTTCTTAGCCAAACATATTTTTTTTTAAAAAAACTTATTCGACCAGATATAAAAATATATTTGCAAGTATCCCAAGTGTAAATTGCCAAGCCTTGGTGAGTGGTCCATGTGAGATCTTTGCAGTTCTTATAACTTACAAAAATAAACCCCTAAGGCTTGGAGTAAATTGAAATTATTCTTCATAGTTGTATCTCCACTACGCTATTCAAGATTCTCATTCTAACCCCAAAGCATCCATTGTGTATATAAATAATCTACGTTGTGTTTCTCTTTCTCCACCACATTTCCAGAAAAGAATAATATTCCCAAACTGATTCGTCTGTAAATAAAGGACGGCAAACTCCAACACAATGCATAGTGCTGCAGTTGCTGGATTTGTGGCCATGACGCACTGTTCAGTCAGCAGAAATTGAGAGGTTGTTCATTCCTCTATGTTGTCATTGATATGTGAAAGCCTGTATATTAGCAGACAGGGAGCTGAGCTCAAAATGGTCAGATGGGCCCTGCCTAAAGCAGAGTAGAAGGCTGTTCACAAACCAACTCAAGTTTTAGCTCAATTCAAATATAGGCTGTTAGTAATGCAAATTACCATCACCTTTCCAAAGCTCTTCAAAGTATAGAGGCGGTCAATGAATGTTCTAACAGGACTGATTCATGAAGCTTGAACTAGGAGCACACAGAAATGATAAAGACTAATTAAAATAAGGAAAAGTTTTAAAATCACAGTTTTGTGGTGTTAAGCAAGGTTGTTGAAGCAAACAATGAATCAGCACGGGCAAAAAAAATCAGTGACTTCAAATGGGCACAATTCATTAAAATAAACCTTTAAAATAAAAGTAAAAAGAATATAAGGTAACACAGCTGCGTATAAAGATGATTTTGCAAAAATAGCTTTGTCAAATTGTGGATAAGAGAATATGCAAATATCTTGCATAGGTACAAATTGGAGGCCCAGTGAATGGATATTAACTGCATGATTCTGTTTCTCCTTAACATATGGGTTGGTCTTGGATATCTGGTCTGTCCTGATCATCTGATGTTTACTTTTTTCTTTTAATTACTAAACTTTATTTTTTAAAGATATAACCCCTGTCTTCATAGGCACACACTACCTCCCCTACTGTCAACATCCCACACCATAGCGGTACACTTTTTATAATTGATTAACCTACATTGACACATCCTTATCACCCAAAGTTCATAGTTTACATGGGGGCTTGTGGTGATGCACATTCTGTGGGTTTTCACAAATGTATAAATGACACCTGTTATAATTACAGTATCATACAAAATGGTTTAATTGCCTTAAAATTTCCTGTGCTCTGGTTATTCACCTATTCATCCCTCTACTCTCACCTGCCATACAACATCTGCAATTACCGATCTTTCACTGTCTCCATAGCCATCCTTTTCCAGGGTGTGGCACAGTTGGAATCACACTATATGCTCTTTTCATATTGGCTTTTTAACCTTAGTAATATGCATTTAAGTTCCCTTCCTGTCTTTTCGTGGCTTCTATCTCATTTACTTTTAGCACTAAACAATATTTTGTTGTCTGGTTATACCAGAGTTTATTTATCCATTCACCTACTGAAAGAAATCTTGGTTTCTTTCAAAAATTTTTTTATGTTTATGATTATTATTATTATTATTTCTTTTTTTATTTTATTATTATTATACTTTAAGTTTTAGGGTACATGTGCACAATGTGCAGGTTAGTTACATATGTATACATGTGCCATGCTCGTGTGCTGCAACCATTAACTCGTCATTTAGCATTAGGTATATCTCCTAAAGCTCTCCCTCCCCCCTCAAATTTTGGTAATTATGAATAAAGGCACTATAAACTTCTGTGTGCAGGTTTTTGTGTGGACATAAGTGTTCAGCTCTTCTGGGTAAATACCAAAGAGTCTGACTGCTGATCGTATGGTATGAGTATGTTTAGTTTTTATGAGAAACTGTGAAAATGTCTTCCAAAGAGGCTTTACCATCTTGTGTTCCCACCAGCAATGAATGAGAGTTCCTGTTGCTCCACATCCTTGCCAGCATGTAATGTTGTCAGTGTTCTGGATTTTAGCCATTCTAATATGTGTGCTGTGATATCGTGTTGTTGTTTAATTTATTGTCAAGAACAACCTCCCAGGAGTGGTATGACATTCTCTTGTCATCCACATTGGTGTCATGGTCTTCTTTTTCTTTAGAAAAGAATCCATCTGTTGCTGTTCTGAGTGCAATATGTAATACTTTACTTTTTGGGAAAAGATATTTGTGACTCTCCAATAGTTTTTTTAAAGAGAAAAGTCAAATATAAGTAAAAGAGACAAAAAATCTCAAGTGAAATAAAGTCGATTTGACTGTCTGACACTGGGTTCAACATGACACTCAAAGTAAACAATTTTTCAGTCAATTTTTTTATTAGACCAAGATGCAATATTTGAACTAATGTTATTTTTCGTGTTACAGTATAACCACAGCCATGACCTCTACTTATTTTACTGAGAAAAGATTAATGGTGCTTCAGGGTGTCTTTTGTTTCCATATCCAGAAACCAAGAAGTGCAGGCTGAAGATATTGTTGTTGTTGCTGCTGCTGATGCCACTGTTGTTATTACTATTTTGGCAAGTTCTCATATAATGCTTTGTCAGGTTCTCCTAATTAACTTCTTTCAACTTCAGTTTCTCATTATTAAAATGGGGATATTTCCAACTATGTGGGGTTGCTGTAGAAATTCAATTAGATGATCCAAATACAAGCATGCATCACATTGTTTGAAAATGAGACACATTTTTGAATATACAAAAACAAAGGATTTTCTTCAGTACCATTGCCACAGATGATTACCCTAAAAAATGAAGATATACAAATGTCTTACATGTTTTGAAATATAAAGTGATTGTAAATTGAAAAGAATTGGCAATTTTCTGTCTAAATCAAACACATCAATTCTTTGCATAATTTTAGTTTTCTGTGTTTCAGAAAGGAGTTGCTTAGATTATGTTTTTCTCTAAAAGTAAATTTTTGTTTAGGTGCAATCTCTTCTACTAGTCCCATGTGTCAGTGAAACCCAGTGTTAGATTCAATATTGACTAGGAAAGGAAGAAAAAGAAATGTAGTAGATAATAGCTGTGTAAGTGAGGTTGATTTTGCTGCAAGTAAAAACACTTTAATAAAAATGTATGGGACAATATGGACATTTATCATCTCACATGCCAAGGAATTTGGAGGTAGAACAGAAATACAGATGCTTAGTTCATTGATTCAAAAATATCATCAGTGTAACAGAACTTTCCAAATTTCTTTGATGCTCTTCTTAGAATATTGGGTCTTGCCTGTAAATTTGTTTAGACATAGATCCAAAAAACTTGTCAAGGTCATCTAACTATATCATAAAACTGGGTGCGGGGTAATTTCTTCTCAAATATCTCTTTGCATCAGTAAAGGAAAGGTTACTCACAAAAACATATATTATATATTTTTTTTCTTCTAATTTAAAAGCATGTGGTCAGAGGGCTTTAATTATATATATTTTTAAACTATGTTGAGATTTTCTTTCTAATATGTGCACTTACAAATATTTTATATAGCCTTGAGTAAAATACATATTCTGTAGTTTGAGGGTATGTACCTCCACTTATATGCATAATATGATGTTATTAATAAATGTTTATTAAATGTTTATTAATTACATTATTAATAAATAAACGTTAAATGTTAATTAATAAATATCCACTTATATGCATAATATACTGTTATTAATAAATGTTAGATCACATTTATTAATTATACTGTTCAAATGCTTTTGTTCTTGTTATTTATTTTCCCAGCTTGAGCTATCAAGCTGACACATCTGAGAAAAGATTACTAAAATATTTTTCTGTGATTTATATTTATCCCATTTATCCTTAAAATTCAGTCATATAATTTTCTTTAGAGGATTGCAGCATAAAAAATTTATATGACATGGAAATATGTATTTAGAGTTACATTTTAATCCATGTATTAGTAGCATGTTTATATAAAAATATCTTAATTGTGATTATATAACCCAAGGATATTTACTTTGTATTTGAACTGTTCTAATCAAAAGTCAACATCATGAGAAAGCAAAAATGGCACAGCAACTTTAAAAGGCAGTTTGGCAGTTTCTTATAAAACTAAACATATTCTTACTGTATAATCAGCCAATTTTGCTCCTTTGACTTTACTCTATTGATGTAAAAACTTAGTTCCCGTCACAAACCTGCATGTGGATATTTATATCAGCTCTATTCATAATTGTTAAAACTTGAAAGCAACCAAGATGTCCTTCAGTAGGAGAATTTATAAATAAATTGTGGTATACCCAGAAAATGAAATATTATTTGGCACTTAAATGACATGGGCTATCAAGCCGTAGAAAGACCTGGTGGAACCTTAAATACATATGGTAAATGCAAGAAGTGAGTCTGAAAATGGTACCTACTATCTTTTCCAACTACATGACATTCTGGAAAAGAAAGGACTATGAAGACGATGAAAACATTAGTCAGGGGTTACAGGAGAGGGAGGGATGAAAAGGCAGAACACAGAAGAATTTTGGGGCAATGACACTCTTCTGTATGATACTAGAATAGTGGAGATGTGTCATTATACATTTGTCAGAGCCCAGAGAGTGCATAGCTGTGGATTTTGGGTGATAATGATATGTCAAGGCAGGTTCATTGATTGTAACAAATATACCACCATGGTGAGAGATATCAATAGTTGGGGAGGATGTATGGGTGTGGAGGAGTGGGAGCATGGAGTATGTGGGAACTCTGCGTTTAATGCTAACTTTTTCCGTGAACCTAAAACTGCTCTAAAAATAAATTATGTCCTTTAAAAAAAAAAGCCAACATCAAAGCTGTTACTCTAAGTGGATTGAATTGGGTTCAAGGTGTGTAGATTGGCCTGGAATTATACAGGCCCTTCCACACTTGCATGAGGGTACTTTTTTGGTATATGAATCTGGCAAGTCCATATTCTTAAGAATTACACCTTATCAGAGTGTCCCTGCATCTTCCCACTTATAGATGAGTTTGATCACCTGGCTCCACTAGGTTGACTGAATTCTGCCATTAAGTATGCTGCTTCCGTTTCCTGTAAACTTCATCTGCAAGATACTGTCAGTGCATTTAAAGAACAGAAAGTTTACAGGGCGGATTTTATGATTTGGTAATTTTTTTTTTTTTGACAGAATTTCGCTCTTGTCGCCCAGTCTGGAGTAGTGCAATGTCATGATCTCGGCTCCCTGCAACCTCCGCCTCCTGGCTTCAAGTGATTCTCCTGCCTCAGCCTCCCAAGTAGCTGGGATTACAGGCACTTGCTACCACATCCCACTAATTTTTGTATTTTTAGTAGAGATGGGGTTTCACCATGTTGGCCAGGCTGATCTCGAACTCTTGACCTCAGGTGATCCACGTGCCTTGGCCTCCCAAGGTGCTGGGATTACAGGCATGAGCCACCGCCCTCAGCTCGTACCTTCTTATTAATAATGACGGAACAGCTGGAAGAATTTGGTTGAGACTATTTTTCATTGCAATGTCCCACCTGGTGGAAAGTTTGCCAGGAAGGAAGCTTGCAGTACTCACCTTCCTCTAATTTTTGGAGACCACCAATATTTACCTCAGAAAAGCAAATCATGTGAATAATCATGTTCACTTTGGTCAGAATACAAAATGCGAATTGAATTTTATTCTTTGTAACATTATGTTATTAGGTTACCAAAATTCATGATTTTAAAAATCATATTGATTAATCTTTTATGATCTAATTGTATCTTTCCTAATATCTATCAATACTTTCTGCCTCAAATTCTGTTTTCTTCAATATCAATATAATCACTTCCACAATTTTTTTTTGGCTTATTGGTTTTCTGGAGAAACATTTTTATACTTTATTTTCAATCTTTCCATATGTTTTATTTTACCCATCTCTGGTGAGCTCTACATAGTTGATTTAAAAAAGTTCTCTAATTGGTATAGCTAGGTTTTCTTCCACCATATTCTTTTGTAATTCTTTGGTGTGCATGCAATTTTTATTGTTTTTTACTTTATATTCTTTCTGTACTCCTTTGGGTGAATATATATTTTATATATATATATATGTGAATATATATTATGTATACATACACAAAATCCCTTCATGCATACCTCATCCCCACTTCTTAGAAGCTTTATATAATATTTCTATTATTGCAGTAATTATATCTGAACATTTAATTAAATGCCTATTATACTTTTTTCTAACAAGATCAAGTTACTTGTTATTTATATTCTCATGCCAATCATATAAGGACTTCTGCTGATAGTCACCAATTATCTTCATCATCAACATTGTCATCTCCCTTAATTGTTAAAAGATTTGTTCGATCTTTTTATAACTTACTATTAATTACAATCAGTATATAACCAAATTTGTCAACATGTTTACCAGTTTCTGTGTTATTTTAGGGGTCATACTTTTCCCCCTTCTCATTTTTTTGTGTTTGTTTTTTTGCTTTGGTATGTACTTGAATGTTTCTTTCAGAGAGGATCAGTATTGGGGGGCAAATTTTGTACCTCTGAGAAAGGTTGTCTTTTCACGTATCTTTGAATGATGATTTATCTGAATATAGAATTCTAGGTTTACTTTCATTATGTAGTAAGCTCAGCCGTCAAAATATATTATATTATTATGTTCTAGAATGTATTGATCTTGTCACGAAGTCTGGTGTCAGTACAATTTTCTTTTCCTTTTTGTTTTGAAGAAGTGTGTTTTTTTCTCTCTGACACTTTGAAGATTGTGTCTTTATTCTTAATTTTATAGAATTTTAATATAGTGTGTCCAGATATGTACTTATTTATGTTTATCCTGCTAAGGACTAGTTGTGTCTTTAATCGGAGCATTCATGAAATATTTTAACTTACCTTTAAAATTATTTTTTACTAGTTTTTCCTGAACTCTTTCCTGTACAAATCTCCTAAATATGTCTTCTGTCTTAAATGAAGTTTATATTTTTGTATCTTTGTATTTTCCATGCCTCATGTTGGATCAATTCCTCAGCCTTCAGATTTACATATCATATCTTCAAATGCATCCAATCTGAAGTTTATTCTATTTGTTGAGGACTTTTCCTATGTTTTAAATAATTCATTTTTAAATGTCTTATCTTCTTTATTAATATATTTTCTTATTTTTATAAATATTATTCTTTACCTTAGCTCATAAACATTGTAAATACAATCATGCCATTTATATTCTAGTTTCTTCCTTAATTTTAGTTCATCTGAAGTAAATTCACATTAAATATTGAATTTGGGGGTGTTTTTCTCAGTATTAGTTTTACATGTGGATTTCAGAATTTTGATTTGTAGAACCATCTTGATCTTGAATTCCTATTAGGATCTGTGTGTGTGGTGGGGGGAGGGGTGTTTCTTTCTCTTTCTCAGTGCTCTTGTTCCCCCATGCCATCCCTTCTACCTCCCTCTCCCTCAGTTTTTAGCTTGAGTCTATCCAGTCACAAGTCCTCTGAGTTTATTCAATCATAGGTCCTCTGTGTAGAACCAGGACACGTAATAACTCCTCTACTCTTGGTCCTACATAACAAACAACTTATACCTTAGAAGGAGGTAGATAAACCAAAGAAAAAGGAGTTAGCACGTGAGGTATATTGAAAGAAAAGTGAGTAACAGCAGAAACAATTCCGAAGTGTAAACACACAAATCCAGCTTTGTTTTCCAGCATTCAATGACAAGATACAAGGAAGGTCTGTATAAGTCACAGAACCAGTAAAGCATAAAAACAAAGTATTTTCCCCTTAAAAGCACAGTTACATCTGATAATTAAACTGAAGAAGACATTTTTCTGCTGAGAGCTTATTGTATCACATAATGGGCATCATTCATAATACCCTCACAATAAATGCTGAGATGAGTTTCACAGGGTAACTTTAATCATATCCTTCAATTATTCATTGTATCAAAAACAAAAACAAAAACAGTGAATCAGAAAAGCAAACTATAGGACAATGACATGGAGGCAAATGTGATGTCACTCAGGCAAGTGACTCCTCATGTCTGGCTTTAAACTGTGACAGATTTCAGAGTACTTGGGGCAGAGATCACAAACTGGCAATTTGACACACACATAAGGCTTATTTACTCTATGGTATTGGTTCCCACCATGTCTGGTTTTTAAAAAAAAATTTAGTTGTCATTATATAAAAAACAGGTGAGTTCACACAAAAATCCAGGTTGTCAGTCATCCTTGTGAAGTGAGACCCTGGCAACACTAGACTTTCATTTTCACAAGGCAACCCCTGGCTGGAGAGTTCCCCTGACACCGTCAGCTGCTGTGCACCACCTGTTGGCCCAGTGTTCACTAATCTGCATCCTATTCCAGAACACTTCCATTCCACTCACCATGTCAACTACCGAGATCTCCATGCTGGCAGCAAATTTTCTCCAGAGGCAAAATGAGACTGACCACTTATTCTTCAAGCCCTCCCATTAATATCACTTCTTCCTGCCCAGCTTTGTGAAGGTTTTAAATGGCAGTGGGTTTAAGATCATTCCTGTGGCACCTCTGGGGCAAATTCCAGCCAAAGGCGAAGCTCTGTTCTTTACCATTCACTTGAGCTGAAAGTGGGATCCAGTCCTTCACACAGATAGTGTCAAATGAGCTAACAGTCATGTTCCAAACCTGCTTGAGGAAAATAACTTATTCTCACCAATAACAGCGAGTCATCAAGGCCCTGGTTTCTTTTTTTTTAATTTTCTTTTATTATTATTATTATTATACTTTAAGTTTTAGGGTACATGTGCACAATGTGCAGGTTAGTTACATATGTATACATGTGCCATGCTGGTGTGCTGCACCCATTAACTCGTCATTTAGCATTAGGTATATCTCCTAATGCTATCCCTCCCCCCTCCCCCCATCCCACGACAGTCCCCAGAGTGTGATGTTCCCCTTCCTGTGTCCACGTGTTCTCATTGTTCAATTCCCACCTATGAGTGAGAACATGCGGTGTTTGGTTTTTTGTCCTTGCGATAGTTTACTGAGAATGATGATTTCCAGTTTCATCCATGTCCCTACAAAGGACATGAACTCATCATTTTTTACGGCTGCATAGTATTCCATGGTGTATATGTGCCACATTTTCTTAATCCAGTCTATCATTGTTGGACATTTGGGTTGGTTCCAAGTCTTTGCTATTGTGAATAGTGCCACAATAAACATACGTGTGCATGTGTCTTTATAGCAGCATGATTTATAGTCCTTTGGGTATATACCCAGTAATGGGATGGCTGGGTCAAATGGTATTTCTAGTTCTAGATCCCTGAGGAATCGCCACACTGACTTCCACAAGGCCCTGGTTTCTAATAAGAATTGGACGTGGGTTGCTGGCATTTAACGTCACTTTGAAGATGTATATTTGAATCTTTTTCCTGGCTTAAGGGTAAGTGGTGGCAGGTTGTTGTGCTGTATTTTGAAAAGTCCATAAGACCTTATTCCTCACAATTCTTCCAGCCAAGAAATGCTGCCTCTCTTTGAGAACCACTGCTTTAGTGTTTGGTGAGTTAATTTTTGAGGTAAAAAAATGTAATTTAAAATGTGTCTATAACCAATTATGTTTTTAAACTCATCTTCTGTTTATTAAGACCATGGATTTGCCAAAAAATCTATCAGAGAATAGGACTTTCAAATTGAAAGAACGAGAAAGACAAAGTCCAAGAATTTTCACCCTTGATTTAATCTAGCTAATTCTTTACACAATTTAAGTTTCACATCTTACAGAAATAAGTGTTGCCTATTTTTCTCTAATTAGTAAATTACCATATGTCAATATTCTATACATCCTTTAGAACAGATTTTTGTCAAGTTTTATATCAGTTTAAAATAATCTACTTCAAATCCCTCAAGAATCGTGAATATGAATTGAGTATATCGGATCAGATCTCAGTTTTCCTCAAAAGATACTTTTTTTTTAAAGCACTGCCCAGTCCATTGTGATTAAAGCTCCAGGCATAGCCAAGACCTTTCTAAAAAAAACACAAAATGCTTTAGACTCTACTTCTCACCTTTCTCCATTAGCAACATACAAAATGGAATGAAATAAACTTCTTGGAATTATTATAATTCAACACTTTCAGAGAATGTATTTGTGCCATATTTTTTTCAAGTGTGTTTTTGTCCTTAAAATTTATTCATTCTGTTTTATCTTCCCACCAGCCTCTTGGAGGCCATTATCTTTCCATTAGTGAACTCTCAGTACACATCTTCCATCGGACTTTGATCTGCCACATACCTTTAAACATTCTTCTCAGTGTTTTGGGTCCTACAGAACCTCCCTCCCCATCTCCCCAGACACTCGAGATTTATAAGGACATTTTTTACTGCCTACTGTATGCACAAGGGTCCGTTTATTGATGCAAGATGAAACAAGGGTTCACACTGCCTTGGTGCTCTTTGCTACCAGAACAACTCTCAGTTTTATTCTGTTTTATGTAAATTGGGTCACAGATGTTTTATTGCTGCAAAATGCTTTGAAACTTTTTCATATGTTCAGTGGGAAAAGAAGCCTCTCAAAATTCATGCTGAAATAATTAAGCTTTTTAATTTCACTGTCAATTTATCAGAACAAGTGATAAATCTCTCTTTTTACTGCTGCTTCTACAGACATGACTTTTCAGTCCATTTCCTTCCTCAGATTGTCTGAGAGTGCCTTTCTAGAGCAGCTCAGCATGCCGTATGGAAACTCCAACACTTTACTGAACTCTTAGGCAGGCCGGGTAACAACGGGAGGTGTCAGTTCATGCTCCCAGGAACCTGGGAGAGCTGGGCCCTGGCTGCTCTGCAGGAGCTTTGCACTGTGGCAAAAGGACTTAACCTGACTCTGACTCTGTTCCCTTGATGCTCAGAATTTCTAGATATATCAACTCACCCCAGAGACAGATTTCCCACCTTTGCGGATGTGGCTAATCCAGTTTTACAGCATATAATTCAGTAGATGCAGCATGGCGGCGCAGAAGTAAAGATCTTGGCTGGATCTAAATCAGAGTCCTCAGCTCTGCTCCTGCCTCCATAAGGCCTTGGACAGTTCCTTCATGTTTATGATCCACATTTCCTCGTGCCAAAATGAGGAAGTAATCCCATTCTCAATGAGCTCTCTGGTTTCATATATGTATGGATTCTCCCTGAATGCCTGGTACATGCTGAATGGCCAATGAATATCAACGCCCTTCTCTTCCATGAATTTCACAACATTTTTCATCTGTTAACTTGGAATTTGATGAACCAACATGTTGCTAATCTATTAAAAAAGATCCGGAGTTGCTTACAAGAGTCAGTCCTTATGTGTTCTCCCATTTTATTGTTTTTAGTTGACCTATAATTTCTATGATGAATGGTCGCTTTTTGGCGTTTAAGTAGAAGAAGCTCATCTTAGGGACTCAGACGCATCGCTTTAGAGCTTTAGAAATAAACTTGTGCTCATGGTGTTCTCAGGAAAAGGCTGGCCTGCCGCCTGACGTCTGTGCATTGGTCTTTGTGTCAGAAAAACAACAACAACTCATTTTTCCCCAGAGAGCAACCTACTCTATGATTCTCTACCTCCCCTCCCTTCTTCCTTTTTCAAACACTGAGTTCCTTCTATGTGCTAGACCAGGAGTCGGGAAACATTATCTGTAAAGAGTCAGAGAGTAAATATTTTAGTCTTGAAGAGGCAGACAGTCTCTGTTACAACTTGTAAACTCTGCTGCTTTTGCAGAAAAGCAGATAGACAACAGTGAAATGAACAAACATGGTTGTGTTTTAACAAAAAGGCGGTTCTCACCAGGGAGTGATTTTGCCTTCCCGGACACTTTTGGCAAGATATGCAGAAGACTTTGATTGTCAGGAATGGAGAAGGGGTGCTGCTGGCCCCTACTGGGTAGAGGCCAAGGATGCGGCTAAAGGTCAATGCACAGAACCTTCCCTCCCCACAGGAAAGAATCATGCAACCCAAAGTGTCAATAGTGCCAAGTTGAACAATAAAACTTTACTCAAGGACACTAAAGTTTGAATTTTATATAATGTCATACACAATAAATATCAATCTTTTGATTTTGCTATTTAAAAATGTAAGAACCTTTAGCTCGCAGTCCATACAAAAACTGGCGATGGGTCATAGTTTTTCCACTCCTGTGCAAGAATCTGGAGAAACAAAGAGAAATAGAGAACAGTAAGTTTCCTTAAGATCCCCTCTCAGAGCCACAAAAGCAAGACAGACCTCATGCACTTCCTTTTATTAAGGAAAATAAGCTTTATTACATCAAGTAATAAATAGATACAAAGATGCAAACAGTTTTAGTCATTTTCTTCCAGATGTTTTGACCAACTTAAACGCGGAGCTAAGATGTACTTACAGTCTTAGTATGAAAATGTTCGGGGGTCCTTGTTAGGTTTAGTGGGTTGCTCTTTCTTCTATATTTATAACTTGTGCATTTAAAAAAAATTGACTTTGAAGCACTAATAGTCATGCAAATGCATAAGCAAAAAAGAAGTTACTTTAAGCAGAATCTACACTGTAGATGGCAAATGGGAAATGGGAACCGGCTACTAAGTAAAGCATGCTGTCAGTATGCCTTAAAAACAAAATCCCTGGAGTGGTATAAGCTTATGAAAAGGAACAAAGAACACCGTGTGTAACAAATATATTCAAAAGAGAAGATTAAAGAGACAATGGTGTCTTGGAGGCAAACTACAGTTTGCTGTAAGATAACTTTAGGTGCATCTTTTAAGTCAGTGCTTAAAAACAACAAACAAACAAACAGAAACCTGAGCAGTTCCTATTTGAAATGCAAATCCTAATTAACTGCAAAATCTTTTCTCAATCTTTGAGACGGTAGCTTCAGAGCCACGTGAACCACGGGAGGAAAAACCAAACTGTAACCATTTTGAAAACAAGGGTTTCATCTGAATGGGGGAGATTAACTGTGACTTCTTATCTTGTAAAAAGATGGAAATCCTTCAAAACCAACAAGGCAGCTAGGATCTGGCATTCCGTTGCGTTTCTGCTAAGCACTCCCGCACCAGTCCTCCAGCGTGAATCACGCCGCGCTGCATCCTCTCCATGGAGCTCTCGCTCCCCGCGTACGTGGTTCTGATCTCCCTCCCCAGCTCTTCGATGATGCCAGCAGCTCCGCGTATTTGCTCTGGGGCACCTGGCTGTTCCCAGTTCCCTGGGTGTAGCCTAGGGACGGTGACCCGTAGTCACTGAGCAGCTGGCGGTACTGTGAAGACGTCGCCATGCTGCTGGAAGGCCAGGGGACATTGCCAGAAGGCGTTGAGGGCGGCGGCAGGTGGGCATGTGCGGGAACCTCATGCACTTTCTTAAGGGACCGTGTACTTCAGTGGCGCATTCACCAGAAGAATCACAGAGCGTAACCTTGGCGAAACTCACCAGTTACTAAGTGAGGGCCCTTGGGTTAAGCCTCCCTTTTCCTATATTTTCTGCACAGTGCTTCGTGTTCTCTGTCCTCCATCACAGTAGCTTCTTTGGTTTCCTTCTGGGAGCATTCATCACAGTGCTGTCTGGTTATGAACACAGCTGGCCCAAATTGAGCACCTTGCATCCTGATATATATCTCCAGCCCATGAAAAATCACCCCGCATAACAAGTGGGCAGTAGCTGCATTGAGAACTTAACAGGATTTATCAGGTTCACCTGCAGTGCTGTGCTTAGCGCCACTTGGCAATCTCAGCAGCAATACACACAATTGATTCTACCCTAGAGAGTGTGAAGATCTGAATGCACTTCCTGGTCTTTGAAGCCAACATCTCTAGCTCACCCCGAAAAGTCCTAAAATCCTCATGGTTTGTTCTTTTTCACTGGGGCAAGTGACACACATTTTGTTTCTCCAAAGGGTTATGAATAGCCAAATTGCTTCTGGTCTTTAGAGCTTCTCAGATATCTCATAGTTCTTCCATGTATCTCCTGCTGTGTTGAAAACTTGCTGATCAATCATGCCTCCAGCTGTCCACAGCACTGAGGGCCCTAAGGAGGAGTGAGGGATTGTTTTCTTCCTCTGCCTTCATGAAACACAAGCAGAGGAATTATATGAGCATCTTTTAGCTTCAGTAACCTGGTTACTACTTGGGCTCCAACCTGATGGTCTTGCTGGTTTCACAGATAAAATTTGGTGAAAGGAACTCATGTAATTACACAAACACACAAATAGGAACAGACACACTTCTCAAAATGTTTAAATGTTCAAAACTCAGCTGTAACCTGGGACGTCAAAACTGTTTCTACACAGAGTGCCTTCGTAGATGGCTGATAGATTCTTAGATTGTCTACTGAAAGCCTGCCTAATCCAGAGTGTGAGTGCAATCTCCTGCTAGCCAAACCACCATGTATAACAATATATATATAAAGAATATATAAAGAAACTCAGCAGAGTACAGGAGGTAAGAATGGACACTCATGACTTCATGACTAGCTGATGATACTTATAGCCTTTCCTGAACAGCTGTGCTGCTGAAGTAAGTTAATATTCTATGTGTTTTATTATCTCACACAAGCTTGTAAAGATTTTTTTGTCTCCCATGTGGACTCTGAATTGACTACCCTGAAAAAAAAATTCTCCCCCCATGGATCCAGCTTGGCACCTGAGAAGAGTTCATTTTTGAGTTAATTTCTAGGACACAGACCTCTGTGGACTATTTCAGAAAAGCCAGGGAAACCTGTCATATCTCTCCTAGGCAAAACCCTCCAGCATCTCATCATCTGCAGCATCTCTTGTGCTATTTTCTATGTGCCCCACCCTGTCTGTGTCCCTCCCTCACAGCTCTGCTCTTCCTTATGCTTGTCTTCATCCCCATCCCTCCTGCCCATCGCTCTCGATCCCTGTTGTTGCCTTTGTGGATCAGCCTCATTTACACAGCAGTGCATCTTGCTCTCTCCTGCAGCTCCTCAGCCTTTATTTGATGACCCAAGGCTGCCATGCCTGCATGGATGCATTGATGATCCTGCCAAGGAAGAGATTTTCATATTAATAAGGCCTTCTAGAGATGAGTTCAGTCTCAGAAAGTGTCCCACAGATCAGAACCCCCTAGGAGACTCACAGAAGAAAAAATTCTGGGTAGTTAGGCCTCATAACATCTTTAGCTGTAAGAGAGGGTTGAGACAACTCCTTCACAGGTTTCACATTTCTTCTTCTATAACCTCTGAGCAGAACAGCTGCTGACAAAGCCTTAGACTCCCACGGACATGGCATTAGCTTCTTCCAGTTATGGATGCTGCAGTGGAATTTCTGGCTCTTGATGAGAGGCTGATGCTAGGTTGTGAGTAAGGTTATGCTTGATTCTGCTTTTCTAAAACCCTAATGCTTCAGAAAATCTTCTTGAGATTTCTGACAGTTTATTCTTCCACATGCTTTTGCTCATTTACTCACTTATTTACACAACAAACACAACTGAGTGCCCATGATATAGAAGACAGGATAGTAAGAAATGAGTGCGTCTCCTCCAGAGAAGTTTATATTTCAATGAGCTATATTAAAAATTGCATATCCCATTAAGATGTATGTGATTTCTATGATAAATATATAGGGCAAAGTATGTTTTTTATATATTTATATATATATAATGTTATATATGAAAAAAATATATATGGGAGAAATTGTTATGGAAACATACATCAGGGAGCCACTAGCTGTGGCCTATTTTGGCAGAGACCTCAGAAAAGAGAAGGCACTAAAACTGGGCCTTCTCAAATAAAGTGGGTCTCATGCTATGCTAGAAATTTTCCTTTAGCTTTGCAGGAGACAGGAGAGTTTACATAATTACTCATGAAAGGGTAAAACTTCACTGGATACAGAAGGAAAACCAAAGATTCTGGTCAGTTTTACAGCTTACTAGAAGACAGTAAGCAGGAAAAACATGGATTCTGGTCAGTTCTATAGCTTACTAGAAGACTAGCTTACTAGTACTAGTGTGACAGTGAACAAGAATATTTCTGAATCTCAGTTTCTTTATCCATAATGGGGGTGATAAAATCAGCTTGTTTCAATTCAGGTTCTTAGTTACAAACAACACTAATGTATGATAATGGCTCAATGAAAAGAGAATTTGTTGGAAATGCATTAGTGGGATCACAGTTTCAGTGTGTGGCTGGAGGACCAGGCTTGGAAGAAAGACAAGAATCCAGGGAGTTTTCAAAGACTAGGAACAGAAAGTGGACAAAGATATGCTGACCGCTGCACTGCTAAATCAAGAGGCTTGAAGTCCAAAGATTGCTTTCTGTTTGTCCCCTTCTCAGTATTGAAATTGCTAAGAGCTAGTGACTGGCTGAGCTGTGGATTCTTGAACTTCCATAGTAGGAAATAAGGAGCTGGGGGATGCTAATAGAAAACAGGAAATATTAATAGAACAGGGGATGCCAATGGAACAGAAAATACGAATAGGACAGAGAATACCCACAGAACAGAAGATATCAATAGGACAGGGTCTCATATTGAAATATAACCCCCGGTGTTGGAGGTGGGGTGTGGTGGGAGGTGATTGGGTCCTGGGGGCAGATTTCTCATGAGTGGTTTACACCATCCCCCTAGGTACTGTCCTCATGATACTGAGTGAGTTCTCCTGAGACCTGGCCATTTAAAAGTGCATGGCACCTCCCCCTGGCTCTCTTGCTCCTGCTTTCACTATGTGATGTGCCTTTTCCCTGTTCACCTTCCACCATGATTGTAAGCTTCCTGAAGCCTCCTTGGAAGCAAATGCTGCTATGCTTCCTGTACAGCCTGCACACCATGAGCAAATTAAACCTCTTTTCTTTATAAATTGCCCAGTCTTGGGTATTTATTTATAGCAATGCAACAACAGAAAAATACACAGAGGATGCCAATAGAAGAAGAAATACTAACAGGACAGAGAATGTCAACAGGACATTCTAATACTAATAGGACAGATGATGCCAATAGGACAGAAAATACTAAGAGGACAGGGGATGTTAAAAGAATAGAAAATACTAATAGAACAGGGGATGCTAATAGGACTGAAAGTACTAACAGGAGAGGTGATGTCAACAGGACAGAAAATACTAATAGGACAGGAAATACTAATAGGACAGGGGATGTTAACAGAACAGAAAATAGAGCAGGGATGGCTAATAGGACAGACAATACTAACAGGACAGGTGATGCCACTGTTATAAAACAGGAAATGCTAACAGGACAGGAGATGCCAAGAGAACAGGAAATAACCAGCAGAACAGTAAATACTAATAGGACAGAGTTTGTCAATGGAACAGGAAGTACCAATAGGATAGGGGACATTGCTCTGAACAACAGAGTTAGTTCCCTTACAGTGTCTAATGCTATCCAAATGAGATCATGAATTCGGAAGCGTTCTATAAACTGGGATCTTTTATACAATGTTAGGGACACTGCGTATCCACTGTGTCTCTTTTTCTACTGTTATTACCTGACAATGGACTTATCTAATCTGATTTCTCAGATGAGGGCAGAAGAAGGTCTCCTTTGCAATTGCTCTATTCAGTATTTGCATGAACCCTTTCTTTGGGGGATTAGGCAGGTACATGCTGACCTGCTGAGCTAAGATGCCACATATACTTCCCAGTTTCATATTACACAACCAAATTTTCTACTCATTTTCTACCAGAAATTTTGAATACCCAATAGCTGTGGAAAACCACATTTTGATGGGAGGTATAAATGATGCAGAAATATATGGATACATTTTTCTTTAAAATAAATACAGACATTAAATCAAAAGGGACAACTGGATTGATATAATTTAGCTGTCCAAAAAGACAGTGTTTGTGCGCTAAAGTAGAAACACACTAGCTTCTTTTCTATTGAATGTGGGAAAGACTGCTGACCATCCAGCAAAGCACCTTCCTCTTCTTTCATAATACAGGCTTATAGCCTGAGTGGAACTGTTGACTCAATTGTATTTCACAGGTTCCCTTGGTGTTGCATTGCCAATGACTAAAGTTTCCTTCTGGTTAAAAGGAACAGAAGTGACATGTGTTGTTTCTAGGTCTGGCACCAATGAGAGTGCCTTTTCCATGTTCCTTTTTCCAGATGTAGTGGTGAGCCCAGATGTAGTGGTGACCCAGTTTCAAACATGCAGACCATGACAGTATCCTAGGGCAGAAGTCAGCAAATCTTTTCTGTAAGAAGTCAGAGATAATAAATGTTTTAGGATAGGTAGGGTGGTTCACGTTTGTAATCCTAGCACTTTGGAAGGCTGAAGTGGGCAGATCACTTGAGCCCAGGAGTTCAAGCAGTCTGGGCAACATAGAGGAACCCAGTTTATATGATTTGGCTGTGTCCCCACCCAAATCTCAACTTGGATTGTATCTCCCAGAGTTCCCACCTGTTGTGGGAGGGACCCAGCGGGAGGTAATTGAATCATGGAGGCCGGTCTTTCCCATGCTATTCTTGTGATAGTGAATAAGTCTCTTGAGATCTGATGGGTTTATCAGGGTTTCTGCTTTTGCTTCTTCCTCATTTTTCTCTTCCCACTACCATGTAAAAAGTGCCTTTTGCCTCCTGCCATGATTCTGAGGCCTCCCCACCCATGTGGAACTGTAAGTCCAATTAAACCTCATTTTTCTTTCCAGTCTTGGGTATGTCTTTATTAGCAGCCTGAAAATGGACTAATACACCAGTCTGTACAAAAAATACAAAAAAAAAAAAAAAAATAGCCAGGCATGGTGGCGTGCACCTATAGTCCTAGCTACTCAGGAGTCTGAGGTGGGAGGATCTCCAGAGTCTGGGAGGTGGAGGCTACAGTGAGCTGTGATCATACCACTGTATGACAGAGTGAGACCCTTCCTCAACAAAATAAAAAAATAAATAAATAAATAAAATACAAAGGAAAATAAATGTTTTAGACTTTGTGGGCAATATGGTTTCTGTGTTAGTACTCAATTCTGCCATTGGTACACAAAAGCAGTCATAGACATTATATAATTAATAGTTGTATTCCAATACAACTTTATTTACAGAAACCAGATGAGGGGTCTGGTGTGCTGACCCCTGAGTGTGGTGATAGTAGGGAAGAAGATGAATGAGCAATGCTTTGGAAAGAATCTAGGTCCATGAAGTACCATATGAAACAAAACTGCCTTAACACCTGGTTCTGTTAATGACAGGACTGCTATCCATGAGACAAGTAACTTTTTCTACTTTTTCTATTCTTTATGGAAGTCTTTGTTATAGAAACCTATTCTTATCAAATATGTGGAAAACCAAAAAGTAAAATAAAAATTCACCTTTTAGAAAAGCTTCATGATTAACCAGATCAATTAATACAATTTGTGCAATAAAATCTCTAAGACAGAACCTTATCTAGACCTGTATGCATCCCCTATTGCTATGGTTTGAATGTCTCTTCCAAAGTTCATGCACTGGAAGCTTAATCCCCAATGCAACAGTATTGGCAGGGGGATCCTTTAAGAGATGATTATGTCATGAGGGCTCTGCCCTCAGGAATGGGTTAATGCCATTATTGTGAGAGTGGGTTAGTCATCAAGGGAATAGATTCCTGATAAAAGGATGCGTTCAGCCTCTCTTTGTCTGCTTCTCTGTCTATCTCTGTCTCTATCTCTCTTTGTCTTTCACACACACACACACACACACACACACACACACACAGGCACACACGCACACACACCCTCTCTTGCCTTTCCTCTTTATGCCATGGGATGATGCAACACAAGGCCCTCATCAAGTACTGGTGCCATGATCTTGAACTTCCCAGACTCCTGAATCATTAATGAAATAAATTTCTGTTAATTGTAAATTATTCAGTCTGTGGTATTGTTAGAGAAACACAAAATAAACTAAGACATTAATGATCTCTGGAATGAGCTGTTCACATAGTGTTTAAATAATGTTTTATGACTACTTTATGATTTTATATTATCTTCAAAACTATTATTAATATTAGAGCAGCTGCTGCTCCAAGCTACGTTCACCATACTGGGAGAAAAATAACACCTTGGACCATATTTTGGATGTAGATAATAATAATTCAGTTATACATCTTATGGAAAATGTGTACAAATTATACTGTACCTAGAATAGTAGATTACAGATATCCCAGAGGCAATGTGACAGAATTGAGATTGTACTCTAGAAAATAAAAATACACTATATCTGTTTTAATTAGAGTATTAGTTCATTTTCATGCTACTATGAAGAAATAACCGAGACTGGGTAAACTTATAAAGAAAAGAGGTTTAATTGACTCACAGTTCCACATGGCTGGGGAGGCCTCAGGAAACTTACAATCATGGCAAAATGGGAAGCAAACACATCCTTCTTCACATGGTGCAGGAAAAAGAAGTGCTGAGTGAAGGGGGAAGCCTCTCATAAAACCACTGGATCTCGTGAGAGCTCACTCACTATTACGAGAACAGCATGGGGAAAAAACACTCCCATTATTCAATTACCTCCCACTGGGTCCCTCCCCATGACATGTGGGGATTATGGAATTACAATTCAAGTTAAGATTAAGGTGGGGACACAAAGCCAAACCATATTAGTTAGTTTGGGCTGCTATAACACATTACCATAGACTGGTGGCTTAAACAACAAACATTTATTTCTCACATCTCTGGAGGCTAGGAGTCCAGGATCAAACCACTGGCAGATCCCATGTCTGGTGGGGGGTTGCTACCTGAATTGCAGATGGTCATCTTGCTGTGTCCACACATGGAGGAGAACAGAGAGAGAAAAAGCAAGTTCTCATATGTCCTTTTATGGGGTCACTGATCCCACTTGTGGGAATTCTACCCTTATGACCTTATCGCCTTCCAATGGCTCCACCCCCTAATCCATCACCTTGGGGATTAGGATTTCAATACATGAATGCGGGGAGGAATGTGTAAACATTCAGTTCCTAGCAATCTCTATCTTTCGTTAGCCAAGAGAAAACACACAAAAGAAAAATTTACTTTGAAAATAAAAATATAAGCATGCAAAATAAAAATTTACTTTGGCCCAATGGATAGAAAAAGGCAAAAACTATAGATAAATAGATTTTGCTTTCTGGACAAGTAGTTGGAATAAATGGTAGTCTATATTCTCAGACATGCAAAGATGCCATCTTCCTTTGTTTTGATAACAGAATTTAATTTTTATTTCAGCATCCCCTGCCCACCCTCAGTGCTGGAAATGCATTCTCAGGCTACTCAGTGACTTCACCTTTTAGGAGGTGTGTCCACATTTGGTGCAGACTTTTCCTGTTTCCAAGGTGCTGAGCATGTTTGGATGGGGTTATCTGGCCTTCAGTGCCGTTACCTAGCCACACTGACCAGTTTTAACATCCCAACTCCATTGACTACATAGTCACCAGTCCACAGGGGATACCACTTGCTCTGTGTCCACTCTCATTCCAATGGAGGGCTTCCCAGGACAGCTCTCTGTGCCTAGGGCAGGCTGATTGCCGGTCCTGGAAAATATGAAACTCAGGCTCATCTTGGTTTCCTTTTACCTTCACCCTCAGACTGGAATTAGAATGGAGTAGAAGTATAAACAAAACGATGTTCTCCTCAGCAAGCATTCTCTCACTTTTTTCTTTCTCACCTCATACCCTATTTTTTTGAAAGATAACGTTGAGTGTTATTCCCCCTTCCCCAAATTCTGCTGAGTCACACTTTTTCATTTAGAACAAGCCTGGCAAGCCCTAGCAGCTTTCTGAATGGGGCAGTTTTCTGTATAGAGGGAAGCTGTTTAATATTTCAGAATGTCCTCCTTCCAGAAGGACTATCCTATTGCCAGAGCTGCAAAGTTGCCTTGCAAGGTAGTGAGTCACTCATCACTAGACATGATCAGTCAAAGGCTCATCAGTCACTTGTCTCATAGGCTGTTGAAAATTTTAAGCAATATGTTAGAGGCTGGCTCAGTAGAAAGTGGGATTAAGCCAAGACAATGATAATAACCTCTGGTGTTTGTTAAAACATTCACTGATTTTCTTACCCTGCTCTGAGATGCACTAAGTTAAAATCTAAAGGGGCAAGAGACATGGTTGACATTTTGAATAAAATCACCAACTTATTGTTATCCAGCCATATTTTAAACGCACTGGCATTCCACTTGATCCTGAGATATTCAGAAAAAGACTTATTCTAATCAATACCCACAAAGGCTTACCAAACTGGGCACATTACATTGTTCCTGAAAGCAACATATAACCACTGAAGACTCCTTTTGTTTATGTTGTTAATAACAGATGTGGCAAAGAAACATCACACATGCTTGGTTAATATTATCAAAACAATTATTCATTTATTCATCTCAGCTCAGTGTACTGGTGCAAGCTGGCTCTATAGATCTTGCAGGCATGGCCTTTATGAGTGCATAAACAGAAACCTGTGTCACATGTAATAAATCATCTCCAAACCCTCGCGACTCAGTGAGTACTGACGGGAGATATGGGGAGCATAACGTCTGATAGACTCTGCAGAAAACTGAGATTCTAATCATCTAGGAGGCAGTGATATGAAAGTCTGATCCAATTACTTACATTTTCCAGAATACCCAGAGTGGAGGCAGAGTCTTGCCTTTTGTTGAATGGCAGTCTGACATGCACCAACACACCAACATGCAGGAGCTGAAAAGACGAAAGTGAGATGCTTTGATTGGAATTGTTTTTATTCAATTAAGCAGTGAAGCTAACCTATATAATAATATGGCATGATGTTCAAGCCTAATTCATTTTCTAGGGTTTAATGAAGAAATTAAAATGTTATAAGAAAGAGCCTTAGTTCTATGTTAAATTTTTAAACAGCTTTGTTAAAAATCAAATGCTTTAACTAAGAAACTATTCAATTTCATTGAGAGCCTGGATTCTACAGTCGGTCCCCCAATAGCCACTTTGTTGAGTGGCCCTGGGGGTGTTACTTAAACTTTCTTTGCCTCAGTTTTCTTAACCATAGCTGATGAGGGGAATAGTGCCTACCTCATAGAATTGTTGAAAGGATTAAAGGAGTTAAAATGTAATGGCTTTGGAACATCCTCTGGCACTTAGTAAACCCTGTATTATCACCTACCTTTTCTTTCAACAAACATTTATTAAGTGATTATCAAGTGTCAGGTAACAGAAAATTAACAATAAATCAAACACACTTCTTCCTTCTGTTCAAGAAGAGAGTTGTTTAAAAGATAGACCCAAGTATGTGTTAATCAAAAGTTCGCAGTGCTGAGGTGGAGCCACTCATGATTCTACCAGGAGTGACGGCAGCTGCAGGTCCCAGGAACAACATGGAATAAGTGTTGGTTGAGTGCCTCCTGTTTCCCACATGGTGTTCTACAGTTTCTATTCTGTGAATTCTCAAAGCTTTGTAGGAGATATTGTCTCCTTTTATGAGAGAAATGAAGACAAGGAAAGGAAGGAAGAAAGGGAGGGAGGGAGGGAGGAAGGAAGGAAAGAAAGAGAAGGAGGGAGGGAGGAAGGGAGGGAGGAAGGAAAGAAAAAAGGAAGAAAGGAAAACTCAGAAAATTCATGTAAATTTTATGTTACATGACTGTTAAGTAGAAAAAGGCAGAATATGTAGTTTTAAAATTTATGTTTTTGACTTTTTTTCATTGAATCTTTTAGAACAAAGAGATTTTCTATGGCTGACTAATCTATATGATTTTTCAACCTGTTGGTGAACTATAAGATTGCTTTGTGCCGTGGACTTGAATTCTACTTTTCTTGGGCAAGACTGATTTCAGAATTAATTTAATTAAAGAAACCAAGCAGCTATGTTTAGAAACATTTAAAGATATAAAATTGTCTTAAGAAACCAAGGAATATAGGTGGGTAGAAACCCAGTTCCTTCCAGTAAACCCTTGCTTCTAAGGTGCCTTACCTGGCCCATTGAGAATCCATTCCACAAGCAGAGCTGGCTGGGCATCTCCTCTCTGCTGAGATTCGAAGATGTAAACAGAAATTATAAATTCTCCTTGCTGTCCAGGAACGTGTGGCTACAGCATATCAAAGAGGGTCTTGGAAACCCTGGACATTCAATATTTGAGGCAATCTTCCATGCCTAAGTTTAAAAAACATTGCAGGATTTAGCAAGATGAAAAAAGAAAGAAATCGGGGGAAACAGCAATCTAGGCAGAGAGAAAACAACGTGAGCAAAGGCACGTGTTGGGACACGATAAAACAAACAAAAAAGCAAACAGACATGGAATCGGTGGTGGTGGTAGGGATGGTAAGCAGTTCTGGACATGATGAGAGATGAATATGAGAGGAGGGAGCAGCCATGAAGATTCTGGGTGTGTGTTTTGAGTCAAGAAACAGAAATTGTGCTTTGTCTTCTAGATGATAGAAAGCCTTCTAAGAGTTTTCAGCTAGAGAGTAGCATGGCTGTATGGCAAGTCGCTGGATCCTTCTGGAAGAAGCAAGCATCTAAGGAAGCCAGCCCAGGAGAGACAGGACTCCTGCAGAGGCTCAAGGGAAAGATGGAAGAGTCTGAAGGAGGAGAGGGGGAGTGGGAGGTGAAGAGTCATTTGAGAAGGATTTCAGAGGCAAACTTGGGAGGACCTGGCAGGTGATCATAGGGAATGAGGAATATGAGTGAAGAGGGTCACAGGGAAATGTTAGTTTTCTAGACTGGATGGCCGGGGTGGTGATCATGTCTACTGAGATAGAAAACATCAGAGGAATAGGCTGGTTTTTCCAGTAGAAATTTTTTAAGTTAAAAAATATGTTATTATTCAACATAAAGAACTAAAATAAAAGAAGTACATGAAGATTAAAGGTTCAAAAAAATTTTAAAAAGCACTCACACTCTCTCTGAGTAAAATTTGTATTTCATTCTGAATACCTACATATGTATATACAAACATAACAGATATAGATAAGGTATAAATGTCATATATGTATATAGCTATTTATGTATGTATGCATTTTTCTACAGAAAGAGAACATAAGCATATTAGACATAACTTTTTAAATCAATCATATTTTTAAAAATTACCTGAAACTAACAAATGACAAAAGAATTAAAGAAAAATGAAATGTAAATATTTAAAATAAACATTTCTTTACAAGAGCTATGTTTCTACAAGAACTCTCCAATGTTTCGAAAAAATATGTGGATCATTAGGAATATGAAGTTATTAATGTTTATTTTTAATTGCATGCTTCGTTATTTTTCTGCATCTATTGACTTCCTGCTATGAAACGTTTGAAAAATGAACACACTTCTTTTCACCTTCCCTCTGAGAGTAAGATTTTGAGTTCATTTCTGGACAAATTAAGTTTGTAGTGGCTGTGAAATTTTTCAAAGGAGGTGGAGAACAGACAGTTGCATAATTTTGAAATATGGGATTGTGAAGAGAGGCCCAGGGAAAGTAAGGAACAATCAAGGAAAAAGGAGATCCTGAAGAGTTAGAGCTTATAGAACTCAGTGGTTCCTTATGAAGAACCAATCCAAAAGAAAGCCAATGGAAATCCCCCATTAGATTTGGCAGTGGGAAGGTACCAGTTGCTCCTGTGAAGAACTGTGCAGATCAGTGTCCAGGGGCAGGAAGCACTAGGTGGGGTTTGAATGGGATTGCGTTGAATGGGACTGAATGGAAGGAAGAGGGCCTCACCAGCCATGTGGACACATCATTCAAGAAGTAGTGTTACACACGATGGAATAACAGAAGTCCATACAAATGGTGAGTCTAAAAGGATATTCAGTAACTTGGAAAATGTTTTAATATGGATTGTTAAATTAAAAAAAAATTATGAACATTTTGTAGAGAATAAAATATATTACCCTGATCACTAGCTATGAAAATTCTTCGGCTATTATTCTGCTATTATTATCTTTTTTAAACATTATTTTCTCAATTTATAATTTTTTAAAAAAATATATGTCTTTACACAAGGAGGACCTGTGTGGACTTTGAGGGTCTATTGGTGTCTTTATGGAGTAACTGGAGAGAAGGCTCACCACGTAGACCCTTTATGGGTCACTGTTAAGATACATTTTTTTTAAAATTTATTTATTTATTTTTATTGATCATTCTTGGGTGTTTCTCGCAGAGGGGGATTTGGCAGGGTCATAGGACAATAGTGGAGGGAAGGTCAGCAGATAAACAAGTGAACAAAGGTCTCTGGTTTTCCTAGGCAGAGGACCCTGCGGCCTTCCGCAGTGTTTGTGTCCCTGGGTACTTGAGATTTGGGAGTGGTGATGACTCTTAACGAGCATGCTGCCTTCAAGCATCTGTTTAACAAAGCACATCTTGCACCGCCCTTAATCCATTTAACCCTGAGTGGACACAGCACATGTTTCAGAGAGCACAGGGTTGGGGGTAAGGTCACAGATCAACAGGATAAGAATTTTTCTTAGTACAGAACAAAATGAAAAGTCTCCCATGTCTACCTCTTTCTACACAGACACGGCAACCTCCGATTTCTCAATCTTTTCCCCACCTTTCCCCCCTTTCTATTCCACAAAACCGCCATTGTCATCATGGCCCGTTCCCAATGAGCTGTTGGGTACACCTCCCAGATGGGGTGGTGGCCTGGCAGAGGGGCTCCTCACTTCCCAGTAGGGGCGGCCAGGCAGAGGCGCCCCTCACCTCCTGGACGGGGCGGCTGGCCGGGCGGGGGGCTGACCCCCCGACCTCCCTCCCGGACGGGGCGATACATTTTTCTGTCCTTTTTTCTTTTTAATTTTTGTGGGTAAATAGCAGGTGTATGTATTTATTGGGTGTGTGAGATGTTTTGATACAGGCATGCAATATATAATCATCACATCATGGAGAATGGGATATTCATCCCCTCAAGCATTTATCCTTTGTGTTACAAACAACCCAATTATAATCTCTTAGTTATTTTTAAATATACAATAAAATTAGCATTGACTACAGTCACCTCGTTGTGCTATGAAACAGTAGGCTTTATTCATTCTTTCTCTCTATATATATTTTGGACCCATTAACCATCCTCACCTCTTCTCACGAACCAAAATCCTTCCCAGCCTCTGGCAACCGTCCTTCTACTTTCAATTTCCATGAGTTCAATTGTTTTGATTAAAATGCGTTTTTTCTATAAGATGAGGGCTACCAAAAGACAGAATACGTAGTCACTAAATGAGTGACATTGGATAGGGCAACGTCATGATTTATTATCCAAATAAGCTCAGTTGGTAGAGTGAAAAGAGGCAGCAACCAACTGGGCCTCTGAGCAGGCCTAAACTGACAGGCTTGTGTGAGCTCGCAGGACATCTGGTCCCCCCAGGCACGAAGGACACAGATTGGAAGTCCTCATTCCACACTTCTCTAGTGTTCTGAGGGCTTGAAATTGCCATAGATGATGATTGTTTTGGATCAAAGGTTTGAAGTTTTCTTTAAAATGAAAGTATGAGATAGGCACCTCTGTAAAAGATTAGTTACAATAGTTTTACCAGATTAGTCGAATTCCCTGAGGGTGTTTGAGAAATGAGACATTGTGTTAGGCAACAGGAGGCTGTGCTAATGAATGAACTAAAGTAATCATGGCCCAATACTAGAAAACTTTCTCTCTTACTCATTGTTTTAATTTCCTATGGGTGCTCTAAAAAAATACCATGAGCTGAGTGGCTTTAAACAAGGGAACTTTATTCTCTCAGGATTCTGGAGGACAGAGACCGAAAATCAAGGTGTCACTAGGCCATGCTCTTTCCCTGGGCTCTAGGAGAGAATCTGTCCCATGCTATGCTCTTAGTTGCCAGTGTTACCGTCAGTGCTTTGAACACATCACTCCAGTCTCTGCCTCTGTCACCGCATGGGCTTCCCTCCGTGTTCTTCTCCTCTTCTTATCAAGACACCAGTCATGTGGATTAGTACCATCCAATGTCCTCCATCTTAACTGGATAACACCTACAAAGACCCTATTCCCAAATAAGGTCACATTTGCAGGCACCAGAGGTTAAGGCACTATTTAGGAGGGAACAGTTCAACCTACAGCAGAACTTTGGGTCAAGAAGCCAAATAATTTTTAGAGATCAAATAAGATGGCACCAAAAGCCCCAGTGACGTGGGTTTAAAAGTGACAGAAGATGATCAAACAGAGTGTGTAGGAAAGAGGTCATGAGAAGTTTATCTCTGAAAGGAAGGAAGCTGGAAGGAGGTGAAGGATTGAAAGGAGGAGATTTAAATATGCATAAAAGCCAGTAGTAAGAATCTAGTTGAGAAGGTAAGTTTTAATATAAAAGAAAAAAAACAGTATAAACATCACATTAGGCAGCCAGAAATAAATCCAAACCATTGGCGTAGGCCTCAGCTTTGGGGAGGAGAAATGACCCTTCTAGCAAAAGTAGAGGAATATAACAGGATCCTGATAGGTTTATACTGCAACTTACAAAAATGAGAAATGTGTAGGAGTTCGAGCAGGAGACTGGCTCACTGGGGTGGGCTGGGGAGGAGGCACTGGTGGGAGAGAGGAGCTTTAGGTAGGAGAGAAGGCTGGTTATGGTAGACTGGCCATATGGTAGAGTGGCCAGGAAAATGGAGTTGCCAGGTGATATGGTTTTGCTGTGCCCTATCCAAATCTCATCTTGAATTGTATTTCCCATAATCCCCACTTATCGTAAGAGGGACCCAGTGGGAGGTAACCAAATCATGGGGGGTGGTTAACTCCATGCTGTTCTCCTGATAGTGAGTTCTCACGAGATCTGATGATTTTTCTGAGACAAGATTCTTCCCCTGTTACCCAGGCTAAAGTACAGTGGCACCATCTCGGCTTAGCGCAACCTCCACCTCCTGGGTTCAAGTGATTCTCCTGCCTTAGCCTCCCAAGTAACTGGGATTATAGGCACCCACCACCATGCCTGGCTAATTTGTATTTGTAGTAGAGACAGGGTTTCACCATGTTGCCCAGGCTAGTCTCAAACTCCTGAGCTCAGGTGATTTGCCCACCTTGGCCTCCCAAAGTGCTGGGATTACAGGTGTGAGCCACTGCACCTGGCCAATCTGGTGGTTTTCTGGGGGACTTTTCCCCTCCTTCTTTCTCATTCTTCTCTCTCCTGCCATCTTGTGAAGAAAGACGTGTTTGCTTCTTCTTCTGCCATGATTGTAAGTTTTTGAGGCCTCCCCAGCCCTGCAGAACTGTCAATTAAACCACTTTTCTTCATAAATTACCCAGTCTTGGGTATGTCCTTATAGCAGTGTGAGGATGGACTAATACACTAGGGCTGCTGAAGGCCAAATTGAAGTGGTTTCTGAGACCAGAACTTAAGACTCGTATGTGGCATGGTCTTGCAAATGGGAAACCTAGAAGCTGGAGGCTTGAAAACAAAAAATAAATTAATTGATTAATTTAAAAAAATCAAATGGACAAACAAGTAATGCCTGGGTTTGTGAGCTGAGGGACCTGGGGTCTAGCGAGGTATAAAGTACAAATGTTGTTTCCTGGTGATCCCTCACCCTCAGCAGCCAGGACTCTCAAGCAGGCTTGGTTCACCCAGCTCTGCTGCTTGACAAGCTCATTCCTACCTCCGTGATGCATTTCTTCTCCCCACATTAACCATAAGGTCCACAAACATAAGAATCACGACTTTCAATTGCTTTTGGCAGCACTCAGGATGATACTGTATGTTATATATATAGGAATTGATCCATACGCATTGCTAGATGGATTTTTGGCCCGTATTTACATATGTGTAAATATATATGTAGATTATACATAATATGAAAATGTACATTCTATTCTTAATTGGTGGAAGTGTATCTTAATTATTTACACATTGTACTGAAGTTATACAAGTGAATTCTAGTTAAGAGATATGATAATTTCCTAACAATTTTGCTTTTGTGTTTTTTAACATAGGCTTTCCTGATGATTTTGATAATCCAATCAATGAAAATTAATTAGATAACCTTTTCTAACAATTGTCAATGTCCTAATTTTATCTAGTATTTGGTGTTCATTTTCAATTTTTCTATTTCCAAACAAAAAAGAGTCTTCATTTTTGAATATACAGTAAAGTTTCTTAATGAACAGGCATTAAATGTGGAGTGATATAGTGGTTGGATTCTTGAAAACATCACTGTAAATTGTCTCTATGAAAGATATAATCAACAGTGTTTCATCATTTGAAATAACTTCACAGTGAATACTCCTGTGAAGTACAACACACACACATACAAATCCTTTCATAGTATAATCATCCTTCAGCTTGAAATTTTCCTATTGATTACACATCAATATGTAGAATTTCCCTAAAGGAAGTTTCACCTTAAGGGGCAAAGATGGAATATTAATCTCTGTATCCTCCTTAGTGCCTGAGGCACAATGAGCACTATTATTGCTTAATTAAATTTAATTTTAACAAGGCTGAGCTAAGCTTACCTTTGCATTAAAAACAAAAGACAATTTGCTGTGAAAGTTAATAATGTCAGCCAAGGAGCTATTCAGTGTAGCATATAGAAAAGACTGCTCTCAAATACTTGAGAGGCTGCTAGTATGATACAAATATTGATCCACTAATTTCCAACCATTCATTATAATTCATTAAAGTAGGGCCAAAGGACCTTTCCTAGGAATCACTCACCACTGGACATAGGATATGAAGTTAACAAATGTTTTTTCTTAGGACAAAAATCACCCTTTGTCTGCTACTGCCATCACAACCGCCACCATTACCACCACATACACAGAAGGACAACACTGTCTAGCAAGGTTTCTTAATGCTAGTTGATTTTTCTTTTCTTCCCTTTCCCTCCACATACTTTGTCTGAATCTTAGGTCCTTCTGTACTTTTTTGCAACACTTAAGAACCAAACTGCCTTGACAAAGATGGTTTTTCTCTTTCATTTTCTTATTTCCCCAAAGTAACAAACTTAGTGCTAACAAATATTTTGTCTGATTTTATAGGACAAGATATTCCAACATTGCTTTAAACAATGATCTCTTTTCAGTCCTTACAGATTCCCTTTGCACCAAGATGCCAGATTTAGAAACCCTCTGTGCAGACTTACAGCAGGTTTAAATACTGCACCCCCAGGAATGGCAGTGGCCAGACAAACATTGAAAATAACACACAGGCCAGGCACGGTGACTCACGCCTGTAATCCCAGCACTCTGGGAGAAGGAGGCCGGTGGATCAGGAGGTCAGGAGTTTGAGACCAGCCTGGCCAAGGTGGTGAAACCCTGTCTCTACTAAAAATACACACACACACAGACACACACACACACACACACACACACACACACACACACACAAATATTAGCCAGGCGCAGTGGCGGGCACCTGTAATCCCAGCTACTCGGGAGGCTGAGGCAGGAGAATCACTTGAACCTGGGAGGCAGAGGTTGCAATGAGCTGAGATCAGGCCACTGCACTCCAGCCTGGGCAACAGAGCGAGACTCCATCTCAAAAAAAAAAAAAAGAAAGAAAGAAAGAAAGAAAGAAAATAACACCCACACAAAAAGCCACTAGACTATCACTCACTCACTCTTAACAGACATCGCTCCAAGACCTTCCTCCAGACACCCCTACCAAAGGGGTCAAAGGACCATTTCAAAAGATAGTGCTGCGCTATTCTGAAAGAGCATGAGTGTGACGTCCCCTGGCCCTGTCATGCAGCAGATCTGTCCCTACTCATTCATCAGCTCATCACCTCCTTCATCCGTGCAGTAAACAGAGATGAACTGAGCATGTGAAGGGTCCCAAAGAAGGTCATGCAACCTGTCTTAGTTTGCAAAACTGTAAAATGGAAATAGAAATACCTTCTTCCTAGAACTGATTCCAGTACCAAATAAGAAAACTTGTAGGAAACGTGGCATTTGTTTTTAAGTGCTATGCAAATACAATATATATATATTTTTTTGAGACAGTCTCACTCTGTTGCCCAGGCTGGAGTGCAGTGGCATGATCTCGGCTCACTGCAACCTCTGACTCCTGGGTTCAAGCTATTCTCCCACCTCAGCCTCCCGAGTAGGTGGGATTACAGGTGTGTGCCACCGCACACAGTTAATTTTTGTATTTTTAGTAGAGATGGGGTTTTCACCATGTTGCCCAGGCTGGTCTCGAGCTCCTGGCCTCAGGTGATCCACTCACCTCAGCCTTCCAAAGTACTGGGATTACAGGTGTTAGCCACTGCGCCCGGCCACAAATACAAATATTTTAACATTATTCTTAGTAAGGGACCCTTCATCACTGGGGCTTGTTAACTTTCAGTGATCAGGAGCCCAGTGACACTCACTCCTTTGGGGAAACATTTGCTTGGTCTTATGAGTTGCTGCCTTCTGAAGGCAGATCTTTTGGAGGGGATGGTTTTCTCCTGTTCTGTTCATTAAGTGGTGGCAGAAATGTGGCCGTGGAGGCATCAAATACATGCGCTATCATAGTCTCTGGGATGAGGCATGGTCTTTGGGATGAGGCCCTAAGATGGTCTCTGAGGGAACTGCTGAAACAGAGACCTGAACAAAATCAGGACAAGGGCTTAGGTCAAGAGAATCAGCATTTGGTGACATGAGACAGAGGAGTGATGGAGACCTGAACCTTGCAGGGTAATCAGGAAATACCCAGAGAGATGAGGAGAATCAGGGCATGGGACGGCTCAGGATGTTCTGCATCAGAAGACATACCTCAAGCTGTGCTGCTGGGTGGGCCGCTCCTATGAGCTTCCCCTAGAGGTATTCCAGAGCACAGAGACAAGAGCTGTGCTCCGTGAGGACATGAGGGTGACCCAGGCATGCATTCACCTTCCTGGAAAATTGATGGAAAAGAAAGGAAGTAGCAGGTTGTGGCTCAGTCAGAAATGAGGTGCAAAGAAGAGGGACCCGGGCATTTGTCCCTTTTGCCCCAAGAAGGGGAGAGGCCCTGCCTGGAAACACTAACATAACTGCAGCACAAAGAGAGACCTGAAGACCACCATCCAGTGTTTCCCAGCTTTTATTCATAGAGCACATCAGTATCTACAGACAGAGCTCACCCAGGGCGGCCCCAGCATAGCTTGAAGTGGCGATTTCACTGCACCCAACATTTCTATTTTATCTCAAGTTTTGTTTTAAAGCTTCATGTGAAATTGGCGTTATTTTCATAACATGTTCATGTTTTTTCAATATAAAAACATGTTTTAAATTTGTTACTCATTACTTATTTAGGGATTTTTCCTCATTTTCAAGGACTATTGATACTCCAGGAAGATTCTTTAATTCATCCCATGAAGTACTTACTGGAAACCTCTATGTTTTGGATCAGTGATCTCCAATAGCTCCCCAAATATGCAATTTTAAGTTCTGTAAGTTTTCTGGTAACCACAGTTAAAACATAGGATGAAATTAATTTTACTAATCTATTTTAACTAAGCGTATCTGAAATATTATGTCAATATATAATTAGTACAAAAATTGATAATGCGATTGTTTTCTCTCCAGCAGAAGTCTTCACGTTTCAGTGTGTACTTATACTTCTACCACATGTCAATTCAGACTAGCCACATTGCAGGCACAAAATACCCAAAAGTTCCTGGTGGCCACCATATTGGACACAGTTCTAGATACTGTGTATGTCCACACAGATATAAATATTTACTCTTATATGGCAATATATGCTGCAAAGGACAATCACATTTTTTTTTTCAGAGAAGACCATTTTTAAGATGTAATATGAAGCCTATTATCTTAAGAGTGAGGAGTCGGCCTACAAGGAGAAGGGGAAGAACATAACAGGCAGAGCAGATGTTATCTGTGAGGATTCTAATATTGGAAAGAGCCATGTGCATTCAGGAAATTGAAAGAGGCGAGTGTGTCCCAAGCTGAGAGTGTAGGAAGGAGTGATACAAAGTGAGGCTGGGGAAATAGGAAGGGGTTTGATTATGCAGGGCCGTTATACAAAGTTTAGGTTTAATTTTAAATGCACTGGGAGGCAGGGGATGACACGATCTGATTTTTACCTTAAAAAATTATTCTGACTATACTAATGAGATTGGAGACAGGAATTCTGCTAGGAGAGAATGGTGTTTTGGTAAAGTCCTGGAAGTGGTGATAAATAAAGGATTAGAACTGGAAGGACCCAATGTGGCAGGGGTGAGGATCAGATGCTAAGATGACTTCCCCATCTTTTTCTTATGCAATTGGATCGATAGAAGGAAGGATGGATGGATAGATGAATGGTGGAGGAATTTACTGTGATAGACAACTCTGAGGGAGCATAGGGAATATTGAAATGATATTATTTGCGCAGGCTCTTCTAAATGCTTCACATCGATACATTTGTTTAATTTTTACTGCCATCCTATGAACTGGTATGCTATTGGCACCCGTATATTACCGATGAAACAATAGCCAGAGTTTATGGTTAGTAAGTGGTAGAGCTAGGATGTGTACAGCTCAGTCTGACTCCAGATCTGGACTCTTCACCCCTAGACTCCACTGCCAATTCAATTCAAGTGGCCTGTGAGATATTCTATGTAAGTGGAAACTTTATGTAGGTTGCCCAGGTGGGAGTTATGGGCAATTCGGTGGAGAAATCCTGAGCATTCCGGATGAGAGGAAACCCTTGCATTATGTTGTTTCTGTGCCCTCGTGTAGTTCCAGGTACACTGATAGTGACGTGTGCCCAGTGGGTGCAGGGGGTATTTTCCATTCTTCCCATTTAAATGTGAAGACACTGAGGCCCCAAGTGTTTCAGAGACTTTCCCAAGCCACCCTGTAAAGGGCAGGGCCAGATAAGCTCCTGGTTTTCCTGGCACTTGCTCCCACATTCTCTCAGATGCACCTGAGGACATTTCTGTACAGCACGTTGGAAAAAGCGTGAGAAAGATTTTGAAGATTTTCCTAGATAGCCTCAATTGGGCAATTGCAGTTTCTCAAGTTGATCACAGCTAGTGTTCCAAAGAAGGAACTAAAAAATAATGAAACCTAAGCACGCTTTGTCTTTTTATTTTTTATTTTTTTTTGGAGAAAATGTGTGCAGTGGAATTTATGTTCCTATTTATTCAAGGGGAAGCACTCAGCCTGGTACTTGTTGAGTGAAAAGGACAAAAAAGACTCCAGAATTCACGCCACCTAAATGCAACCCTAGAAATAGGGTGGGTTTGCTTCCTCGCGGAGGCCCAGTCTTGGAGCCATGGCACCAGCTGCAGGTTCTAGAGAAAGAGGGGCCAGGATCAGCCAACCCGGGTGACAGTCCTTGCTTCTGCAGCTGCCAGCTCTGTCACTTAGGAAGGTCATTTAGCCTGTTGAGCCACAGTTTCCTCATCCATTAAAAGGGAGAATCCTTACATTGCCTGCCTAGTGGGCTTGTTGTGAAGCTCAGATTAAATGAGGGAAATGAAGGCAGTGGCGGAGCCCTGTAAATTGCAGAGTCTGCTGGAGATGGATGGGCACCCTGTGGTTCCGATAATGGAGGGAGGCTGTCGTCATCATTGTGGTCATCATTGTCTTCAGCTTCCCGGTTACGGCAGTTAGGATATCCTAAATTTTATGTGATGGGGACTTTACACACTATTTTATCCCATTATCACAACAATATTTCAGGCTAGGGGTTATCTCCATTTCACAGATGTAGGAGGTGAGCTCAGGGAATCATAACTTGCCTCAACTCCCTAAGTTAAAGGGTTCAGATGCAGGTTCCGGTCCAAGCCCTGTCTCTCTAAGCCTGTGCATTTATATTGAAGCACACTGGTTCCTTCTCCCCAGATTACTTTCCCCAGAAGCAAACACCACCTGTGGAGGCCCTTCCCATTTGGCCTCCACTGGACCTTGCTTGCTCAGATTTCAGCCAGTCTGTGGGAACTGGGCAGCCTGGCAGGCGAGATCAGCCTATTCAAGGTGACCTGCTGTCCTGAGGGCATCCGCTGACTCAGTGCCCTAGCTGCTACCTGCAGTCACTCTCAGCAGCAGACCCTCAGGGCAGACTTCAGAGGTGAAGCTCCCCCAGGCCTGGCAACTCTCCTCTCTACCCTTGGACAAGTGTGTTGGAAGCCAAGCTGACTGCAGTGGGAGAGCCAGCTCTCTGTCGGAGAGCTGTTGAGGGCCTAGAGTCTATCCGGCTGAGACTCAGCGAGACCTCCTTTCACTCTCTTCTCCTCCTTACCCATATGTAAGGCAGGGCCAGGGTGGCATGGACCGTGACTTCCCAGGGCTATTTACCCCAGGCCTGTCCCCACTCTCCTAGAGCTCTTCTTCTAGGAAGTGGACAGAGCATGATGTACTTCACAGAACTTCATCCCATCCATTCATTTCTTTCTGCTCCAGAAACATCTGTGCAGGAGGCAAGAGGGATGGCTAAGCCCATTTGCCACCAAGGAAACCATTGTCTGCTGAGGGAGGGCCTTGGGGTCAGCCTGACCTGGATAACACCCTACATTATTATTTAACCTCCTACGTGATTTGGGCAAGTTACTTAAGCTCTCTGAGCTTTAGTTTCTTCCTCTGTAAAATGGGGAGAATAGCACCTGCCTCTCGGGACATGTGAGGCAAAAATGAGGAAATATGGCAACTTTTGGACTTGAACTATATTTAGTAACCTCTGGTCTCTTCCTTCCACTTACCAGATGAAAATGAGGTTTCTAGAAATGAACCTCCTGCGAAAGCCTGTGGCCCTGGGAGGTAGCAGAGTGGGTGCACATCCAGGTCTCCTGACCTCATGTCTAGGACGTGTCCAAGGAGCCCACATTTTCATCCCAGTGCCTATCAGGACTTGCAGAATTAGGCAGCTGGTTAAGAGGAAGGGTAACATTTATACTTGGATCCATTAACCTTTCTCTTCTTTCTGGGACCCTGCTTCCTCCAGCCTGGGGTTAAATTGCAACCTCAGTAGCACTTGGGTTAACCTTAGTGCCCTTTTCCATGGTTAACTCAGCCTGCTTCCTGATGTAGTTTGACTTCTCCACGGTTGTGTTTGGCTTTATGACTTTGGATGTCACGCAGGTTTCCGTGGCAATACGGCAGCACTGGTTGCAGGGTGAGGGCGAGGTTTGCTGTTCCTGCTGATGCTGAAGCTGGGGAGCAAGAGCAGGGGGTTTCGGTCTGCGTTCCCACAGTTGCCCATGGCTGTGTGTGATGTGTATATTAGGGATGTGTGCACCAAGCACAGAACTTTCAATCAAACACATTTTCTCTTCTTAGACACTTGTGTATAAAAGATGGTCAAACTGAGGACTATATTAAAATTTTTTAAAGGAGAGATTCTACTTTCAAAGGCTATGGTTCAAAGCATATTAGCAGCACCATACTCATTTCTGAAGCTTTATTTTAGAGTTGTGGCTACCCCAGCCCGGAAATGGGGATAGCTTCTTCCCAGTTCTGTCTTTTTGCCCATCCACCTTTCAGATAAGGCACGTGTGTCTGAAATTTCTCTGTTTCACTTTCTTAGTCTCTTTACCCATTTTAAAAAATCATTTCTTCTCTATTGAATTCCCAGAACACTTTTTGCCTGTGCATTTAATAAATTTTATTTTGCATTTATTTTATCTTTTGCTCCATGCTATCCTTTCCTCTCAAGAGAGGACAGATTCTGAGGTTCACTCATCACTATATTCTTTATGAAATAATTGCCTGGAATGTAGTAGTAGCTCCGTGAAATGCAGCCACGCTTTTCTTTTCAGAGGCCATCCCTGCGCCTCTCCCATTAGAACACTGGGGTGCTTCCCACTGCCCTTAGGACCCAGTACAAACTCCCTGGAACGGCCAGAAATTCCATTGATCATTGCCTCTGCTGACATTCCCACACTGGCCTCTCCTCTGGCCACTTCATTGACCTAATCTGATGCTCCAGCCTCAAGGGAGCCACTTATGGTCACTAGAGTTCTCCGAATCCCCCGTGGTCTACAGAGTAAATTGCAGTCAGCTGAGCACTGCAAAAATTCAAAGCAAAGCCTCTTTGAATCATGCACCTTTGTGTTATATCTGGATAAATACAATATGGGGTCTGCTGTTCTACTTCATGAATCCAGACTTGTTAGATAAGCCTGGAGGGGGCGGTCTGTATATTAAGTGGGAATATTTTGTTAATTTGGTGGCACAGATGTGACTTGGCTACTGAGTGGGACTCTTCTCATCTCTGCTCTTAGACACACCCAGCCCTACATGGCTTAGTGGATGCGGGGTCCTCGGGGTTCCAAAGGGGACAAATGCCCGGGTCCCTCTTCTTTTCACCTCATTTCTGACTGAGCCACAATCTGCTACTTCCTTTCTTTTCCATCAATTTTCCAGGAAGGTGAATGCATGCCTGGGTCACCCTCATGTCCTCACGGAGCACAGCTCTTGTCTCTGTGCTCTGGAATACCTCTGGGGGAAGCTCATAGGAGGGGCCCACCCAGCAGCACAGCTTGAGGTATATCTTCTGATGCAGAACTTCATCCTGAGCCATCGCGTGCCCTGATTCTCCTCATCTCTCTGGGTATTTCCTGGTTACCCTGCAAGGTTCAGGTCTCCATCACTCCTCTGCCTCAGTCACCAAGTGCTGATTCCCTTGGCCTAAGCCCCTGTCCTGATTTTGTTTGGATCTCTGAGGGAGATGAGGGACAAGGGCATTTGTTCCTTTTGCCCCAAGAAGGGGAGAGGCCCTGCCTGGAAACACCAACAGAACTGCAGCACAAAGAGAGACCTGAAGACCACCATCCGGTGTTTCCCAGCTCTTAATCACAGAGCACATCAGTTATCTACAGACAGAGCTCACCCAGGGCGGCCCCGGCATAGCTTGAGGTGGCGATTTCATTGCACCCAACGTTTCTATTTTGTCTCAAGTTTTGTTTTAAAGCTTCATGTGAAATTGACATTATTTTCATAAATGGTAGGAGGCTTATCTCAAATCTCCAGCTCCATGTCATCCTGTATTCTCATAAAGTTTATGTTTCTCCTAGTACTTCCATTTCTGATTTGCTACTTTCACCTAATTATTGACAACCCTGTGTCTTGGTTTTCAGCTGTTCTCTGCTGTCTTCCTAAATGTGGCAAAGATGAACCATAATGTCCTGTTGACCTTTTTTTGTAATCCCTACAAAATGCTGCCAAAAAGTCTCCACCCAAGGCATATTTTTATTGAAGTTTGAGGATAATGATGGGGATGATGAGGTGGGCAAGGATCACCTTCAGCATAGCTTGGCAAACGACTGGCATTTTCATATTGCATGATATGATTCTTAAGAGTCCTTTCCTCTCCAGTGCTCCACACCCTGAGCTGCTTGTTGCTATAGACCCAGTGAGGCACCATGCCTTTGGCTTCCGGATACCATCTAGCTTGCTACTGATAACATACCCATAGAACATGACATCTACCAATTATTTACCAATGGAGACTGTAAGATCCTTGTAGGTGACATCAGTCCTCAAGTCCTCGGGTGTCCTCTCTACCATCACTCAAGCTGGGCTAGGAACTCCTCCTTCTCTGCTCCTCTGGCACCTTGTATTACACCTGCCAGTTTCCTCACCAAGCCCTTGTCAGTCACCAGTCTGACCCCATTTCCCCTGTAACTAGTGCCCAGTTCTGGGAACTCTGAGAAGGCTCAGAAAATTGACCAGAGACTGTTAACAATTTGCTATATTACAGGTTGAAACCTTGTCTTCTAGCCTCACTGACGTGAAAATCATGGCATAAAAAACCACCAGTTGTTCAATAAAGTTTATGAGAATGTTTAAGGAGCTTGTGCTGGGATAAAACAAATCAAAGTACAAGGCCAGGCCTAGTGCATGATTGCATGATTTAAACAGTCTACTCAATTCCTTCTTTACTTGTTGTCTGATAAATTTGCTGATCAGAGTCTCACAAAAATCCTTCTCACATCTGCTCTCATCACTGTGACATTGAGGTATTTCGACACCTGGAGTCATATCAAAGGTGGAAGATTTAGAATATCACAGCATTTTTTTCCAAGAGTTAAATGATTACTGGTCTTTGATTAAAATATGCCATGGAGTTTAATGGGAATCACACAGGGCGAGCCAAAAGTATGATTTTAAGTCTATTGGAGTCACTTAAAAAATGTAAAATTAACTGTAATCATGTATTTTATTTAAGCAAACATCTGAAATTTAAACATGTTGCCAATATAAAAATTATTAGTGATGTTTTATATGTTTCTTTACAATTATGTCTTCAAATCCTGGTTTGGATTTTACATGGACAGCACTTCTCAATTCAAACTAGCCACATTTCAGTGCTCAGTAGTCCCTTGTGTCTAGGGGCTGCCCCATTGGACAACACAGACTGGAAGCTTCATCATACAGAATCACTGTGGGAAACAATTTTACAAAATCAGTAGCAGTGGCTGTAATACTGCCATGCCATTAGGAAATTGGAAGCAAGCAAAGGATGTCTATGTTCACCCAATATGGCAACTCTGTTCACGGGTTTTGGACAAGATCATTTCTGTGGCCTGAAGAAGAAATCCTTCTGGCAGGGCAGTAACTCAATTCTGTGTTCAAGTTAGAGGTAACTTTTAGGAATTTATATCAAAGTGCAAAACATTGCTAAAACAAGGTTCCTTTACATATTTGCAGAATTTCCAGATAACTATTCTGTTTTCTTATGAAGAGATTTTTTAGAGCTTCTGGCAGTTTTTATTTTTTTTCTTCCAGCTCTTGTTGAGATTTTTTTATAGACCCTAAGTTGTTCATAATAAGCCACCCACTTTCAAATAGGTTCTCTCTGGTGCATCTGTTCCTAGCTGGTAGCAGTGAGCAAATTCGAGTTTAGAAACACTGTGAGAAATGTTAAACACTAGCATTTGGTGGAAGCAGGTGCCACGAGACCGACGTGAATGTCAGTAGTTGCAATTGATCGGGGATTCTGGGGAAACATTCATTTGGCCTCTGCTTAAAATTCTGGGAAGGGTGGCATAATATCCATGTGATTTCCCTTCAAGTTTCAGCTTTGGAAATATATCCCAAAAGCTGTGTGAATCTCTCATGAAGGCCAAGACCATATTGGCTGGGTTTTTTTTTCTTTTTTTTTAATTTAAGTCTTCTCCACTCTTTTCTCTCTTTTCTCCATGTACAGCATTTATGATTCCATTGTGCAAAATCTTACTTAGTCTCCAAGATTAATTCTACTTCACTTGACTCTAGTGTGGACTACCGAATTAAGAACATAGAAAGGGGAGGCAGCCATGTCTTTCCTAACCTACCATTTGCGAAAGAGAAAGGAATGACCCAAACTACGGATCTACTGATGATAAGGTGCCCATCTCTATTACACACACTTAGCCACTCCAGCTTCTCAGTTAAATGTCAATTTCAGACAAAAAAATAAACATTTAAGAATATTAATATGCCCCAAATATTGCATGGGGCATCATATATACATCATATATTGCAGCTTCTCTGAAACTCAACTTTAACTGGGCTTTTTTTTTTGAGATGGAGTCTCACTCTGTCACCCAGTCTGGAGTGCAATGGTGCGGTCTGCAACTTCCGCCTCCTGGGTTCAAGTGATTCTCCTGCCTCAGCCTCCTGAGTAGCTGGGATTACAGGTGACTGCCACCACACCTGGCTAATTTTTGTATTTTTATTAGAGATGGGGTTTCACCATGTTGGCCAGGCTGGTCTCAAACTCCTGACCTCAGGTGATCCACCCACCTCAGCATCTTTATTTTTAGTTGCTAAGTTTAGCAACTCTACATAAAAGGCCAATCTGGTTTTCAAGCCTTGACTGCGAACACTCTACATGCCTACCACGGAACAAGTGCCTGCCTTTTTACGCACAGTGTTCTTTGCAACGCTAGTGTCTTTGCATATCCATTTAGCCAACACATGTGTTGAGCATCTACTAAGAATACTGGTGATACCAACCTAAGTAAGTCATGGTTGCCATTATTAAAATACTTATAATCGAATAAAGTGAGTCATATACGCAAATAAATCACAGAAAACAATGTGTCACATGGGCTGACAATAATTGTCTGCACAAACTAGAATGTGGGCCAACGAGGGAGTGGTTCATTCCATTTGGGGATGTCTGGGAAGATGCCATAGAAGAGGTAACTTTAAGTAAAGACTCAGAGAAATGAGGAGCTACTCATTAGAGGGATGACTTTATCTGCAGAAGAAGTATCCCGAGAAAAGGCCAAGGCATGGGAAATCTTAGCGTGTCTGACAAATTGCAAGCAGTCCAAGGGGGCCGTGTGGTGGGATACCAAGTGTGAGGATCAGTAGCAAGAAATGGGTGGCTTAGAAGGCAGAGGCTCAACCATTGAGGGTCTTTTAAGCCTTGCTAAGGAATTTATTTATCTATTTATTTGTGGTAGCCAGTAGAACTCTTTTCAGGGTTTCCACATGAAATTCCTTTAACACTGACAATGCCTCCTCATTTTTTTAGGAAGCAACACACAGCCATGTTCTGTGAATCTTTTCACCATGTCCAGACCAACTGGCCGTTCTTCCTTCGGCTGACCACATAATAGCCTCATTGCTCTGCCCTAACCCTAACCCTCACTCTAGCCACACTGGCATGTGAGGACCTAGTCACAGCTTCTGTTCTAGACTGCTGTCCTTCTTAAGGGCGGCAAAGGACGAATTCCATCTCTGTCATCACAGAGCCCAGCAGAAGAGTCAGAAGTGTTAGATACTTATAGAATGAAGAAATTTGAACGGCACATTTCAAAGGAATTAAAGCACTGCCTACTTCTCTAAAATTCCATAATTTAATATAAAAGAGATCTATTAACCATGACACTGAGCCAGTATATTAGTTTGGTAGGCTACCATAACAAAATACCACAGACCAGGGGTATTAAAAAACAGAAATTTATTTTCTCACAGTTCTGGAGGCTGGAAGTCCAAGATCAGGGCATTGGCTGGTTTGGCTTCTCCTGAAGCTTCACTCCTTGGCTTGTATAATGCCCATCTTCTTGGTTTGTCCTCACATGGTCATCCCTTCATGTGTGTCTGTGCCCTAGTATACTCTTTTTATAAGAACACCAGGCCGGGCATGGTGGCTCATGCCTGTAATCCCAGTACTTTGGGAGGCCAAGGCGGGGGTGGATCACCTGATGCTGGGAGTTTGAGACCAGCCTGACCAACATGGAGAAACCTCGCTTCTACTAAAAAAAAATATATATATACAAAATTAGTTGGGCATGGTGGCACATGCCTGTAATTCCAGCTACTTGGGAGGGTGAGGCAGGAGAATCGCTTGAACCTGAGAGGTGGAGGTTGCAGTGAACCGAGATCACGCCATTACACTCCAGCCTGGGTGACAAGAGTGAAACTCCGAACTCTGTCTCAAGAGAAAAGAAAAAAAAAAGAACAATAGGGTCACACCCATATGACCTCATTTTTACCTCAATTACCTCTTTAAAGGTCTTTTCTCAAATACAGTCACATTTCTAAGGTACTAGGAGTTAGAACTTCAACATATTGTTTTTGAAGTTCTAACTCCTAGTACATTGGGAACCTGAGGCTCCTGCTGCAACTCCTGGAGTCACCTACTCCCTGGTGCTTCAGGTAACCGAGACCACCATGCTCAAGATGCTATGGTGCATGACTCAGCCCATAACATCTAGATAATGTGAAAAATAAAAATGTGAGTCACAGCCCCTGTCCTCAAGCTTCTTACATTCCAGTTTAGCTACAAATTCACAACTCACGGATCCTTTTGAAGTGTATCTGGCATCCACTATCAGTGGAGGGGATGAATAATTGTTAAGCACTCTGCATCCTTATTTGTAAACGATATTATAGCGTTCACTCCACAAGAGTCATTGAAAAAATTAAATGAGAATAAACATATCAGTGTTTCGTGAACAGCCCTATATTATAAAATACTAACCAGGCTATGATTTTGAAATATTTATTGATGTTTTTCCTTGTTTATTTTTCTTCTGTTATATATTTCCCACTTTTCTCTGCAGGCAATAATTAGGCAGCAGAGTCTAATTTCTGTTGGTTGTTTCAAGGATGGAACTTACAGTAAAGGAAAGTGGAGGGGAAGCATTTTATCCTAGTTTTTCTGTTTCAAATGTAAGGCCTTTAGTAAAATGGAAATGATTCACAATAGAAAACTTTAGGCAAGAATGTGCCAAGTGTGAGGGCTCCCCCATCCCACTCTCCTTCATGGGTGACGCCTAAAAGTGGGGTTATGAGGGAGGATTATAGGGAAGTAAAAAGACAACAGAGTGACTTTCCAACAGACTTTCTTTTCCATGCTGAAACAGAAAACAAAAGCTCTGTTTCTTCTGTTTTTCTGGACAGAGACCAAAGCAGCAAACCCTAGACTCTTGTGGTCCGAGGGGCAGGGGTGCCTTGTGCCTGAGCCTGAAGATGTAGGGAGGTCCAGAGAGGGCGGGCTCTGTGTGGGGCAGGTGGGCCCCGCAGGGATCCCTGCACACGTACTGTGGAATGGAGCCCAGGCCTGCAGAGTGGCTCTAAATCAGCAGAGCAAAGCTGGCTTCGAGCAGGTTCTGCAGATGAGGTTGCAAATGTCATTTCAGCAGTCACCGTGGATGGATTATCAGGAAGCTGTGTCGCAGATTGCTGGGGGAGCATGCGGCGGCCTTTGGGGCCTGCCTGCTGCTCCCGACCCCTGGATGCTGCAGAAATCATGAGTTCTGAGAACTTAGACACAGCCTGTGAGCAATGCCAAGAGCTATACATTTTTAATTAAATCAGGTGTGTTTCTGTCCGCCCTTCCTTCAGTTCTAGGAATTAAAATGCTGAGTTCTGGAGTTAAACAGGTACTTCACCCATGCTGGGTCTATAGAAAGAGATTCAGACACCCCATGATATTTTAATATTACAGATGAAGCTAATTTAATTTGTAGGAAACCTGTCTCTACTACACCCTCAAAATGAAACACTAATTACTCTAATAGTTTCTATTGCTTTTATCGGATTGGCTCTAATTTTTCTATATGTATCCTAATTGGGACTCCAGGAGTTGAATGCAGTTCCTAAGAATGGCCGGGGCCCACACGTGGCAAGAAGGTCCGTGGGCTCCTGTGCTCGTGCAGGAAGCCCCATGCACAGAGGCAGGGGCCAAGGAGAGCAGGAAGGTTCCAGACGGCCTGAACACAGGGCTTACCTAAGAGTGACGGAGGCAGGTCAAGAACACAGGATGAAAGCACCTTAGAAAACTTCAAGTGCTGAGAGAAATGGAAATAGAAGAAATTGGCAATACCCCTTAACTTCTTGACTCAAGTGTGCCTGCCCCAGGTGGCCTCTTTAAAGCTGTGCATCTGGCTTGTGTGCATGGAGGTGGCTCTCCGTGCTGAGGTGAGGATTCACTGCCTCGGGTCTGTTGGCCCTACCTCCACCTGCCCGAGTCTGCAGGAGGCCTCCTGTAGAATGTGAGGGGACTCCCTCCGCTGAGGGACAGTGTGTCCTCTGTGTGGTCTGGAGAATGTTGGGCAACATGCTCACATCTCAGTCTTTGACTCAGGGTGGCTGGAGCGCAGGCAGCAGGCTCAGGTTCCAGGCAGGCTGTGCTGACTTTTCCTCACTGACCTTGTCCGCCGCCAGGTGGACTGAACTCCCTGCCAGGTGGCCTCCCTGTGTGTGTTCAGCAGGTGGCCCTGGGAGCAGAGAAGAAAGGAGTTCTGTTTGTGACTCTCAAAGAGGCCAAGCTGACAGGACCAACTCTGTTCAGGGACTTTGTTTTCCTGCTCCAAGCTTCCAGGGTAGCCGATGATTAACTGAGCACTGACCTTGTGACTTGTACTCAGGGCAGGCTGGCTGGAGTCCATGGGAAGCAGGTGTTCCCCCAGGTGACACCAACAAGGAACATAACGGGGCCACAGACACAGTCACAGACCGTAATGATGGGTCCAGGCTGGGGTCCAGCACGTTCCTAGATTCTCACACTCCTGTTCTCCGGTAAACCATGGAGCAGAATGGCTCAAAAACACAGCCTGGGGCCACTTTGCACACTCTCAGCTGCAGATGCCCAGAACTAGGGCTCCCCCTGCACCTCCTGGAGTCATCGCCTTCCTAGTGCTTCAGGTAACTGAGACCACCAGGCTCAAGGGCTGCCTCCTCCCCGTGGCCTGTGATCATCTGAAAGCATCCCGGGGTGCACACTAGTCTCTGATCTCACCGCCCTGGGCCTGGCCTCTCTGCTCAGTGGAGGAGCAGGGGACTGTCCAGGGCCTTCACATAGCCTTAGCCCTCAGCCATTCCTTCCTATCTTGAGGGCATTCTTTGCCTTTTCCTCTCCTTGAATAGGATAGGAAGTCATTTGTATCAAATCCTCCAGGGCTTGAACCTTTACTCTCTCCTCTTTTGCCTCAACGTTTCCCCTCTGCTCCCCTGGAAGCTGCCTCTACTTTTGGCCAGATTTCTAGAGTTTGATGGCCAGGTTTGGCCTAGTCCAATTTTGCGGGTTTTGTTTGTTCGTTTGTTTTTACTGTCTCTACTGAGATATCACTGGCATACCATACAATTCACTCATTTGCAGTCTACAGTTTTATTTTATAATTTATTCCTAAGGTTGTACAATCATCACCACAATATAATTCCAGAACATTTTCATCAACCAAAAAAAATCCGGTACCCATCCTCAGTCACTTGCCACCACCCCCAACCACTAGGGGCTTATTCTGGAAGTGTTATCTAAATATACTTATATAATAAGTAACATTTTATGTCTGGCTTCTTTCACTTAACAAAACATTGTCAAGGTTCACCCATATTGTATCATGTAGAAATCATTTTTTATTACTAAATAGTGTTCTATTGTATGGATATGCCACATTTTATTTAGTCATTCATTGACGAACACTTACATAAAAGTTTTCATGAACATATGTTTTTATGATTTCTAGACATATACCTAGGTGTTGATTTGCTGTGTCATATAGTATCTCTGCATTTAACACTTTGAGAATTGCAGTTATTAATATATAAGTTAAACAAAATAAAAACGTACTTTCAGAAAAAAGGTAATCTTCCTTTTTCTGTATGGAACCAATCACAAATTGGCATTTCCTGGGAAATATGGAGAATCTTGATGTTTCTGAGCCTGCAACAGTGGGCAGGTAGTTGAGAGAGATGTGCCTCTTTTCTGCCTTCCATCTGCCTGTGGACTGAGAGCCTTGGGCTCAGAGGCAGGGCAGAGGCAATAATTAAAGTTTGCTCACAAAGACTGGGATATTTGGATTAGCCTCAGATAGTGTTTTTCTCACCTATAAGACTGAGTAGGGATGACATCCCTCTTTCACATGTTTTGTTGTTGTTGTTTTTTTTTTTTTTTTTTTTTTTTTTGGTGGCGGAGTAATGGCATTTGTGGATGCCATGGGTTCATTTTGACATGTCTGGTCTTTGCTGAGTGAAAATCACTGTCCTTCCAGAATAGGCTTGAGCAAGTTTACTTTCCTTCTCATCAAGGCTGGCGTGAGCGATAAGGAAAGAGGTCCTGGTCTTTGTTCTCATTTCCACATCTGCCCTTGTGGCTCTTCTTCCCCTGGTGCTGCCCCCACTGGCGACCACAGCCCTGCCCTTGTTTTCTGTGCTGGTTGTGTTGCCGTGACTAGGAGAGAGCCTGGGTCTAAGTAAGTGATGATACGTGCTTTTTATTTGAGTGAACCAGTGACCCCTGTCACCCAGGCTGCAGGAGTCAGCTGACTTTGGATGTGCAGTAGGATACTTCAACCACAGTAAGGGCTCATTTGAGAAAAGAGGCAGTAAGTTTACAGCGGCTCTAATCTGCCATGCTATGTGTAGCTGCTATGATTAATAGTCGCCACCGGCTTTTGTGAAAACATGAGACTCCCTCTATATTTTTTAAAACTGCACTCATTCCAAGCTTCCTTCTAGCTCAACAGCAGGAAAATTAAATTTAGTTCATCTATTAAACTCAATCCAGTCCAAAAACTTTCTAGTACTTTTCTTTTGAAGTAGAGACTGTATTTCCCACTTTAAAAGAGAGGAATATGATGTTATTTGTGTCTTATACCACTATCAGATGACTAAAAACCTTTTACTTTAGGGCGAGGTTGGACTCTGCATTCCTATTGCTAGCACAGAGCTGTGGTGAGTCAAATTGGAGCCTGAGATTTTGATGCTTCTTCATGTTGATTTTTGGGTTAATTCGGATTAATTGTATTGCATTCAAATATTATTCATGATGACTGGTTTCTGGCATCCCTTTGTTATATACCTGAGAAAAGTGAGGGACTTTGTTAACTTGGTATCCTCCATGGCCTAGCATGTAATCAGCTCTCAGTAAATATTTGCTGAATTTGGGAATTAAGAAGAGACTCATGATTGTGGTTTTTGTTTGTTTGTTTGTTTTGCATCTGGACAATCTCTGTAGACACTGCATTCTCCAGGTAGTCTTCAAAGCCAATGCACAGAATCCGAAGATACAGGTCATGCAATAGGCTCCACCCAGTAAGGCATAGTAGCACTCATGGGATCCACAGCATTCATGGAGTACAGATGTGGGGGTTGTGAGCAGTTTGGGGACTAGAATGCTCTCAAGTATACACCTTTAGGAAACTAGGAGCTTTAACAATTCTGGGTCCCATTCCCTTGGCACAGTGAAGTTAAAAAGAGAGCACACTTTAAAGCAAATCATGGTTCAGAGCAGTGGAGAAATGAAACATGGACTTGGCCCTAGAAAGAACTGGGCACAAATGCTGACTCTACCGCCTACTGGCTATGTCACAGGACAAGGGATCTGACCTCCCTGAGTCTTTATTTCTCTGTGTAAACAATGGACCCAATCCTATTAATTTCAGATAACTGCATGGAGAACTGCATGACCATAGGGTAAGAGGCAAGTGCACACATGTTATGGAGAGAATCTTCAATAAGGGGTGTCTTATAGCACTGCTAAGTTCAGTGGCCACATGAGAACTTATTTGAATGATGACCGACTGTTAACCCGTCAACTAGTGGGATCTACCCTGATGGCTCTGGGGCCAGCAGCTACTAAACTTACACCAGAGTGTATGTGAACAAAGACTAATTTGTAATTTGTGCAATTTAGTGTTCACATCCTCCAGAGACATAGCTGAGGTTTGTGCTATGGCTGCCAAGCACTGCCATTTATTCCTGCTGCAGCTAGAGCTGGGGCAGAATCCAATCTCATCACAAGTACTTTAGATTCCTTGGAAGAAAGGGTTTCTGTTGAATATTAATATAAACTGTTATTATAGATACCCGCCAAAGTCGCCTTTTTATTTTGTATCTCATCAGAGGTTGTAAAATAAAACCTTCCAGGAAATATGCAGTTGATTGGCTTTGTTTCATTCCAACAATGATTTGCAAAATTGGGACTTCAATCTTCTTGGATGTGTACATTTATATACCTGACATCACATACCAGAGAGAGTTAGGCTGGGTAAATAGGCTTCCATTTAACCCTGGGTCACTAATGCTTTTCCACTGGCATGATGCATGATGAAGGGATGAGTGGGCTGAAGTCAGACATAGCTTCAAATATGTGAGCTTTGTTGGCCTTGGGATGTCTGGGCATTTGAAGGAAAGTTTGCGCAAAGGGAAAGTTCTCCTTCCATCTCCTTTCATTTCCACTGCTGGGGTTAGGCTCTTTTTCTTCTTTTCCTCTGTGTTTGCAACACATTGTCTTTCCTTTGCCATCTGGCTGTGTTCTCTACTATTGTTCCCTGGCCTGGAGATTCTCTCGGCTCTGTCGACAGCTCCTTCTTCTTGTTTGCTGTGTGTGTGTTTGTCTTTCTGGGATGAAGTTTGTTTTTCAAGCTCTGACAGACTGGCAAGGCAAACAAGGTTGCCATTTTTGTTTTGTTTTGTTTTTATGAGTATGGCAATTTTTAGCCCTTTGAAAACAATCCGGAGACTTGGGAGGTTATAATTCGGGATGCCATGTGTATAGGCATACATTCAGAGCTTATTGTGGCTGAGGAAACGAACTGAGGAAAGGAGGTGGAAGACAGATTAATGTGGATGATTTATAAATTGTAAAGGGACCAAGCTCCTGACAGAACTAAAAGATGAAACAGCAGAAAGGGAAGGAATTTTAGAGAATATTTTGAAAAGTTAATGTTGAAGAATATGTTTATGTCTGTATATACATATGTATATAGAGTGCATAAATAAACATTGCATCTCACACATACACTTACCTCCTGCTTATATATGTCAGGCTTCTGGCAACCTCATTCTTTTAGAATCCACAGGAGTAAAGACAAAAGGGTCCCTGAATGTGGTAAATAGTGATCTCAAAGTTATGCCGTAGGCATGGGACACACCTCTATCTCCATTTGGCAGATAAAAAAACCAGAGGGTCAAAGAACTTCCACAACTTGCTTCAAATGAAAGAGCTGTGAAACCACAGAGCCAAGGGTAAACTCTAGGCTTACTTTTGGATCCAGGTTGAACCTGGAGGCCTCAGTGTCAGAATGATCTCAAAAGGTGCAGAATCTGAGATACATCTGTGAAATCCCACCACTTACCTCTAGATATTAGCAGTTAGTCCCATGAGAAGCAGAGTTATTCAAAAGAAGGTCTTAGGACTGGGTCTAGGCAATGATTTTCTTTAAGGATGCATGCAAAGGTAGAGGTCATTTGGGAAAGAAAATTAACAGCATACCTTAGAGCTCATCTTTCTTTACAACAGTCCTCTCTTTTTACTATATATTTCATTCTCCATTTAGACATGACAGCTCTTTGGGAGTATGAGATGTATTTATTTACAGTAATTTTGACTTAGATCTTTTTACAAGTCTCATCTTTACCATCAGTTAGCTGTTTTGGCTATGAGGACACCCATATTTTAAAGGTGAACGTTACTGAATTCTCAGAGTCATATATCTTGCTTGGAATCTGATCACACTGCAAGCCTTCATCTTTAGAAAAAAACAAAGAGGAAACTAGTTGTGAAAGTATATTGGGGATTTAAGAGCTAAACAAGAGAAGATTATTTTTACTATTATGAGTAAAGTACTAATTTTTGCAAAGCAGTGCCAGTAGTGGATCCAAACCAAGCCTGCCTCTCTGGTTATGGCCTATGGTTTCCTGAATCCTCAAATGACATAAGAACATGTCTGAGCTTGAATACTCAACCCCAGACTTCCTAAGAACCTAGATTTGATCTGAAATTCACTAACTCCAAATGATGGAATGGTCTCCAACCAACACAGAAAAAAATGTTTCAGAGTTACTGTCTTTTGTTATAAGAGTCTACACCATTTCTGGTAGAAATTGATGTTATAAAAACAACACATTCAAATGGTAAAAGTGAGTCAACATGTTTGTAAGCCCTTTGAAGGCAGAGGCTGCTGCCTCTCTACTGCTTACTCAGCTCAATGGGCTTCAGTAGGAGGATCTCATTGCATGAAGTCTTCTGGTTTTGTGGAAAAGTACTTCATTGGCTTGTGGCGATGGTCCTGGAGAAAGATCTCTTCCTTCCCCACCCCCCTTTCCTGTTTTATACTTTTTAAATTTTCTTTGGTATTAATGAACAAAGAACAGTTAAACACCATCAGTCAATTTATCATAACTAACTGTTCCATCATTTGGTAATGAATAGTGTAAATGACTGGTAGGAGAATAATAACAGCAGTGAAGATATTATGAAGGACCTTTTATATTCTCAGCCATGTAGATGAAGCTACACGGTACAGAAAACTGACACTCCATTGAACACACTTATTTCTCAATGTGAATACCATATCCACAATAAAACAGAAAAAAAACCCAGGGCTGTCAACTGTGTTTTGGAAAGTGTTCATGGGAAGACACAAGCATAACATGGAGGTGTTAAATGGCAGATCTGTGATAAATAAATGTGTTATTTTGATGTATACGAGTGATAATTGGATTTTAAATTACCCAAATATAAAGAATAGAATCTATAGTGCAAGAAGTTTAGTTATGAAAAGAATTATTTAAAAAAGCTCTCTCAGCCTTACATACAATTTAAAAATACACACACACACACACACACGCACACACATATATTGGGAATACCCTGAGTTTCCATTTTCCAGTCACAGACTTCTCGATAAAGTATCGTGACAAGTTCATAAAGGATGAAATGAAATTCCTCTTAACCTCTATCTGTTTATGAAGAATGAGGATTAAACAAGAATTTCTAACCAATGAGGCATTCTATAAATTCTTGCTGCTATTGCTTTGTATATCAGTAGCCTAATATGCCATGGAGTAGGACTACACAGCCTCCTAGGAACATGAGAACATTGTCAGAAGAAAAAAAGGTTATGTATAAAAGTATGTCATTCTTTTATTCATACTTCACTTATTCAATGGATGTTGGTTAAACATTGTTATTTACCATGCACTCTTTATGGTATGGTTTGGCTCTGTGTCCCCACCCAAATCTCATCTCGAATTGTAATCCCCAAGCATCCAGGAAGGGACCTGTAATCCCCGCATGTCAAGGAAGGGAGGTGATTGGTTCATAGGGACAGTTTCCCCCTGTTGTTCTTATGATAGTGAGTGAGTTCTTATGATACCTGATGGCTTTCTAAGTGTTTGACAGTTCCTCCTTCACATGCTGTCTCTACTGCCACCTTGTGAAGAAGATGCCTGCTTCCCCTTCTACCATGATTGTGAATATCATGAGCCGCACCCCAGCCATGCAGAACTGTGAGTCAATTAAACCTCCTTTGTTTATAAATTACCCAGTCTTGGGTAATATCTTCATAGCAGTGTGAAAACAGGCTAATACACTCTATTTCATCCTTTCAATGAATTTTGTTATTTAATCTTTACAATAGCAGTAGGCGAGTGATACCAGCATTATGCCCATTTCAGACTTGAGGAAACTGACATACATAATTTGAGAAACTTGGCTAAAGTCATGCAGCCTTCAAATAGCAAGCCTGAGATTATCTCCTGTGAGTGACGTGCACGTCAGGCTCACTGAAACAGAAAATGGAGGGCCTGGTCATCTCAGGATCTGATTTGTCCTTGAAAGATTTGGCCTCTGTGTTTGGGAGAGTCTCCGGATGGTTATAACTTTGTGATAATAAATGGCTGATGGTAAATGTGGGTGTTATGATCAAGCAAATTAAGATAGAAAGCAGAGATGTGGAAATAAATTATTTCTATCTGGATACTCCATATGGATCTCAGAAAGCTTGAATACAGATAGAGGAGTTCTTAACAATGAGAGATTTAGAAACAGGCTTTGATCTTTTTCCCTTTCTGGTCAACTATGTATTTAATTCTTCCTAAACTTTCATTAAGTTTTATTGCATATACTACTAGTAGCATAAAGGTAAATTTGAGTAAACATAACCTCTGAGTTTTTATGAATCCAAAGTCAGGGTATCCTAAATACTAACAGTGTTCTTATTCAGATATTTTGCAACTAATGAGGCCTTTATGATGGTAATGTTTCCTTCTAGTAAGATTAAAGAATCATACAATAAAACAGTCCACATTTCTGTATGGAAAAGCTATCTTCCACTACAGGTTAGTGCAAAAGTAATTGCGGTTTTTGCCATTAAAAAGTCGCTTTTGCGCCAACCTAATATTATTTCAAACAATGGATGGTAACAATTTTATGCAGGCTCTCATCAATATGTGAAGATCATAAATGGAAAATAGATTTAAAAAATACTACAGGCAGAAAGTCAAAAAAGGTTTATCTGATTTTGCACTCATGACATTTAAGATGAGAGAAGTGAGGCCGAGCGCAGTGGCTAACGCCTGTAATCCCAGTACTTTGGAAGGCCGAGGCAGGCGGATCACGAGGTCAGGAGTTTGAGACCAGACTGACCAACAAGGTGAAACCCCGTCTCTACTAAAAAATAAGCCAGGCATTGTGGCACATGCCTGTAATCCCAGCTACTCAGGAGGCTGAGGCAGGAGAATTGCATGAACCCGGGAGGCGGAGATTGCAGTGAGCCGAGACTGTGCCCCGGCACTCCAGCCTGGGCAACAGAGCAAGACTCCGTCTCAAAAAAAAAAAAAAAAAAAAAGAAGAGAGAGAGAGAGAGAAGTGAAACCAAAAAGTTTAAAAAAAAAATCTAAAAATACCCAAGCTGGGCATGGCAACATGTGTCTATAGTCCCAGTTACTCAGGAGGCTGAGATGGGAGGACCACTTGAGCCCAAGAGTTTGAGGCTGCAGTGATCTATGATGGTAACACTGTACTCTAGCCTGATTGACAGACTGAGACCCTGTCTCTAAGAATAAATAAATAAAAATTAAAAAAATAAAAATAACCAAAAATATGAGATTGATGTCTGTGTGTAACCTAAATTCTAGAAGAGGATCTTCTTCCAGGTTATAGGAGTTGAAGAATATTGGCACATTCCTAGAAGGTGTGGCAACATGGCCCCACAGGACATGATTAGTAAAAGAAAAGTGACATAGGGCAGGAAATCCTATTCTACAAATATTTTCAGTTTTATATACTGATATTATACATTAGGCTGATTCTGGCAATCCCTCTTTAATCTGTCATTTTAATATGGTTGGTGATATTGAACAACACAAGTGAATTTAAATATTGACATAATCAATGTGGTAATGTGATTTAAAAATGGAGGAAAAAGATAATTTCAAAGGAAGAGACTCATGGCAAATGTGCCGTGGCATGATAAATACTATGGGGCAGGAAATGTGTGCCCATGGGAATCAGCATCAAGGACAATGAGATGAAAGCCACAGTTTTGGGTTGTCTAAAGTTACTAGTTACAGTGGCAAGATATGATTGCAAAAGCAAATTAAAATATCAGTTATCATATAGAACATAATGAGTAGCACAAATCCATCTTGGACTCTTATCTGATAAAAGTTAATAATTTATTAATATGAGGACGATATCATTATTAGTGGTTACTGTCCTAATATAGTAATTGGTAGAGAATAAGGAGAAAATCAGCCATTGCAAAAGAGTAGGAATTGAAATGAAAATATCTGAATCCTAGTCTTTGCTTCATCATTAAGTAGCTATGTGCCATGCCTTAACGTAGAATTAGTGAAAGTTCTGAAAGGTAGAATGTGAGCAAAAGTCTTTTAAAGAACTATAAACAAAACACAAGTGATTTTCACATCCAAGATTTTATATCGGGTATTTTAGCAAAGATATTTCTTTTGTCCTACGTATATCTCTTTTTTGTTTATTTATTTAGGATGTAAAATATGTACAGTAGTGAGGCATTGAAATGTCATTAAGCCTTGTGTTATGGTTTATATACCTTAAAGAAAAAGGATTTGAAGAATTTTACTAATCTCAGTTGCCTCTCAATTGCCCATGATGATTATCAGGTTTTGGGAGGGAACACAGTCAAGTTATCCAGTATTATACCAACCCTTAAGTTAAGAAATAAATCATAAATTTTAGGGCCAGGCGCGGTGGCTTATGCCTGTAATCCCAGCACTTTGGGAGGCTGAGGTGGGCAGATCATGAGGTCAGGAGATTGCAACCACCCTGGCTAACACAGTGAAACCCCGTCTCTACTAAAAATACAGAAAAATTAGCCGGGCATGGTGGTGGCTGCCTGTAGTCCCAGCTACTCAGGAGGCTGAGGCAGGAGAATGGCATGACCTGGGAGGTGGAGCTTGCAGTGAGTGGAGATCGCACCACTGCATGCTAGCCTGGGTGACAAAGCGAGACTCTATCTCGGAAAAAAAAAAAAAAAGAAAGAAAGAAAGAAATCATAAATTTTAATAAAAATAAAAATAAAAAACTGTACAATGACAAAAATCAAACATATCAAACTTAGAGGATTCATCTTAATATTTTAAAAAAGAGTTAATAAACTTAAATGATTATATTTTTGAAAAAAGTTTGAAAATTAATAAGCTAAGCATCAAATGTATAGAGAATGAATTATTAAAAAAATAAAAAATAGAAGGAAAGATAGGAAAGGCCAGAAATGAATGCAAAACAAGATACAATGGTCACATTAATAATGCTACAATGTAATTTCCTAATAAAAATTGATAAACCTCAAATAAGATTTAATAGGCAAAAATGAGAGAAAGTATAACCAAATATTGGGAATAAAAAAGAAAACATTGCTAAATAGATAGTAGAGATCTAAAATATGAGAATATTTTGATCAACCTTACATCAATACATTTAAACAAAACAGAGAAAACAGAAAACTTTCTTAAAATAATAATGTTCCAAAGCAGACTCAATAAGAAATGGAGAAAAAGAACAGTTTTATAAGCATTGAAGAAAATGAATTAGTAGCTCAAAATATTTTCAGGAAGGAAATGACAAGCCTAGACAGTGTGATAAGCAATCTCTAACATCCTAGGAATAAATAATTCTAATTATAGGTGAACATTCCCAGAGAGTAAAAGAGGAGGGAATATTTTCCAATTAATTTTGTAAAGATGGTACAACTTTGACACCAAAACTAGGCAAAGTTAGTACAAGAAAAAATATTAAAAGTAAATTTAATTTTTAAATATATGTGGGAAAAATCTAGAAAATATTAACAAACCATATCTAATAATGTATAGAAAAGATAATATAAAATGAAACATTTTGGTTTATTCCAGAAATTCATGATTTAGTTTCACATTTAAAAATCCATTAATACAACTTACAATATTAACACATTTAGGAAGAAAAATGATCTTAATATACATAGATAATTTTCTTAACATTTACCATCCACTTATGATAAAAATGATTAGTAAAATGGAAAGAGAAGAAAACTGCCTTAATATATTAGAATATTTCATTAAGTAGAGAAAAGTTAAATAATTTCCTCTGAACTCAGAAAAAGACAAGGATGCTCACCAGGACACTGCTATGCAACATTTTACTAAATATTTAAGCCCAAGATATAAGACAAGAAAAATTATTGATAGACTGGGAAGTCAAAAACAATATTGTCAGTATTTGCTGATGCTGTGATTTTCTATAAAGAAAACACAAATTTCTATACCTTTATATAGAAATCATTAGCATTATTATAAGCGTGTAGCAAGACTGATGAATTTGAAATCATTATGTAAGGGTCAACTGTACTTTTCTACCACATAGATAAACTACCCAAAAGATGGAAGGTAAAATACCTAAAAATAAGTCTGATACTAAATAAATGCATCTTATTCATGAAAAAAATTATTAAGATATTAAAAATATTGAAAAGGAGTTAAATTCACTGAGAGCTCATTCTAATGCATAAAAATACAGCAATGTAAAGACAACAGTTGTGCACAAGGATAGAAATAGGTGAGTGGAACAGAAAATAAGAACCCAGAAACAGATCAATGGTCAAAAAATTTCAATACATGAAGCCAGAAAAGATGTATGATTGTATGGAAAAATAAAAGAAGATTTCTATTTCAGACTCTACACACAAATACATCTCATATAGCTTAAGGTTTATATGTGAAAGTAATAAAAAACTCTTTCATATCTGTATGTTTGGTACCCAGAATACTCACTACTGTTGAGGTCGTGGTGCAACACTGCCTGTGCAGGAATGGAGACAGGTTCAGGAATGTCCACAGCAGAACCGGTTGCTGCAGGAGACTGAAAACCACCCAAATGTCAATTGAAGGAACACAGACAATGTTTAGTAAAGAAAAAAAAAATACCGTGGCTGCAATCACTATGTAAAGCAGGAAAGATCAATGAATTATAGGTGCCTGACATCAACATGGAAAGAAAGGTGGAGTGGAGAAAGAAAACACATTGTGAAGAACAAATACTACATAATTGCGGTTATATAAGTTTCAAAAGGTAATATGTTGTTTAGAGAGTCATACTTTTATGAAAAAGTCATTCTTATTTAAATAGGAAGGGATGGTAAAATCACAGTTGAGGAGAGTGGCCAACTCCACACTGTGAAAAAGGGGACTGAGCCAAGAAGGGCACAGGCGGCTTCAAATGTTTTGACATGATTCTCATTCCTATCTGAGAGTACATGCATGAGACCCCATTTCAACTGCATTCTCCTATCTATCCATCATCTATCTATCTATCTATCTATCTATCTATCTATCTATCTATCTATCTATCCATCATCTATCTATCTATCTATCATCTATCTATCTATCACTTTATAATTAAAACAAGGAAAGAAAGGAAGGGAGTGGAGGCGGGGAGGAAGGAAGGTAATGGGATATCCCCTCATTTCTCCCAGTTCATCTTTGAATCTAGTGCAAAGAAACTGGGAAGACATTCACAAGTTTACAAGATCACAGGGTATCTGAGTGGAGTAAAGGAACTGAGAGACAGAGCCTCTGGACTCTGTTCTGCAGAATCAGGAGGTGAGCCTGGGGGTTAAAGAGCTGAAGGAGAGCGCAGGACACTGAGTTGGGGGCCAGGAACATAAGAGCTTTGGGTCTACACCAGGGAATGTGTCTAGTCCGATTGCAGAGGACTCTGAGTGAATTTTGCAGGAAGGAGCCGGATCAGGAGGAAGTTGCCTTCTGAAGTGCCTGGATGAGCCTCCTGGGCAACTGATGAGAGAGCGCAGGAGGAAGTTGCCTTCTGAAGTGCCTGGATGAGCCTCCTGGGCAATTGATGAGAGAGCGCAGGAGGAAGTTGCCTTCTGAAGTGCCTGGATGAGCCTCCTGGGCAACTGATGAGAGACAGTTAGGGCCGCAGACAGCTCCCCCAGCGTCTGCACCTCTAGCAGGACTGGGGGCAGTCAGCAGGGGTTCTTTGGTTTGTAAGCTCTGCTGGGAAGAGGGGTCCCATAGATTGCGAGATGGCTGGAGGGGTCCTTATTCTCAGGACCCCCACCCAACTGGCCTCTGCCGCCATCTGAAGGCCTTCCAATCTACTTCCCACAGGTGCCTGATGGCACTTTCTGGCTCAGATATCAGAATGCATTATTTCCCACCCCCATAACACACACATACACACACTTTAGTGTTTTCAGGACCACCCTTAGCCTTCAGAATAAAATCCAGACTCAAGGTGTGGGATGTGGACTTTCCCATCTGTATGGCTCATGACATCCCCTCTGACCCTATGTCCTTTATTACCAGAAAATCAGAACTCCTTGATTTTCCAAGCATAAGCCATCCTCACCCATGCCTCTGATCATGGGTGCTTGTTGTCACCCTGACCTTAGTACCTTCCTGTCAAAGCTCATTTACCCTTTAGGGATCAGCCCAAGCACCAGAACATCCTTTCCTGGATCCTTCAGACTGATTGGGCCTCCTTTTCTCTGCCCTACTGTCCCTGAAGCAAATCTCCTGGAGAGTAGTGATTACCTGGCACTATCATTCTCACCGCTAGGGTAGGAACCTGGTGCCTTCCAAGGATTTTACATTGAACTAATGCATAAGCTTCACCATGAAGTCATTCCTGAAATACAAGAGAAACCGTCTTTTTTTCCCTGTCCCTCTGCTTCCATTATCTAAGGAATCAGATCTTTGGCAATGAGGGAGACCAACAGGACATCCTGGTAAAGTTTGCAGATGAAAAGCCCTAATCAATGACCTTGAACTTGAACCATTCATAAACTCAATATCCAGATCTTAGATTTCTTAATAACAAAATGATCAAAAACAAAAACGCTCAGGAATACAAGGAGCCTCCCTGCAAGCCCCCGCCTTGAGGGCCTTATAATCTGAAGACTCACTTTTTGAGAGTCACTAACCTATACAAACTTCTAACTCTTTGCTATGGACCCCCAATAGCGACAATAAGCTACCACAGGCTCCATTTATTATGACGAAGTAAACAGCCCAGTTGATTAATGAACGACGCGTGTAAGTGAAGCAGAACAGACAATTACGGGTGAAAACAATGCGTGTTTTGGGGTTCCAAGGAGAAATAGATCAATATGGTTTCATATAGGTAAGGAGCACAGCTAGAGGCAGGGAGTGATTAATGCGTTCCACAGTGTTCCACGGGAGAGTAGCTTGTGGCCAGACTCAGAGACATTAATTAGCGGAAGCAGGAGGAAGTGGAATGCACAGTGCACAAACAGTAAGAGGACTGATACAAAATGGGTGAGGGCTCTGAGAGTCAGAAGAAAAGTCAAATCAATGTGTCGGCAGCAGTTGTGCAATAATTTGACATCTTGGTAGTTCTTTCCAGTTAAAATAATGCAGGTTATAATAAGACTGTCATCTTCCTGACAGTTTTTTTTAATCCGCTTTATTCTCAGTTTTGCAAAAGCACTATTTTGATGCTGCATTTGTTCATTCGTGTATCAAACACTTTAAAACACCTCCTCTGGGCTTGATGTGACACTGAGTACTAAGTATACGAAGATGAGTAAAACATGGAAAACACAAGGAGAAGTAATCAGCATTCACAGGTTGTGATGAGTGCTATCAGAGAGTACACAGAAATGCTCTAATGCCAAGATCGAAGCACCAGAGCCAGCAGAGTCCATGCAATGCACAGAATCACAAAAGAACTATCCCTGAACAAGAAGCCAGACCCTGGTCTCAGCTCCGCTACTGATCAGCTCATCAGCGGGGGCAAACCATTTCCCACTCTGGGAAGACAAATGGAGACTGGAAATGGGTGGAATAACTTAAGGAATATGCTGGCTCTAGGAATCCAGGCCAAGGCCAAAGACAGTCACAATTTGTAGTGCCTCTGAGCCACAAAGAACCAATAGCACTTCTCGTTAACCTTTCTACAGAAATTCAGAGCTCCTGGAGCCACATGAGGAGGCCCACAGGTTCATGCAGACTTTCTCGGTCTACTCCTGAGCCTCACAGCATACCTGAGGCCCCGCAAATGTGCAGGTGGGTCTTGATCATCCCAGGCTTTTGCTCTTGTGTTGCCTCTGTCTGTGACATCATTTCCCCCACTGCACCTTCTTCTCCTGGAAACAGCCCTACTTCTCCTGTAAAGCTCCTTTTACCTGCTAAGTGGTGTTATGATGATCTGTTTCATGCAGTTTTCTGTACTAACTTGTATGACTTTTCAAGGCAGGGGCTCTGTCTTTGTCATCTCTGGATTGTAATAACATGACACAGTGCCTGGCACCTTGCGTGTGTGTGTGTTTTTTTATTTGAGAATGCATGACATGAACACACTATACAGCCTAAATAAATCCCTGTTTTCTTTTATTACAGCCATAAAGCAGTTGTAAAATGAAGAGGAGATGGTCTGGGTGCTTTGACATAGTGGGTGGATGTCTGAAGGTGAAGGTGGGACCGATTTTAAAGGAGGTGTCTATAGGAGCTTCCAGGTCCCCTAAATCCCACTGGCTCTGCCAGTGTTTGGCCTTCAGGTCTGTGAACTTGTCTCCCGAGGACCCCAGGGTTAACTAGACTCAGGGATGCTGATCAAGACAAACCAATCCCCCAGACACCAATGGTCATAACCAGAATCATGATTTATTAATTTGCAGGGGGAGCTGCATCTGTTGGAAAGACCAGATACAGACACTCCTGTAAGACTATCACAATCCCTACCTGTAGAAAAGCCCCATGGGAGCCAAATCATAATCAGAGGGCTGCTTGTGGAGAATGCAACCCAAGCAGAGAGATGTAGTAAAGGAAAAAACTGTCCTTGGCATCAGGCTGAAACCACTGGGGGCTTCTACCTTGCAACTGGCCTCTATCTAGGCAGGGGCACAGTCCTCCTCTGGCAGAGTTTGGATGGGCACCAGCAATTCAGACATGTAAAATCATGACCATAGAAAGCCACCCAGGCTTGGGATTAAGTCCCTCTACCCATGTGGTCTTCATACACTTAACTTCATCTGTGAGGCTCAGCTCCTCACCTGTGAAATGAGAATAGTGGTAATACCCACCTCTAGAGTGTGCGAAGATTAGACATGGTCTGGAGAAAGCAACTGGCTCAGAGCCTGGCACATGGCAGGTGCTCTACAAATGGAATGTTCTCACATTCACCCCAGGAGTCTCCCCTCACAGATTCCCCTTATCCAGGCTTGTGCTATAAATAGGCTTCCATCAAGTTTAGATGGCTTGGGAGCTCTGTAGTCCCTTTAACCTGGCTTAGCCTACTGTTATACAGGAATGGTTTCCAGGGGAAGGGTTTTCCTAGCCTCTGGGTCTCACTTCTCCCCCCCTTTTTTTGATAAAAATGTTCTAAATTTTATTGAGATAATGGTGATACAACTCTGTGAGTACACTAACAAAATTGAATTATCCACTTTACATGGGTAAGTTGTATGGCATGTTAATTATATCTGAATGAAGCTATTAAAAATAAAATGAAAACTTAACAAAGAAAGGGGGGGAAGAGTGAACACTGATTCCCATGAATATTTAGTTCTAATAGTGAAAATTATACAGAAACTTACATTTTAAAATAATAAACTGTAAAAAATAGCAAAACAGCAACAATTTGATTATGCTATTCCTTCTCTTACAATGTTGCTTTGAACATATCCACTATTTTGATATTCTATTTTGAATGACCTCCAGGTTATCACACTGAAGAGATGGTGTCCCAAAGTGAATTTATGGCCCAAGATGGAGTGTTTCTCTCTCTTCCCTTGTCCTAGACAGTCTTCTTTTACAGATGCAGTCAAATAGCTCGGTAAATCCTGCTTTCCTCTCTAAATGCTCACAGAACACTCTTACATTGGTGAGTTCTAAATTGCGGACCGGAATGGGTATCAAACAATATCCAAATCACTTCTCCCTTTTATTCCCCTGCTCCTTGGAGGATGGTGTGGAGCTGCTCTTCATGGATGTCTTTGGTTTGGGGAGGCTAAGATCCATGCTTCCATGAGGGATGGTAGTTAAATGCCTAAACCTGGCATCACACTTCCTAGCAGGACCCTTGGGCTCTCACACTGCCTATGTCTGTCAACATAGACACCACAGTGATCCAGGGCTTATCTTGGCTTCAACCTGCCATTCTTTTATTTTAGTTCTCAACTTGTTCTGAACCCTGGTGAAGAAAAATTTCCCTATCTACATGGAGATCCTTCAGAAACTCAACACCGACCTAAAGTCTCTATTATTCTGCACTGTTCTAAGTGTTGAATTTGTAGAGTGTAAATACATTTGCTTGTTTTAAATTTCTAGAGAAAACACTCTAGTATTACCACTAGCCGCCCCCACTCCCTGCATTGTCAGAGCAAGTTCAAAGTATGCACCAAGGGTGATGGGGACCATGGCACCTGCAGCTCTAGAGGAGGCCACCATCCATGCCTTTGCCACATAGCCTCCGAGACCACAGCCTTCAGGGTTAACCCCTGAAGACACTAACAGGGCCCTAAGAAAGCACTGGCATTGCCTTGTGGCAATAACTAGGAGGAAACCTGGGAAGTAACCACAGGTCCTGTGCATGTGACTGTCAGCTCTATAGCTTGCCAGCTAAACAGCCTGGATAAATCATCAGTATTATATGTTTTAGTTTTCTAATCCACGTTATTTGTAGAAATCACCTGTTATTCTTGGTGAATATTAAATTAAATAATTCATATAGAGTGTTTACCACAGTGCCTTACACATTGCTGGTGCTTTAGTACATAGTAGTTTACTGTTATTATTTCTCATTCTCCCACACTGACCCTGAAGCCTTTAAAGACCATTGTTCGACTTTGTGTACCTGTGACCTTGGATTCTCCAGGCCTCACCTGTCTTTCATGCCCTCAGTTATCTGCTGGATCCTGGAATCAGAAGAATGGCCATATCCAGGGCATAAAATCCCACTTTCTCAGTAGCTGCCCAAGGACTCAGGTGGCCCAGCCCAGAGGTTCAGGGGAGCTGACATCCTGCAAGACAAACTGTGACTCATGGGGCCCAAGAGCCTGGGGAGAGCCAGGAAGCACACCTTTCTCTATTCTTCCTGTTGAATGCCTCCCAGGTGTGGTGTTACTGTACCTTTTACCCAGAGATGTCCCATGGGATGCCCAGAACCATGGTGAGTCTCTGGGAAGCAGTGGTCAGCTGGGTAATGCCCACTTTGTATTTGCCCTTCTTCTCTTGTCAATGCCCTGTTCCTTCATCCTGGCTTCTCTGGGATTGAAATAATATGCAAACATTGCCTCAGACTCTATTTTCTAGAGTCTAGCCTAAGCCAGGCCCTACTCCCTTTTGTATCTCTGGTTCCTAGAACAACACTTTACGGAGAGTTAGTGCTCAGTGCCTGTTTATTGACTTGAAGAATAAAAGAATAACTGATCATCTGAATGCCAAAATGAATTAATGAATGAGTCTTGTGTTCACGCCAGTATTTCCACTGGACAAAATTCTGAATTTCTGAAGAGCCTCAGTCTCTCTGATTGTAACACACTAAAGGAAAGCAACACAGGGAAAGAAGAGAGGAAGAGAAAAGGTGGCAGGAAGAGAAAGAATCCAAAAGAAAAACTGCCTCGCAATCCCAATCTGTTCCAATTGCCTTATTTGCCGAGTTTTCACTTTGGGCCAAAACAGTACTAGTTTAGCAAAAGGGAGACCAAGGCTGGAATCACTTTTGAGAACTGAGGGCACATGGAAGATCTCTGATACAATGAATGGTGGATTATTTTTAATCTGGAAAAATGTCAAAAGCATGAGCAGCTCAATGCCAACCATCCAACTTCATGCAAACCTTTAATTAGTTATAATACTTGGAAGCCTTTCCTGGGATGCTGTTTCATTGCCAGTGAACTCACCATGCTCAGTGCCTGGCAACCATCTGGTGCTGAAGTCACTGGGTTGGGAGCTGTAAGCCAGGCCTAGAGTCCCTGCCTTGCCTCCCATTCCTTGTGTGACCCTGGTGTGTCTCTTCCCTTCAAGACCTCTGCTGCCCATTGTGCAAAGTGAGGACAAGAAGTTCTAACCTTCCCTCAGTCTATGGCTGACAGTGAAGCATCTAAATCACCCACATGTTGGTCTGTAGAACGCCTTCATTATTTTGAGAGACTGTAATATGATGGAATTTCGGTTTACTTAACATAGTCTTGAGAGGGCTTTCTGAGCAGCCCTGCTGTGCCTGCAGACCAAGGGAAGAGATAAAAGGAGTCCAATACAAAGGCCGGGTGGTCAACAGGGCTTGAGACTCCAGAGTGTGTGAGAGACAAGAGACATTTGGGCCTCCAGACCACACTCTAGTTGCCCTGGAATAAATGGAACGGTCCTAGCTGCCATCCAAGGCAGCCAGCATGTGTATCTTGTTCAATGTCAGGCTCATCGAAGCTGGCCTTGGAGTGAGCATTTCTCCATTTTCTCTATGAAACCAGAGTTGGTTGAAGCATTCAGGGCATGGGCCCCTGCATTGTGCACATGAGACTTCCCTGTTGTTCCTAGAATCTGCTGCAACCTTTGAGATGATAACATCCAAAATGTTTTTGCCCCTTACACTGCCTTTTTTGAAATTTCAATGATTTTTTTTTTTAGCTGAAAGACAGAATGACCCATTGCTGATGTGGAGGTTTTGGTGTGTTCTCATTAGGGAAGTGGTACAACCTCTGAAGACTCACATCATTTCAGAGTCTGAGCCTTGAGTGGTCTTCCCTGCTCAGTGGAGAAGATATTGCTGGAAGCTGACATACTTCTTTATCTCCAGCACATTTCACTCCTGCAAATTGGCTTCCTTATGTTGTCATCAGAAATGACCATTCTCATTTTTTTTCGGGGCATTCTCTTCACCTGGAATGTCTTCCCTGATGGACCAAGAGATTTATCCAAAATCACCAAAAACTGTCATCAGAATCAGCATGGCTTTCAGTCAAAGACCTATCTGGCAGGGCACCCTGCCTCTCCTCCAGGCTCCCACTCCTCCCGTCAGATGACACCTACCAACAACTGATCACTCCACCACCTTGGCCTTGAGATTCGTGGGACTCAGGCCCTGCCCTTAGAGGTTGCTATGCTGACTCTGTACTCTGTGTTTCTCAGAGGTTATTTGGTGACTGATAGCATCAACTTCATGTCCACAGGCTTGTTGAGTTCACACCTAGGGTGCCTGGCTCTCATTGTGTTTGCTGTAATAAATAATCACTGGGTTCTTACTGTATCCAGCTCTGTTTTGGGAAATGAGGAAACAGATCATGCTAAGACTGGACCATATCTTCAAGGAGTTCAGAGTCTACGACACCTCTATATGCAGTGGGGCATGCATAGGAGAAAAAGAAATATTCTGTAAGGACAAAGAAAACAATTTCATGACGGCACTGAAGATTTTGATCTCTCAAATAAAAACACTCCATTAAAGCAAGGTATAATTATTTGGAGTCTAAAATAATTTCATATCATAGAGAAATATTATGCAGCAAAGATGGGCAACTGGCAGAGGAATGCATACAGATGTGTACCAAGAAACACCATATATCTCTACTGCATGTGGTGCAACATTTTAATCAAGTCAAAGACTCTCATGCTTGGGTTAGAATCTGTTGGCATCCACACCTGTGAACGTGACTTGTCATGGTTTCAACTGAAAAGATAGCGGCCCAGGCCTGCCTGGGGATGCACTTTTTGGGTGATGGTAAATGTGCTTTTTGTGCGAGCAGATAGCAGCCTTGCCCTCTGTGTGTGCATACCTCAGACTTCTCTCTCCAGAGGACTGGAACTTGCGGGGCATATGAGAAGACCCAGGCTCTCAGAGCAGCAGCAGCTGTCCTGGGCTCTGAGCAGAGATTAGCGAGGCTCAGGCTGCATTCCACAGCCTCCACCCCCTGTACTTCTGGCAGGGCGCAGTCCTACCTTTCAAACACACACACACACTCAACTGCAGGTGAGGAACTGACATTGCCCTGGGAGTTTCTGTCTTTGCAGAGGAATATTTTGAAAACATCCACTCTTGCTTTCTCCACACTCCCATCCAGTGTGCCTGGCTTCTTCTGCACAGTGCATATTCTGGCTCTTTGCCAGAGGCCTGGAAAATCCTGCCAGGCAGCCGTTCACGCAGTTGCCCCCAGGGGCAGTGACTGACCAGGAGTGAGACACACCACTCTCAGCCCAGCTGTCTGCTCAGCGCAGCTCAAAGCACTTGTACCTTGAGGGAGAGAAACCCAAGCCACACGTCCTGACAGACTGTCACCTGAGTCCCTTGGAAAACACAATCAAGAGCTTCCTGCCCACTCATGTCCCGAGCTGGCCGGGCTCAGTAGATGCTGTGCCGCCAGCTCCTGGCTTAGCCGGCCTCCCTGGTGCGTCTGCCCTCAACTCTTTGTGCAGCTGGAGTCCCAGAAGGGAGTAATAATTAAAGAAAACTTTGTAAATGTTCAAACTGAATAAAACTGTTGTTGTTGCTCATGGTTCCTTTTCTTCCTTTTTTGCCATCTGGAGCCACAACCTGTCCGGTTTGCAAGCCCAGATCCACGTCCTGTTTCCTCCCGTCACTTGTCTGTCGATCCTCTTCACTGGTGGTTCTCCGCAGAGAAGGGATTTGCTGGTTATTTTTGTCCCCTCCCCTGCACGCCAGAGCCCTGCGAAGCTCGTCACTGTCCTGGCTCCAGCGCACCTCCTCATCTCCCTGCTTTCCATATGCTTTGAAGATATTCCTGCCTCTACCGCTCGTTTGCAAAGCCATGTGGCATGTGTGTGCGTGTGGCTGCCTGGGTTTCTTGTCATTGCCACTGAGAAACTGCCCATCTGAAGGGCCAGAGGGCCATCAGAGTCAGGCTCTGCCTACAGCCCTGGCTGCTGTCTCAACTTTAAAATATATATATATTTTAAAGTGACAAAGGAAATGAGTGGATGAAGAAAAAGTAACAAAATAAAAATCACACTAATCTTAATGAATTAAGGCTTCAAGTTACATAGACACTGCAAGAAAGTATAAATCACCCTGTCTATGCAAGAGTAAAACCAGTATTAAGCTAAATCATGTCTTCCAAAAATATATGTGAAAGTCTTAACCCCAGAAACTCAAAATGCAACCTTATTTGGAAACTAAGTCATGTTACAGATGTAATTAGTTAAGTTAAAATGAAGTCATCCTGGAGTGAGGTGGGCTCCTAATACAATAGAACAAGTGTCTTTATAAAAAGAAGAAAATGTGAAGGCAGGTGTCCACAGAGTGAAGACTATGTGAAGACAGCTATGTGGGGATAGAAGCTGAGATATGAGTTGTGTATCACAAGCCAAGGGAAGGCTGGGGCTACCAGTAGCTGGAAGAGACAAGGAAGGAGATTCCCTTAGAGGCTTCAGAGGGATTATGACCCTGCCAGTGCCCTGACTTGACTTCTAGCCTCCAACGCTGTGAGAGGAGCCATTCCTCTTATTTTATGCTACCCAGGATGTAGTACTTTGTTAGGGCAGCCCTTAGGAAACTAATGCAATGAGAGTTCCAGCAGAGTACAATAGCCTCTATGTAAATAGTGGTAAAACGTATCCTCGTTAATAAAATTACATTGTTCAGCCAACACATACTTATTCAACCTATATTCTTGCAGAGTTGCTCTATTCTTTTCTCTCCTTCTATCAATGCTAGTTTTCTTATTAGATGCTGGTCATTGTAGGCATACAACAATGAATCAAACATCTGTGTTTCTTCTCAAGGATTGCAGTCTGGCAGTGGAGTGAGTATAAGCCTCTATATAAACTCTGCTACATGTGGGAGTATGGACATCTCTCTCAAGAGGAGCATGGGAAGGAAGCGCAGCAGGGGCACCATCTAGGGACACTGCACGGGCTTCAGGAAAGCCATGACATTGGAGTTGCCGGTGGTGGTGGTTATGGTGGTGGTGATGGTGGTGGTGGTGGTGGTGGTGGTGGTGGTGGTGGTGGTGGTGGTGGTTCTGTGGAGACTGGGGAAGGTAGGTGAAGAACAGCTGTGGAAGTCAATGTCCCAAGACTATACCTGGAGGAGTTGGGGATGGCTTTATACATGGGGTGAGGCTTGAGAAAACATGGTGCTCATAAGGCCAAAAGACTTTGGTAGTGGTAGTATTGGCTCACGTTTCCTTTCAGATAGATTGAAAACCATGTGCAAAGGCAAAGGAGGTGAGAGAAAGCACTCAACCCCCAAGGAAAATAGGCCGAGGCCAGATCAAAAAGGTCTTTAGATATGACACCAAATGTCTCAACCTTCTTTCAGCTGATGGTGTGGTGAGCGGTTCCAACACAATACATGCTTTGGCAACTATTGTCACATGCAGACCATCTTGAGTCACATAACGTCTTGACTTTCTTAGATTCAAAATATTTTTATATCTTTTTTCTACTATGTATCCAAAGCACTTAGTTGAATAGTTTTATTTTATGCCTACTTCATGAATACTTGACTTCTAAGAAATAACTTTTCTTTCTCTAGCCTATTGTATTTACCCTACAGCCTAGCATAGATACACACCTAAAAATAATTTTTCTGGACTCAGCCTGGGAGTGAGGCTTAAATGGCAATTTATTCCTGCCTCCAGCTTATTAAAGAAATTCCCCAGTCCCCTATCGTCCCCTTCATCAATTTTGATAAGAGTCATCCAGATCCAGTGACTCAGGGACAAAACAATCACCACCTCAAGTGTTTCATTCAATCCTACAGACTAGAGCTCCAGGAAGACTGAATAGAGACACCCAGGAGAGCTTTCCTGGTTGACAGCACTCCCTGCCTATCGCCACACATTGATGCCAGGAGGGTGAGGTGAACTCACTTCAAGGCGAGAGGGCCGTTGAAGCTTCTGTTTGAAACCCTCTCAGACTCTGCCCTAAGCATCTCTTCCTCTGGCTGATTTTAATCTGTATCCTTTCCCTGCAATAAACCAAAGCCATGGGTGTAACTGTTCTGTGAGCCCTTCTAGTAAATTTTCAAAACTGAGGGTAGTTTGTGGATCCCCCCGCCAACCTTGAGGTTCATGTCAGAAGTAAGAGAGGTCTTGGGGACTGTATCCTCTAACTGTCTTGGGCAAACTCTATTCCTCTAAACTCTTTTTTTTTTTTTAACTTTTTACACTGATATTCTAGATTGTTTTTCAATCAGTAAAGCAAACCTGATAAAGAAGTTCTAAGAATCAGGCCCTTCATACCATTTATAGTGGAGGTTGCCTGGCATTCTGTGTATCATTCTAGTTCTTAGCATGCACAGCTATCTCCTCTGGATTCCATGAGGCAGGATTCATCTCAGTTCCCTCTAGCACAGTGGCTAACAGAGCAGGTACTCAGAAGTGCCTGTGACTAGAGTCACATATAAGACAGGGTCTGTTCTCAGGAGCTCAGCATGCACATGTGGAGACTTCACAGGAAAATGTAAGGACTTTCACATTGGTGGCATCTAGTTTCAAAGAGAATGGCGAGTGTCTCAGTCAGCTAGGGCTGCCATAGTAAAATTCCACACTTCTGTTGGCGTAAGCAACAGAAATGTACTTGCTCACAGTTCTGGAGACTGGAAGTCCAAGATCATAGTGCCAGCAAGGTCATGCTCTGGTGAAGCATCTCTTCCTGTCTTGTAAACAGACATCATATTGTGTGTGTTCACATGGCCTTTGCTTGGTGCATCTGCAGAGAAAGAGAGGGAGAGAAAGACAAAGAGATGGAGAGAGAGCTGTTTCTTATAAGGGCACTAATCCTATCATGGGAGCCTTACCCTCATGACCTCATCTCAACCTAATGACCCTCCCAAAGCCCTGTCTCTAACTACCATCGCATTGCGGGCTAGGGCTTCCACATAGGAATTTTGGGGGGACAAAATTCTATTTATAGCAGTGACTTAATCTGAGGTGACCCAAGCAGCTTTGAATAGGATTGGGCCTGGTGGACACAAGAGGAATGGAAAACAGGGTCTGAAGGTGTCGCTTGCAGGGTGACCCCAGGGCCCAGAATGCCCATGTCTTCTGCTCCTTAATCTCCATGTCCCAAGAGGTGCATAAGGGGACACTGGGGACACAGAAAAGCCACGTCTTCATCAGCGGAGGAAATAGCTCAGGAAAACTCCTATGCGTTCTTTGGTTTCCCTCATTATTAAGACCAATCATAGGAAAATGAGAAAGGAAAATCCACTCTTCCACCCGATATGTGTGTTCTTGTGACTCCCACCTGATGGAGACGGTTGCTAGGAAACTGTGACCACAGTCTGCAGATTCTGTCAAGGAGAAAGGACCCCCTCACCCCTGAGTTCTCCTTGAAACTCACAAAGTGCTTAGCTGCAGCCTGTGGTGCAGCATTCAGGAGAGTTAATGCTGGCAATTCACAGAGAAGGGAACTGAAGATTAGGGGCATCAGGTAGGCAGCTGGTCATGGCACCAGCGTGTGGCTTGGAGCCAGCTCCCCTGCTGCCCAGGGAGGTGCTGTCTCTATTCCATTGCACTGCCCTCAAGAAGAGGGACCTAGTTCAAAACCAGAAAGGTGAGGCTGCCATGGTCTGCCCTTTTGGGGCACCTCTGGAAGAGGGTACCTCTTCACCGAATGTCTTCCTTTGTGTGTTCTCACAGGATGGCAATCCCAGGTCTGGATTAATGCCTGTGTCTGCTGAAAAACAGTGGGACAGACAGTGCTGGTCCATGGCTGCCTTCAAAATGCTACTAAATTTCTGTCTGCCATAAAGTGGAGAGAAAAAGAGTGCAAAACTAAAACGGGAAGGTAATAGTTACATTTGCCAACTTAAAATACATTAGTCTTAGTCTTGACATCATCAAAATGAGGTGAGAGAGGATAAGGCTCAGATGTCTGGCTAGGGTTAAGAGCATGGACAACGTCACCATGCTTAGAGAGAGGGGATAGAACAAGCAGCAGGTTTAGGGAAAAATTTTCCCCAAATTTCCCACTTTTCAATTTCTGGCGTGTTGAGTGTGAGCTAATGGTTAGAAATGAGGGTGGTGATGCCCAGGGCTGGTGGGCGGGGTCCAGGGGATCATAGGAGACACAGGGAGCAGGAGTAGAGGGTACGGCTGTATGTGGTGGAATGAAGAGTAAATGGAGGGGAAGAAATGAAAGAAGCAAATGAAAACTATTCTTTTAGTAATTTTGGTAAAGAAGAGAAGGGTATGAATGAAATAGTGTAAGAGTATTTTATCAGCTGTGTTGGGATTAAGATGGCCAACTCTCAATCCAGGCTGCCTAGCTTTGAATTTTGGCTTTACCACCTTTTCACTGTGATCTTGAGCAAGTTACATAACTTCCCTGTGTTCCAGTTTCCTCATCTAGAAAACAACGATGATGATGATGTCAGTGATAACCTATTTTGTACGTTCTCATAAATGGTAAGTATGTTAATATATGCAAACTTACTGGAGCATTGCCTTGTCCATGATAAACTCAACTAGTGTTTGCTCATCTCAATTATCCAGAAAAAAAATGGAGAAGGGAGGAGGTTGGGCAGTAGTTTTGGAGGCAGATGCAATACTGAAAGAAGATATTTTTAGGATAAGTGGAGTGAATTGTGAATTCTGACTGCTCTGGTCTGATCCTAAGTTTCAGTTTTTAGCTAGGTCTGCTCAGTTCATGAAATCACAGTGGGCAGGGACCTTCACACAAAGCACCGAGGATGAGATGAATGACAGGAGAGAGGGCAGATTGGCAGAGCACTGTGTGGGAAATTAAGCAGTCCCTGGTCTCATGTCTTACCATTGCAATAATCAGAAGAGCAGGTCTCATATCTTGCCTCAGTTTTTTAGGGTTTGAAGCAACATGGATCTCTCAAATGTGAGCACCAAGACTGAAAACCACTAAGGATAATGAGAAGCTGTCTTTGTGCACACATTTTGGTCTCCTCCCATCCATGCTGGAAATAGCCACTTCAATATCATCAGAAGTAAGTTTGAAATCCATCTTTTTTGGTCCATGTTTATCATTCACTGAAAATTTGCCAGAGATACTACCTCACACACATTAGGTTAGCTACTATAAAGATAAAAAGAAAGTAACGACTGTTGACAAGAACATGGAGAAATGGTAATACGCATGCACTGTTGGTGGGAATGTAAAATGCTGCAGCCTCTACAGAAAACAGCATAGAGGTTCCTCAAAAAGTTAAAAATAGAATCCAGCAATTCCACTTCTGGAGACATATCCAAAAGAATTGAAATAAGGATTTTGAATAGGTGTTTGTACACCCATGTTCATTACAGCATCACTTATAATAGCCAAAAAATGTCCACTGACTCACGAATGAAAAAACAAAATGTGATATATACATAGAATAGTCATTCAGCCTTAAAAAGGAAGAACATTCTGATGCATGCTACAACACGGATGAAACTTGAGGGTATTACTATGTGAAATAATCCAGTCCCGAAAGACAGATATGATAGGATTCCACTTACATGAGGTACCTAGAGATAAAAAATAGAATAATGGTTTCCAGGCACCGGGGGAAGGGAGAAACGGAGAGCTGTTGTTTCATGGGTGCAGAGTTTCAATTTTGAAAAATTAAAAAAGATTCTGGAGACTGGTTACACAACAACCTGAACACACTTACCATTACTGAACTGTACACTTGACAATGGTTAAGATGATAAATTTTACGTTTTGTGTATTTTACCTCAATTAAAAATAAAAAAAAAAATATTTCCAGGGGTATAATGCTGGGAGACACTCTCTGGCCTCATGGAGTTCCCTGTCCAGTTGGATGGACACAAAGGCAAGAAGACACAGGGAGCGTGACAGCAGCTATGAGAGGTGTTGGAGCCTGCGGCTGGGGTGGGCGCGGTGCCGGAAGGCTTCCTGAAGGGAAGGGCTTCTCCACCAGATCCTAAAAACCAAGTAAGAGATAGTCAAATAAAGGAGACAAAAATATGTTAGGACGTCAAAACCATATGTGCAAATTCATGGTGCTATTCGGAAACTGCACATGTTTCTGCTGGGCTGGCACATTGGGTGGGAGTTGAGGGGTGTAAAACGTGGGGTTTGTCTTGATTTATCCAGCATCTGCTGTGCCCAACCTCAGGAGAAAAAAAAACTTGTGGACATAAGGTGACCGCTTTCAGCAGATAAAGCAGAAGTGTGGCTGTGCCCTAAAGTTTCCTCCCTGGGGAAACTTAACCATCAGAAACGTTGTCCTGAAAGGCACCAGAGTGAACTGTTTCCACTCCACAGAGGTCTACATTTGTTTGTTTCAAGCAAATACAACCTAGTCCACCACCACCCCCAAACTATCTGTTATTATCAGTCTTTCATTGACTGGTCAAATAACCACTTATTCAATTAACCAAGCAGTCTGACTACTCCATTTCAGGACTTTAATGAACACATGGGAGGGAAAAACTACAGGCATTTGGGGTTTCTTGAAACTGCTCCAACTTCAGGGTTTGATGTAAATAATCTTTGCAACTTCTGGATCCATCTCTATGCGTTTACTTTAAATATAGATGTGTTTTTTAAAAAATGCAGCACTTTGGACTTAAAGCTGAAGCTATACAATAGGTAGAGTTTTTTATAAATGGACTATAGACAATAATTGCAAAAAATGCATAGAAAAGACGAAGAGCCAACTTGAGAGACTTCCTACTTACACTTTTCCAACCATTTTCTTCAGGCCAGGAAGACAGCCTCATTTCTTGGTTTTCTAATCCACATTATAACCACAGAAAATGAGGGCCTGCTAGATCCAGAGCACCCTATTAAAGGCTGTGGAGCAGGAGAAGGAAGGAAGGGAGAGAGAGAGAGAGAGAGAGAGAGAGAGAGCAGGTGAGGGAGACAGAGATGGAGGAGTGAGAAGTAGAGAGAGAAAGAAAGAGTGAGGAGAGAGAGAGAAGGGGGAAGACAGAAAGATAAAGGAGACAGAAAGAAATAAGGAGAGAGAGAGAGAGAGACTATTGGATTCTAGTAGGAAATAAATAGATACACAATACCTGTCTTTAAAAGTTTATTATAATAAATCCCATCTGCATTAGAGATCTAAATGTCTGAGTAGAGAAAAAGTAAGATAAATTCTCAGCATCAGGGGTGGAAGGTGGAAGGATGAGCTATTAAGGGAAGGAGGTGTGGGAGTGGGAGAGGAGCCTTTCCCGGGTGCCTCTGTCCCGCAGGCCTCTCATGCACATGGCAGAGGCTGGCCCACACTTTTGAGATGGCTGATAACATACAGGATAGCAGGGGATGAACAGGTAGATAAATGAAGAAACAGGTGAGTGATTCTGAGAGCCAGACACTAGCAGCATGTGAGAATATATTTGGAAATGATTTGAATTCATACCTCCTTTATGTCCTGGTCGCCAAAGTTTCAAGGAGAGGGAAGAAAATATTGAGCTCCTACGACAATGGCAACATTTTTCTTAGGCCCTTTCTATCACTTATTCTTCACTCTCACTCTGTGATGATCAACTTTAGGTGTGCATTTTACTGGGCTAAGGGATGCCAGATAGCTGGTGGGGCATTATTTCTGGGTGTGTCTGTGAGTGCATTTCCAGGAGTGACTGGCATTGGAATCAGTGGACGGGGCAAGATCTGCAGGCACCCTATGTGGGTGGGCCTCGGATTGGCTGAGGCCTGGATAGATCGAAACAGCAGAAGAAAGGCTAATTCTTTCTCTCTCTCTTCTGGAGCTGGAACAGACTTTTTCCTCCTGCTATTGGGCATCAGAAGCCCAAGTTCTCTGGCCTTTGGACTCCAAGACCTGCAACAGTGCCATGGTTTCCCTCCTGGCCCCAGTGGATTTCAGTGCTGACTGAAAGTTACACCATCAGCTTCCTTGATTCTGAGGCCTTTGGGCATGGACTGAGTCACCCTGCCAGCTACCCCGGTTCTCCATAATCATGTTAGACAGTTCCCGTAAGTCCCTTCTTGTTATCTCTCTATGTATCCTATTGGCTCTGTGTCTCTGGAGAATCCTCACTAATACATATCCTTTGAGTTGGATAGAATTCTCTCCATTTACAGATGAGAAAACTGTGCCTCAGGGAGGCTTAATGCTCAAATTCATTCGGCTATTAAATGGAGAGCCCCAGTTGGAATCCAGGCCCACCGGACATGTACTGTCTACCTGCCTTGGGTGCTGTTCCCAAGGGGCATGAGTGTTCATGGGTGGCAATGGAATCCCTAGTCCAGTTCAGTGGCGCTTACCTTTTGAAAGTTTAGAGACCTCAGGAACCTCATGCTGATTGGAAATGTGCTTTTTCCTGCCTGACCTTTGATACGGTTTCACTGTGTCCCTACCCAAATCGCATGTTGAATGGTGATCCTGAGTGTTGGAGGTGAGACCTGGTGGGAGGTGATTGGATCATGGGGGTGGTTTCTAATGGTTTAGCACCATCCCCGTAGTGCTGCCTCATGATAGAGTTCTCAGGATAACTGATTGTTTAAAAGTGTGTAACACCCCCTCACCACTACCACCCCTCTCTTTCTCCTGCTCTGACAATGTGAGACCTGTTTGCTTCCCCTTCACCTTCTTTCATAATTGTAACTTTCTTGAGGCCTCCCAGCCATGCTTCCTGTACAGCCTGTGGAACTGTGAGTCAATTAAACCTCTTTTCTTCATTAATTACCCAGTCTTAGGTAGTTATCTGTAGCAATGAGAGAATGGACAAATACACCCCTGAAGTCTACAGTTCTCCCAAGCCAAGGCTGGTTTGGAAGCTGCCAGCCTGGTGATGGTGGGGGTGGGAAGATGGGGGAGGTTGTGATAGCAACCTTAGGTTTGCCTTCATTTTTATATCAACCAATTAGGAAAGTCAATGGAGTATGGAATAAGAGATGACTGCTATTGTTCTGCCACCTCACAGGGTCATGGGAGCCAGTGAGGACCTGGGGGCATACACGCAGAAGGCTCTGCATCCTACAGACTTCCAGTTCTGACTCTTTCCCAAGCAGCCCTTCTGTCAGGCAGTAAACACTGACACAGCCACTGGTTGCCACCACAGAGCCTCCCAGTGACCCCCCTCCTGACCATCATCCATTCCTTAAGTTGTTTAAAAACATGGACCCAGCATTCCATATGATGCCTCTATAGGGTGGATGATTGGCTATGGAATCAATACCATAATTGGCTTAAAACCTTGCCCCTGGCTTCAGCTTATCTCTTACCCCAATATAGCTACTTGGTGAAATAGATGTGCAGGGAGCTTCTTCTCTTTAATCATAGACAATATTGGTACACGATTAGTATCAAATATTTAACTAGGACAGTGGCTCACATGCTTGAGTATGTGTATTAGTCTGTTTTCACGCTGCTGATAAAGACATACCTGAGACTGGGAAGAAAAAGAGGTTTAATTGGACTTACAGTTCCACATGGCTAGGGAGGCCTCAGAGTCATGGCGGCAGGTGGAAGGCATTTCTTACATGGCAGCAGCAAGAGAATGAGGAAGAAGCACAAGTGGAACCCCCAATAAACCCATAAGGTCTCATGAGACTTATTCACTATCATGAGAATAGCACAGGAAAGACCATTCCCCATGATTCAATTACCTCCACCTGAGTCCCTTCCACAACATGTGGGAATTCTGGGGGATACAATTCAAGTTGAGATTTGGATAGGGACACAGCCAAAACATATCATTCTACCCCTGGCCCCTCCAAATCACATGTCCTCACATTTCAAAACCAGTCATGCCTTCCCAACAGTCCGCTAAATCCTTAACTCATTTCAGCATTAACCCAAAATCCACAGTTCAAAGTCTCATCTGAAACATTGCAAGTCCCTTCTGCCTATGAGCCTGTAAAACCAAAAGCAAGCTAGTTACTTCCTAAATACAAGGGAGGTACAGGTATTGGGTAAATACAGGTATTCCAAATGGGAGAAATTGTCCAAAACAAAGGGATTACAGGGCCCGTGCAAGTCCGAAATCCAGCAGGGCAGTCAAATTTTAAAGCTCCAAAATGATCTCCTTTGACTCCAGGTCTCTCACATCCAGGTCATGCTGATGCAAGAGATGAGTTCCCATGGTCTTGGGCAGCTCTGGCCCTGTGGTTCTGTAGAGTACAGCCTCCTTCCTGGCTGCTTTCACAGGCTGCCATTGAGTGTCTGTGGCTTTTCCAGGTGCATGATGCAAGCTTTCAGTGGATCTACCATTCTGAGGTCTGGAGGACAGTAGCCCTCTTCTCACAGCTCCACTAGGCAGTGCCCAGTAGGGGATCTGTGTGGGGGCTTGGGCCTCATGTTTCCCTTCCACACTGCCCTAGCAGAGTTCTACATGAGGGCACCACCTCTTCAGCAAATTTCTGCCTGGGCATCCAGGCGTTTCTATATATCTTCTGAAATCTAGGCAGAGGTTCCCAAACCTCCATTTTTGACTTCTGTGTACCCACAGGCTCAACACCATGTGGAAGCTGCCAAGGCTTAGGGCTTCCACCCTCTGAAGCCACAGCCTGAGCTCCACTTTGGCACATTTCAGCCAAAGTTGGAGCAGCTGAGACACAGGGCACCAAGTCCCCAGGCTGCACACATCATGGGGACCCTGGACCTGGCCCATGAAGCCACTTTTTCTTCCTAGGCCTCTGGGCCTGTGATGAGAGGGACTGCAGTGGAGGGGCTGCAGTGAAGGTCTCTGACATGGCCTGGAGACTTTTCCCCATGGTCTTTGGGATTAACATTAGGCTCCTTGCTACTTATGTGAAGTTGTGTAACTGGCTTGAATTTCTCCCCAGAAAATTGGTTTTTCTTTTCTATCACATAGTCAGGCTGCAAATTTTCCAAACTTTTATGCTCTGCTTCCCTTATAAAATGGAATGCTTTTAAAAGAACCCAAGTCACCTCTTGGATGCTTTGCTGCTTAGAAATTTCTTCCACCAGATACCTTAATCATCTCTCTCAACTTCAAAGTTCCACAAATCTCTAGGGCAGGGGCCAAATGCTGCCAGTCTCTTTGCTAAAACATAATAAGAGTCACCTTTGCTCCAGTTCCCAACAAGTTCCTCGTCTCCATCTGAGACCAACTCAGCCTGAATTTTATTGTCCATATCTCTTTCAGCATTTTGGGCAAAGCCATTCAACAAGTCTCTAGGAATTCCAAACTTTCCCACATTTTCCTGTCTTCTTCTGAGCCCTCCAAACTCTTCCATCCTCTGTCGGTTACCCAGTTCCAAAGTCGCTTCCACATTTTTGGGTATCTTTTCAGCAACACCCCACTCTACTGGTACCAATTTACTGTGTTAGTTCATTTTCATGCTGTTGATACGGACATACCCGAGACTGGGAAGAAAAAGAGGTTTAATTGGACTTACAGTTCCACAAGACTGGAAAGGCCTCAGAATCACAGTGGGAGGTGAAAGGCTCTGCTTACATGGTGGCAGCAAGAAAGAATGAGGAAGAAGCAAAAGCAGTGACCCCTGATAAACCCATCAGATCTCATGAGACTTATTCACTATCAGAATAGCATGGGAAAGACTGACCCCCATGATTCAATTACCTCCCCCCGGGTTCCTCCCACAACACGTGGGAATTCTGGGAGATACAATTCAAGTTGAGATTTGAATGGGGACACAGCCAAACCATATCAGTATGCATCAGAATCATTTAGAGATTTTGTTAAATATATATATTTTTTAAACTCCTAGTGGGTTACAGTTTATCTTGCCAAATATTATATTGCTAGGCCCGGCTCCAGAGTTTCTGTGTCAGTAGATCTAGTGTAGGGCCCCAGAGTCTGTATTTCTGAAAGGTTCCCTCGTGATGCTTATGCTGCTGATCCAGGGACCACACTTTGAAAAGCACTGTGTCAGGCACTGAGCACTGCAAGAATTCTAGGACCTCTGCAGGCTCCATGTCTGTTGGTATTTTTCTGGGAAGTACCAAAGTCCAGCTGTCATAGAGCAGGACATGGGCAGCAGACAATCATCCTGTCAGTTTGTTATCACACCCCAATTTTTCAAGCATTGGGAAATCAGACTGCAGCGTATTTGGCGTTTTGAAGTCAGTTATGGCTGAATCATCTAAATGCCTTTTGATAATTGCTAATTGACAGAAATAGAGTCAGAAAGTCACACCTTTTCCACTATCAGAAGACAAAAAGCAAACATGGACATAGCCTATCTTTATTGATATATATTTATATCTATCTATATGCCATTATACATATACTCACATTATATACATGATATATATTTTTATTTATCATGAAATAAAAATCTTTATTGATGTATATTTATATCTATATTGATATATGTTTATATCTATCTATATGCCATTATATATATACTCACATTGCATACAAGAAATGTAAGTATGTGTTTGTAAACACACACACTTATGAATGAGAGAGAGAAAATGCTCCATAGCAGCTGAGGATAAAACAGAAAGAGTCACACCAAGGCAGCCTCACAATTCAGGAATAGAGAAACAGTAACCCGGTGGAGGGGCAGGTGGCGGAACAGGTGCAAGGGTACCAGAGTTAAAGTCTGAGCCTGCAAGGTGTCCCAGGTGTACAGAGATAGAGACAGAAGGATCAAGCTCAGGACAATGTGGTTAAGTTATGGCAGAGAGTGGCTGGCTGAGGCAGTATTTAATGGCCAAGACGCTCACCTTCACAATTTATTGGTGAAAAATCTCATGAGAAAAGTGACTTAGCACTGCTTTGTTCATTCTAGGTGTCTGGAATTGTTTGTTTTTAAGGGGTTAGGAGCTATTTGTGACATTTCTTTGGATCTTGTTTGCATGATTATTTAAAAGTTCAGTAACTATTTCCAGGGACTTCTCATGCAGTCAGTCAAGAACTATTTACTGAGTATATACTGTGCTATAGTCATTACGTATCCAATGGAATAAAAAAAGCCAGGTGTCTCCCATCATGGGGTCTATTGTCTAATCAGTGAGACTCAGTGACACAGACATTGACCAAGGAATCTCCCAAATAGAGGATAGGAAAGTCCTGCTGTGGAGAATGGCTCTCGGTAAGTCTGAAGCAGAGTGTAGTACGGGAATGAAACCCACCTGGGCAGCTGGAGAGAATGCCCGTGGGATGCGCCCCCTCCGTACACTGAAGCTTCGAGACAGTGAATAGAGCTTCACTAAAGAGAAGCAGTCTTTAGTTTCACATTTCGGCAGTATTATCTCATGTCATTCTCCCAGTGGCCCTGCCAGGTTGATGATGTCATCTCCAGTTTGGAGGAGGAGGTCGAAGCTAAGCAAGGGCTGTGAGCTCCACCCACGCCAAGAGTTTCCAGTTCCGCAGGTCAGGGGCGGGCAGATGATTTGTCTTTCTTGATGAGTTTCCAGGTAAGGTGGCTGCTGCTGATCTCAGGACCACACTTGAAGAAACAACCTCTGAGCTAGAGCCTCAGGAGCAGCCCATTAAGAACATGACTCTCATTTTGAAACCTGTCATATAAGAAAACACATGGAGTACTTGGAGCCTGTCAGGTGATGGCCAGTCTTTGCCAGATCTCTTGCTCTTGTGCATGACTCTCTCATCCTTGATGAGCAATTCCATCCTGGCATCAAATTTCATACATTCTTTCATATCCAGTTCACATGACATCTTCTGCTGGAAGCTTTCACACCCCTTCTTCCCCCAATTTTAGCTACACTAAACTCACATGTCAAATTGTTGGTATCAGTTTTGGTTTTCACCATGGCCTTCCACTATAGTTATCAGTTTGCAGAGATTATGCCGAATTCATTTTTGTATTCTTGCATCATGACTTTTTATAATGTCTTGCATAAACAAAGCCTTCAATATACATGGATTGAATGAAAATGTTAAGTATTTAAAGTCATTCACCTGTGTATTTTCACATTTTATACACTAATAAGCTCATGAAGCAATCTGAGCAGGAATATTTTCCCCTAAGTTTTAGAAAAGGAAAAAGAGGATTACAGGCACAAGTAATGTAAATGACATACCCAAGTACCATAACTGTGCAATCATGGGTCCCTGCAAAAAAACAACTGGCACATTCAAATTTGATATGGAGGAGGGTTTAAAAACACATTGTTTACAATGACATGTAGTGTTTAGGGAAAAACAACAAAGATGAAGCAAGACCAGGAGTGAGAAGCTGTCATCACCCTGCAGCAGAGACCAAGAGGGGGCATCATGTGGAAAGAGTGCCCTGACTCTAGAAGAAAGTTAGCACCTGTGGTCATCTGCATCAGGAGAGCTGAACATACAACCCCACCCCTACCCTTGATCTCTTGCTGAAGGCAAAGGAGTCCATGCACATGGGCCTCTGGCGTGCCGCAGAATGAAGGGGCAACAGGACACCCAGACATTGATTTTGGCCTCCAATTTCTGTGCATTCTCCTCAACCCTGCTGCTTCAACAATCTCATAAATCTTCCTGTTAAAAATGTCTACCGTGTGGAATGGAGATGGTTTATTGATAAAGGCAAGACAGTTTAGTTAAATTTTAGATGGAATTGCTTTAGGAAAAGGCTCATTTTAGAATTCACACTTTCAAACAAACTTTCTGCTTTATGGATGTTAGTTTCTTAAAAAAAAAAAAAGTCAACAAACCATAACACTGAAAACGTTGTTTCATGCTAGCTTATTACAAACTGCCTCGCTGAGCAGATTGTACATTTATACTCGATGGTAGGACTTAACATGCACTGGGATAATGATAGAAAAATGAAATGAATTTCAACAAATAATCAAGGATGCAGCTTCAAAAGACTGGTGAAATTCTTGCTATGATAATCTTTTTTTTTTTTAAGTCATGTATATTTTATGAGTCTGAAACAACTGATTCCAATAAGTCTTTGGGCTATGGAAGCAGAAAAGGAACACGATGTAATGTAGCATAGCATAATATATGAAGCAATCATTCAAACATAGCTTGCAGTACGTACGTCAATAAACTTCTACTGTATTGAAGCCAGTGAAGTATAGGAGATATTCAAGCAGAAGATGTTTATTCAATGCATTGTAAAAAACCCATTTTTCTTTGGCTTGCCAAATGTGCCTGAGAGTTATTACTAATTTATCATGGGAAAAAAACTGCCTCTGTGATAAAGGCAGAGAAAACTGGATAATTTCTCTTCTTGCTCTTTTGAACTTTAATAAGATGCCATGGAATTGAGACTATAATGATCATGGTTTATTGGGTGGGATCTTGCCTTGACTCAGTGGAGGTCAAGCTAGTGTCGAGAACACTGGCCTGGGTGTCAGAAGACTTGGGTTCCTCTCTCAGCTCTTGCAGGAGCTAGCTATGCCACCAAGAGCCTCTGGGGGCAAATTGAGAGAATCAGATACAGCGATGGAGTTTGTGATTCTCAGGTATGCTGGCAAATCTCTACTGTATTCTGTAGGATCTCCTCTGGGTCAGCAGCTTTCTCATTTCCTAGTGGGGAGTGGTCACTCATCACAAAATTTGACTGGCAGTGACTCCTTTCCGCCTGCCTCTGAACAGCTCAGACAGCAAAGGATGCCATAGAGAACAGTGACTTGCGAAGCCCCAAATGATAGGTCTAGAGGAGTTTTCAGGTATAAATTGGAGAATCTAGTGGAATAGTTGTTGTATTCAATTTCCACTGCTACATAAAAAATTATCACAAACTTAGCAATTCGCATTTATTATCTCATGATTTCTGTGGGACAGGAAGCCAGGCGTAGCTTAGCCAGGTTCTCTGCTCAGAGTCTCACAAGACTGTGCTCAAAATATCAGCCAAAATGCTTTTTCTTTAGAGGATTCATGGGAAAAGGTCTGCTGTCAAACTCCTGCAGGTTGTGGGCAGAATTCGTTTCCACATGGCTGCAGAACTCATGGTTGCTTACTCCAGGCCAGCAGGGGAGCATCTCTCTTGAGGGAGGGGCCATTCCCTTTGTCAAAAGCTTTCACTGATTGTGTCCTGCCCGCCCAGCATAATCTCCCTTTTGATTAAGGTCTTACCTGATTTGGGCCCTTAATTACATTTGCAAAATCTCATCACCTTTGCCTTATGACAGAACTTAATCATGGAGTGGCACCCTTTTTAATCAGAACTCCCTCCACACCCAAGGACAGGAGAGTATTCCAGGTGTAGACACCAAAGGCATGGTGTTGGGGGACATCTTAAAATTTCTATCCAAATCCGAAATAAAAGGATACTTTATATATTCCATTCATCATTCAAGGCCAAAAGCTCTAATTCTACTTCCTTGAGAAAGCAGTCGTAACTGATGTTCCCACCTTCTGAACTCTCCTGACATGGCTGGACCAGCCCTTTGGTCACCACTATATTCTGTGTTGTGTTGATAGTTTATCATTTCTCTGGCTTCTCTAAAATTGTCTGCAAATTATGTAAGAACAGAGATCAGGATGCTTAAATCTAAATTGTACTTAGATTGAGCTTGCCAACTTACAGATGTAGTAGATAGTAATTAATGACTGATTGCTAGTATTATAAAAGTACTTGATATGTATACAGTTCTACAAAGTTTATAAATCACTTTCAAATGCTTTATTTCATGTGATAACTCAGAAAGGTGAATACAGCAGAAAGTACTTACTGAAACATACTTTAGTAGCATAAAAAAGACACGCTTCAAATTAGCCATGTTGTAAAATGTGTAACATATAAGCAAAAAATGAAGAAAATATTTTTTGCCTAAATTATACCTGTCTTTGCTTAGATTTTTTATAATTACTAGAATACTTCTAGGATAGCAAAATCCCACTTTTTGTTTACTTTTTAAAACCCTCTGTTTTATTAATGTTCCACAAAAATAGGCACATTTGTATTTAAGAAAACAACTTTGGGGAGGGATAGTCAAATGCACTGATGAATCAATCACCATAAACTAGACCATTCTCATTTGCGAATGTGTTTCCTCAATTTTGTCAGTTCCAGACCAGAATATTTTTTTTCAGGATCATTTTACTTTTATTTAAATTATTTGTGGCCACATCAGAATTTGCTGACTACAGATTCTGCTATTGTAAGTTTTCTTTAGGGATCATTATTTTTTTTAATTTAACTTTCATGTTAAGTTCAGGGGTACATGTGTAGGTTTGTTATATAGGTAAACTTATTTCATGGGAATTTGTTATATAGATTATTTCATCACCCAGGCATTAAGCCTAGTATACATTAGTTATATTTTCTGATCTTACCCTCCCCTTCCTTCCACGCTCTGATAGGCCCCAGTGTGTTTTGTTCCCCTCTATGTGTCCATGTGTTCTCATCCTTTAGCTCCCACTTAGAGTGAGAACATGCAGTATTTGGTTTTCTGTTCCTGAGTTAGTTTGCTAAGGATAATGGTCTCTATTTCCATTCATGTTCCTGCAAAAAACATCATCTCATTCTTTTTAATAGCTGCATACTATGCCATGGTGTATATTTACCACATTTCCTTTATCCAGTCAACCATTGATGGGCATTTAAGTTGATCTCATGTCCTTGCTGTTGTGAATAGTTCCGCAATTAACATACACATGCATGCATCTTTATGATAGAAAGAATTATGTTCCTTTGGGCATATACCTAGCAATGGGATTGTTGGGTTGAATGGTATATCTGTTTTTAGGTCTTTAAGGAATCGTCACACTGTCTTCCACAATGGTTGAATATTCCCACCAATTAGTGTATAAGCATCCCTTTTTCTCCATAACCTTGCTAGCGTCTGTTTTTTGTTTTGTTTTGTTTTGCTTTTTCACTTTTTAATAATAGCTATTATGACTGGTGTGAGATGGTATCTCATGGGGGTTTTGATCTGCATTTCTCTAATGATCAGTGATGCTGAGATTTTTAAATGATTATTGGCAGCATGTATGTCTTCTTTTGAAAAGTCATACTTAAGATCTTAAAGTAAAAATATTCAAATAGTATAGAACTGTTCATTGTGGCAGAACTAACACCATGAGAAAAAATAAATGTAAATCTGCAGATTTCATTAAAAATATATAAGGAGAATGTTAGTATAGCAAATGATTCACTTAAAAAGATTGTAAGCCATATGATGCTGACCAAGGTAACGTTTCACCTCTCCCTTTACATAGAGATCATGGTTCACCAAGCATTGCCTGAGTGGCAGAAAGGCCATGGGAGGCACAAGAGGAATGTGGCAGAGTCCATGACCTTAAGCAACTTTAACCTGCATGGGACCCATGCAATTAGCTATAATCAGATGTTATGAGGGTGAGATCAAAGCAAGTTGCATTTTGAGCCCAGGGAAAGGCTCTAACCCCCAGAAAGGAAGAAGATGACATCTTACTGGAAGGTTAAAGGTGAAGAATGGAGAGAACAACATTCTAAGCAGAGGAAAGAGCACTTACAAATGCACAGTGGTGCAAAAATGATCACAATCTATTAATAAAGCCAAATAATTTTATTAGAGTAAGAGAGGTGAGAAGGTGAGAGACTGGACTGAAGAGATAGACAAAGAACAAATATTGCTAAGAACACCAACATGTTCTGATACATGATGATAAGAACATTAAGCCATCGACTTCATTTAGACTCAGTGTACTGTATGTAAACATATAGTACTCTAAGACATTTAGACATCACTATGACCATAGAGAGCTACTGAAATATTTTAATCATATTTTTAATTGTAAATATTTACTCTGAAAGTTACAGGAAGGATACATCTTTTAAGTTGTGAGTAGTGAAGATGGAGTAATTACTAAGAATATGACTGCAGTAATATGAGTCAAAAAATATCAGCCTTAACTAAAGCAATGCCATCAGAGAAGATGTATTTAGTTTTGTTTTGTTTTGTTTTTGTTTTTGTTTTTTTTTTGAGATGGAGTTTAGATCTTGTCACCCAGGCTGGAGTGCAATGGTGTGATCTCAGCTCACTGCAACCTCCGCCTCCAGGGTTCAAGCGATTCTCCTGCCTCAGCCTACTGAGTAGCTGGGATTACAGGCGCGCCACCATGCCCAGCTAAGTTTTGGTATTTTTAGTGGAGATGGGGTTCCACTATATTGGCCAGGCTGGTCTGGAACTCCTGACCTCAGGTCATCCACCCACCTCAGCCTCCAGAGGGCTGGGATTACAGGCGTGGGCCACCGTGCCCAGCCAGTATTTTTTAAGAAATAAAATCTATCAGATTTGTTGGTTAATTCAATGTTTTTAGGTTACACCAAGGGAAACTGAAGGGGGAAAAGGGTAAGGCCAAGATTTCTCACTCAAATAACTTGGCAGGTTTTGGGACTTTCATTGTGATGAGGAAACAGAAAGAAACAGATGTGGTAGGAAAAGAATGAAGTTATTTTTGTAATGTTGAGTTATGGGCATCTGTGAAACCCAAATGGAGATATGGAGCAGGCAGTTAGACGTAAAGGTCTGAAACTTTGAGGAGGGTTTAGGTAGTGCTGAATTTGGTAAAGAAGGGAGAGGACAACATTCTACATAGAGGGAAGAGGACTTAAAAATGTTCAGGGTGCAAAAATGTTCATGGTATATTGAGAAAGCCAAATAATTCGTTTAGAGTAAGCAGGGCGAGGTGAGAGACTGGACTGAAAAGAAAGACAAAGAACATACACGATTAATACACTACATGGAAAGTTAGGTTCAGGTTTATATTAGGTTGCCCAGAAATAATGAATGCTGTGGGAAAAGGAGAGGAAATCCAGCATTTAAACAGTATACGTGAGAAGAGAAACTGAGAAAGACTTGGAAGCAATGACCATGAGAGTGTGACCCCCAGAATGCTGCTATGGAAATTTGCACTAACCCGACATCCTCACCTGCATTTCTGGGCTCTTCTGTATATTTCAAGTGCCAATTAGATGATATTTCTGCTCGGCTCAAAGATTTTTAATGACTCCCTATTGTTCTCAGAATAAGGACAAGCACCCTCATCAAGTCTCACAGAGCTGCACTGTCACACAGAGCTGCTTTCAGTCCCATCTTCTCTTACCTCTGGTGCTTAGAGGTTCATCTTTCTCTCTTTGTATCCACCACTTTCCCAAATGCAGTCCATATCAACCATGTTCTCCCATCAACTCTCTCTCAGTTTTTATGTCTCCAGACATCCTTCCCTAATGGAAGTCCTTCCAGAAGTATCTAGGAATGGCTTTGTGCCTCTCCTACGTGCCCTCATGGATTTCATCAGGATGTGTCATGTTACGAGTGATGTCAGTGAAGATGAATATACAGGAATGAACTGAAAGTGAGACACTGAAGGCCAGGTGACCAGTTTGGAAGCTGCAGTGACCCATGTCCAGGGGTGGCGTGGTTCTGGACTAGAGCAGTGTTATCAGTTAGGGTTGTTTGGGTTGCAAGCAACATATACTAAAACTAGATAACTTAAGCAAAAGGGGACGTGAGGGAAAGATATTGACTAGCTCAATAAATCTACAGAACAGCTGGAGAACTAGGCGTGAAATAATGAAGAGCCAGGGAATGCCTAGAGCCCTGTAAACCACAGCAACCCTCTCATGTGAGCACTGCTGGATTCAAGTACTGCTCACGGTGGTCATTCTGTCTTCTACTTGGGTCAGACTTTAAAGTCTAGGATGGGACCACAGCACTGGCCTGTGTGGAGTTGCATGTCTGATCCTTTTGGGAGAGAAGAGAAAGACACTGTTTAAAAACAGTGTCACTTGTTGACTGTTGCTTCCAATAAAGACAAGTGGTTCAATGAAGAAATGAAGTGATTCCCTTAGGGAAAAGAAAGCAGGCCTCGTATGAGAAACATGATTCTCAGAAGGAGTAATCAAGAGATAGGAAGGCTTGTGTCAAAAGGAGGCGGGAGGCATGCTAAATGTTTTTTGTTTCAATCACTAAGAAATAGTCACTCTGCGATGTAGAAACATAGAGAATGGATTCTTGTTGCAGCTGTTAAGAAGAGGGAATCAACAGGTCCTTGTGATGATCTTATATGAGAATGCTGTCATGCTATGAAGGTAGTCTGCATTCAAGGAAAAATGCACCATCTTTTCCTTCAAGAGATTATATTCAAAGCCACTTGGTCATGTTTTCAAATTTCACATTACTTTTTCCTCCAAATTTTGTTTCCTCCAAATTTCGTAGAGATGAGACATAAAGAACGGTGTGCAGTGACTTCCAGGAGACAGGAAATACATTACAGGAGTTAATCAAACCCAGCTTAATTATTAAATTCATTTCTGGAGGAAAGGATGGGTCCTCCAAATTAGAATCTATGAGATGCTCTCGGGAAAAAGACTCTGCACCAGAAGCCACTGACATGCAGGTGCTGGGTTTCTGATCTGGGAGTTTCCATTGGGCCATAAATTCATTGTATGTCTTAGAATAAGTTACTTAGTTTCCTTAACTGTAAAGTGTTTTGATCAAAATCCAAGGACTCTTCTCAATTTTGACTAGTACCACTCAATTATCTAGATACTTACGTATCGACCATTTTATTGCAAATTCTTCACTTCACAAACCTGTCTTCAGAAAACTGGAGAAGGTCAAGCAAGCATTCGAGATGATTGAACTCAAACTCAGTTTCTTAACAAACACTTCATGGACAGATAAAATGTGCCAGATATTGAGTTGTACATGGGTAAAAACTTATCTTTATTCTGATAAGACAATGTCAATAAAGAATATATAAAGTTTATTTAAAAATTTATAGACAGATATTAAGTGGGGAAAGTATTATTTATAGATGATAGAGGGAAACTTGTAGAAAGTTTATTCATATGGTAAGCATGAATCTATCATTTCCTTGAAAGATCTTTCCTTGGGAATGACTCATTCTCTCCAGCAAACACACTTGAGGATCAAGGAAACACTTTTGATCTCCTATAAATAGCATGCGTAGTCGTAGGTACCCGTGGAAGAAATAAATATTTGCCTCCAATTGGCTCCATATCCCAGTAATAAATGTTTTCTTTGAATTATATCACAAATTGTGCCTGATCATTCATTATTTAAGAAGCCGAACTGGCCTCCATTGAAACAGAATCATGGTTCTATGATTCCATGACTCCATTTACAGGGACAACTTGAAGAGAAACTTAAAAGAGCTGCTCCCTGTCTCACCTCAGCAAACATCCCCTTGTGTGTGGCTGGGCCTGGCAGCTAAAAGTGGAATATGCTAAAAGGTAAGATGGACCAGATGTCTCAAAACTGTTACAGATCAAAGCCAAAGTAACTGAAGCAAAGCTACATGCAGAAGGTGGACAGGGAAACTGAAACAAAGCTATGTGTAGAGTGTGGACAGGGACAAATCTGAAAATAAGAGAATGCCTCTAAGAATAAGGCAGACTGGATTGCAAGCTGTGTCCTGTGTGGACACATGGAGGCCTGTGTGAGTACTGCCCACGGAACTGAAGTAGCCATGGCTTGTTGCATCGGCTGTTAGCCGTGTGGCGTCTGGTTCAGATTAAATTAAACTAGGGAAGCCTATGATAAAGTATCTTTACTTTCTTCTGTAAGGTCCCCTGAACTTGCTACTCATACTGACTCTTTACTTCCTAGAAATTAACACAGAGAGGAAAAAAAGAGCAGTTATAAAATTCACAGATTCATAAAAAAAAAAGCAAAATGTTCTCTCTTTTCTATCCAAGAGAGGAAAATCTATATATAGCACTAAAATCCTAAGGAGGACATCATGTAATAGAATGTTTAACATTTTCAACAACGTTTGTAAGGTATATGCGATGTTAAGTTTTAAAGTCCTGTTTTACGCAATATTCTTCTACTATGTTCCTTCTGAAGGATTTCTGATGCTGTGTAGCAGTCAGCCTTTTTGTTTGAAACAGCACAGGAAAAACTGTACTACGTGGGTTTTATGTGTGACTTCCCTTCTGGGGTCTAAGTGCTTGAGATCAAGAAGAATGGCTAATATTTAATCATTAAGTAGCCATGGAATTGTAACTACATCATTAACCTAACTCACTTTTATATAATGTACATATAAAGTTATTTGTTATTATTGAATGTATGTGTACAAACACACACACAAACACACACACACACAGCTTTTTTGTAAATTATAGGACATTGTTAATAGGGTCCTAATATTTGTATGTTCAGATCCTAGTTCCTGATGTCTTGAAGTGGTGTTTTCCGTGTCATGGGTCTGATGGCTGGGAGATAATCATTTTATAAATGACTCTCCCCACGGTGTCCCCACACTAACCCACACTGAAACTCATCTGCCACTTCCCACCCCCTCAGGCAGCCTGGAGCAATCCTCCTGCTGCCGTCTATCCCTGTCAGCTTGACGTCTTTCTATTCAACAGCATTTTTAGTCTTGTCTGCAAACTTAGAAATGACACAGTGCACCCCCTCTTCCGGATTAATAAGTAAAATAAGAAATACGATTCATCCTGACAAGCATTTTGTAAAACGTTCATTAGCCCTTAAACATCTTTAAAGAAACTTGTTTTTATTGTTCTTGGTGGATTTTTTTAGCATTTTCATGATAATTGAGATTGGAGTAATTTTAGATTTGCATGTTTGTTAAAATACTTTCAAAGGAAAAATAAAACTATAGAGTGACGAAATATTGGATCTGAAGATGTAGCAGGAGGACTTTAGAGGAACACAACGCTGTGAAGTGACCCTTACAGAATTGTCCAAGATTTAAAAAGCTGCGCCAGAGAGAAACAGTGAAAGACGAAACAGAGACAGAGACAGAGAGAAAGATGGAGGAAGGGAGAGAAAGAGGCAAAGAAGAGGAGAAAGAAACAAAGACAGAGACAGAGACAGAGAAAGAAGAGGAGAGAGAAAGACAGAGATGGAGGGAGAAAGAGAGAGAGGCAAACTGAGAGAAAGAGGGAGAGAGCTTAAAAAACAAATATGAAGCTGCCTTCAGCCTGGGTGCCCTGAAGGAAAAGGGCCAGCTCTTCAGTCTGTCTGGGGCTGGAGTAGAGGGGAGCAGAAGGAAGTGGAAAACAAGGACTCACTGCCTTTTCCTGATTCAGCTGCGGTTCCTTTGCCGTTTCCTGTAGCCGGTAAGAGGGCTCCTAAAGGGTCCCTGGGAACAGCTGTGTGGCCAGCGCCTGCATAATCCATCCTCTTCACCTGTGCTCTGTTCAAGGCTCCTGGAAACCCTGCAGAAAATGCACTTCCTTACTTGTTAACCTCTATCACCACCTAATTCAGGGGACTAAAAGATTTGCAAGGAAATCAACATATTACCTGTAGTTGAGGCTTCTTGGAGAGGAACCCACCTTCCCCCTGCGCACATACACCCAGTTGGCCCAGCGCGTTTGGGGCACAGCAGGTGTCTGCGATGGCATCAGGCTCATGTGTCCAATGGCCCATCCTACATCACCTGTATCTGGGGAGGATCCCCAATCAAAATGCATGTGAAGGTGAATATGAAGATTAGCCAAGCACAAATGATAATGATTGCTACCATTAGAGTAAATGTTATATTAATTCAGCTATTTACAAATATCAGAGGTTTTAAGACTTTAAGTAGTATTGAAATTATACAGAAGGGCTCCTTCAATTAAATCCTCTAGGGTTGAACAGGGAACCACAGCGGTGCTACCTCACCAATTTTTACAGCTGTGGTTTGTTTCTGTTCCGGAATCTGAAGATGGAGCTTCTTTGATTTCAATCTTTTATCTTCATATCAATCTAAAGCCAGTTGATAGGTATCTAGCTAAGGTTGCCTCTGTCTCCTGCATTTATAGATTGTTGGAGCTATATTAATTTGCATGAATTTGGTAGTTTACAAAGGGAGAGAGGGTCCTTTCACAATGTTTTTTTTTCTCCATCAAATCCTCCATAGGCCTCTATGTGATCAGCACATTTCCAGCTTAGTATCCAGGGAGATATTTCTAGATTCATCATCATCTTAGTATCTGCTCCACATGACATCAATTTGCAGAGGAAAAGTCTTGAATCAAGTGGATCCAATTTGTTGTATGTTTGCAAAACTTCATCGTTTATAAAGTGCTACGGAAATTTTATCATATTCAATCTAAATCATATCTCTTAAGATCTATAGTAAAATGGTACAATCCCTATTTCACTCATGCAACACTATGTTGTGAAGTGTTAAATGCTCCCCAGAGGGCAAGGACAAGCTCTGGCTTTTCCAGTTAGGTAAGTTTACAAGATGATCATTCTCAACTTCTGTCAAAGTTTCAATGTGCCCTCACTAACTACCAAGGGAAACCTGTGAGCATGCGGAATCAGAAACTGGCTCTCTTTGGCTTTGTGAGTCAAGGCTATGAACTCAGTGAGTTTTCTTTATTTTCCACTTCAGCTCCAGGGTAGGATTGTGGTAGTTAATGTAGGAGTTGACGAGGGGCTGCTTTCCCCTTTTGAAAGCAAAGGCTCGACAGAAAACCACTTGATGTGTGGCTACCTGACCAACACCCAGCCAGCACCTTGTCAGTTCAGAATCATTAAGCGGACATCCTCCCTTCTGGGCCATGCACACTTGCATTTCCCTGCCTCCTTTCAGAAGAAGGTATGTTAGTGGGAGCCACTTACTGCCACCTCTCCAGGGCTTTACAGGTGCACCTGTGTTCTCCACACTGTAGCTAAGTCCAATTTTCTGTTCCTTGTCTAGGATGAGACAATGCAGCTGTCACCTCTCTATGTTCTACAGCATTAGTTTAGAATACATTCTCCTGGGTTTCCTATACTCAGGAGCTTTCTGGACAGATTTTTTTTAAAATGTACTCAGGTCCTCCAGACGTAAATCAAATGCCGGCTGCTTTTCTAATTGCTTGTTTTCTTTTGAACTTGGAAATCACATGTGAAATTTTATCTTACTAAAAGATAAGTTTACATGGCTATTTTATTATCAGTTTCTTTTATATATCTAATCCATAAAACTTTGTTCATCTGTAAAATGGGTTTAATGATGTCTGCCTGATTTATTCCACAGTGTTTCTGTGTCATGTCTTGCTATGCCTAAATTATTGATTGATATAAAATGTCCATTCTGAAACTGCACTCACGGTGACTACCAGTGCAAACCTACACATATATATTATCACGTGCCTGCATAGGTTTTATTGCCACCAATATTTTGATCAACAGGAATTTATTGAACGGGCAAAGAATAGGTGAGGAATAAATTAAAAGTTGTAGGGTGGACCCCTGACCTCTAGCTGTTCAGAGTACAGCGATGGAGCTTGAAGTCTGGAGCCAGACCAGCTCCAGAGTCAGCACCCTTGGTTTGGGTGCTGACTCTGCCACCCTCTCACTGAGTGATGCTGGACAAAGTGTTTTTTTTCCACTGGCCTCAGTTATCACATCTGTGGAATGGCCACAACAACCACCCCTAAACTACAGGGCTGCTGGGGGGATTCAGTGAGCTCTTTCATGTACGCCACTTTGAAGAATGGCTTGTACATGATAAATCCTATAAGCCTTTCTTAAATATATAAACAATAGATGTTCTAGTGAGGGAAACAAATGTATTTTATATAATTTTACTGTAATCAAACAGCAGGCGGGGAATTTCTCAAGTATTGCCTATGTTAAAGGAAAGATGAGCTGACAGGACAAATGAAAAGGAGACTATTTGGCATGCACCTGGGATGTCATCCCAAGCAGGTTGTGCCTGCAGTGCAGTACAACTGCATAACGGGGACCTAAGAGAGGGTTGGAGGGCTGCGCTAGAGAGGTGTGCAGGCTCATTAGCCGGTCCTGGTGGCACGCGCCTGTAATCCCAGTTACTCAGAAGGCTGAGGCAGGAGAATTGCTTGAACCGAGGAGGTAGAGGTTGCAGTGAGCTGAGACTGTGCCATTGCACTGCAGCCTGGGCGACAGAGTGAGACTCTGTCTCAAAAGAAAAACAGAAAAGATAGGAGGGCAGACTCTCCTGGCCACAATGAGAAATCAGACCCCTTTCTCCTCTTTCAATTATCTGACTCTTGTTTGGAATTTCTGCTCTAAAACTTGAAGTCTGAGGGGAAATGTTTGCTTGATTTGTGTTTCCTCTGAGATTGAATTTGACTGGAGATAATGCTGGCATACCCAAAAGCTGCATGTCTGCAAATATCTGCCAGTTCTATTCTTGAAAATTGACATATGTCCACATTCTACGGAGGGATGCTTTTGCGATCCAATTAGAAATAATGAAGCTCACAATATTACACAAGAAGTCAATTCCCAAGAGCTAACAGTGTCCCATACCTAGCACCGTGGCCCAGGGGAACCCAGAGAGCAACTCTCTTCCTCCAAATGGACATAACAAGCAGGTACTTCCAACACCAGCCGGCTTTGCTGCTCAATTTTCAGAGGATGCCTATCTGTGATAAAGGGGTGACTTCCACACTTGCTTCAACAAACCTACAGGTAGATTTAGAACAATGGCTTCTGTCTCACATAATTGTTCTTTAAACAAGTGCTTTCTTGATTGGAAAAGTGATGATTTTATTTCATTTTATTTTTAGAAAAAAAAAAGTCACTGAGCACTGGATGCCGAGGACAGCTGGAGTGCGTGGGATGTGGGACGCTATTTTTTCCTAGCTGCTTTGGAAACCAAGCAGATGGGTGGCTACTTGATGACATCAGGGGCCATGGATGGTGCATTCCAGCTGCTGACCACATGAACACGTTTACTATGGGCAAAGAAGAGAATTTCCCTCCTGCGCTCTGCTTCTCCCTTGGTCCCAGCTTCCTTAGATTGTTTTTCTGGGCTATTGAAATCATGTCTGCCTCCTTCTCTCTGAAATACACAGCCATGGAGAGTCTCCATGGGGAAAAGAATTTCCAAGTACTTTTTGTGAAACGTGCAAAGGGGCTTTGCAGGATTCAGGTAACTTGCTCAGAGCATGGAATTTCTAAATGAAGCAGTGCCGTCAACTTTCTCCCAAGTTGTGTAGATAAGACAAAGCAGTGCTCTCAGGAGAGCTTGGCTCACAGCAGAGGGTTGGAAGTGAGTTTCCTGCAATCACAGTGGGAAGGTCTGAGGTCTTCCTCCTAGCCGGAGACATTCGTCTGCTGTTGGAATGGAAACCAGTAATGAAAAGATAACACTGTATATGCATATTTGCACTTTACAGTTTGCAAAGAGCTCTATACTTTACACATGACAAATGTGATTTCAAATACTCTCAGCTAAACACCAACTACTGGGGCCTCTTGTGTTTGCAAGACAGCCAAGCCTTCAGACATAGGCTCAATATTTCATGGCTGATGAGATGTAAAATCCTCTCCTACGATAAAAGCGTCTGTGAATGTGTGAGTGACAAGCGGCATGGCGTCGTGAAACACGTGGGCTCCAGTCCTGGCTGTCCCAAGTCCCTCTCTGAGTGACAGTCTGCTCATCTGTTGAATGGGGATTATTCCCCGCATTGCCCACCTTACAGGGTTAGGTGGGGTCAGAAGAAAATCCATTTGAGAAACTGCCTTGGAAATTATAAAGTTTTATGTACATGTTACTAATATTACGAATAGTCTAAGGCTGACATACTCTCAGGAATATTATGATTCTACATAGAATCTTTATCAGACAATAAACCTAGACTTCCCAAAGACCTTACCTCTTTGTTAAAACAAGAACACTTTATATCACATCCTCTTTGGCATTTCCCTCAGAAAAGGCCTGGAACAAAACCATGTAGACCGAATTCGGTCTGTCTGGTGCTTTTGGCGTTGCATTTTTTTTTTCCTCCCTGCATTTCTCATTTAAGCTTGACAATATCCCTGTGAAGTAGGTAACACCTCTGAGACTTCACCTTTGATGAACCAATGCTTAGAAATTTGAAGATTTCTCCAAGACTCAGCTAGGAGGAGTCGGGATTGGAACCCATGCCTTCTGATCCTGACAACTGAGGCATTGTCAGTGGTCGGCTTTCTTTGGGGGATCCAGCAGGCTCTGGTTCAGTCTTTCTTGGGAGCTTGCTGCTTTAGAAAACCTTTTCTCATTTCTGTTTGGTCATATGAGATTTCATCTCTGGCTTCCCAAGCGTCTCTGTGGGAAGGGGACTTGAAGCCAGTTTGGAGTTTTAGTAGAAACTTCTCCAGTACAAGGCAGGTACTCAGGGGTGGGTGCAGACTTGATTTTACAAGTACATCTGTTCTGTTTATTTTTGCTTCTTTGCAGTATTATCAACTTCTGCTCCATATGGGTGATCCATATTGTGCCTTGGTGAAATGATACCACATTATGCTTTTATGCCTTTATCATCAAACACTACTCATGAAAAAATCACCAGGTTTGCCTAGGTTCATCTGTTCAATTTATTTTTCCCAAACTTTATTTTGAATAAAACACCTACGGTAAATGTGATTTATGTAAATGAATAAAACAAAACTGTTATATAAGCTTTTTTGACATCATTCAGTCCCATCCTGTCGGGGCGCCACTATACAAAATCCTCTGGCAGCATGTTTTCCATAGGATTATATTATTTCTGAAATCGCAGAGCCAAAGAGATAAAACTATAATATACTTTCAAATGCTTTAATTTAATTTTTTCTCTTCTCTCCCCAAGCTTCCCATATGGAGGAACTCCAATATTTTAAGAGAAGCTTTTACTTATGAGAATCTTGCAGCACTATTCCAAGTGCCTGTAGCTATTCCTCTCTCTCATACTCTCTGCCTTTCTCTATTTTTCTCACACCTCGCTCCCTGATTTTATTTAAAGAATGGCAATCTATCTTTCCTTCCCCCTCCCTCCTTTATTGTTATATTTTCTTACTTTCTACCCCCTGGGACCCTGAATGGAAGAATTTTCATTTTCCAAGCTGGTGCTAGGGGCCAAGTCCTGTGCCCTGGATTGACACACATCATCTCACGTATTTCACAGGATGCACAGCCCTGGCAGGTGTTCTTATCTCCACTGGGCAGATGGGAAATGAAGGCTTGGGAAGCTGAAGGGCCTGCCCGGCTCAAGGGCACAGCACTAGACTAACGGTGGTGCCACTGAACTTGGGGACATCCATGTGTATGCAGGCCATCTTGGAGGATGAAGGCCTTTGCGCTCACTCTTCCACTGATGGAGACCACTATGTGTAGTTAATGCCCTGGGTAGCAAGCCCTGGCTTCTGCTAACCGAGGCTCACCACATGGGAGACCCAATGGGTCATTTCATCCTGAGGAAGCTCCCGAGGGCCTAAATGTCAGCCTGCACTGGCTCCTTTGTTCCATAAGGCAAGGAAACTGAGTCCCAGAGAGAAGGTCACGGCCTTCCCAAAGCAACACATCTAGCAATACGAAGTGTGTGATAATGAGATCCTTGAGCTCTGTGTGCAGCATGCATTTCCTTATCACCTAACACTCAATTGAAGACCCACACTGGCCCCAGAATGAAGAAGTAAACCACTGATTAATTCACTAAATATTAGTTTACAAGAACTTCTTAAAGTACATGTGTTATATCAAATGAGGTAATAGACATTTACATTTAACATACTATATGAAAGCTTTTTCAAATTATACATTAGTTAAATACATGTTATTTTGGTTGTTGTAAATGTGAACATTTAAGAACAAAAGTGAATTAAACTTAATCCTTCCATCATAAACAAATGTCAGCTGGCTTGGGTACCTTTGGCTCATTTTTATCATGTTTGTTGAGAGCTCTGTCTTTTATCAAAAGTTGAATTTGCATTACTATTGATAAATCCTCTACAAGATTTTTCAAAGAGTTCTTTAAATTTTGTTGTAATTTCAGACACAATATTCAAGCACTGAACTCTTCAGCCCAGTGATTTTCCTGTGGATTACTCATCAGAAGATACACACTTACTATAGTAACTCCAGAGGCTATAAATCCCTGGAAAGTTCATTCGAATGAAATTTCTATATCCTCATTTTCCTAGTACCAGGATAGAAAGTATTGAATATTTCTGAAAGTCTCTCTCACTGCAGAATAGCAGGCAAAATTAAAAAAGAAAAAAACCAAAAAAAACACACCAAGATTCTTGAGTAGAGAAGAGCTAGAGATAGGCTGATATTTTTCATTCCATAATTCCTGGTGAAACTGCTTAGCCTAAAGGTAGTCATGAGAACACTTAGTCCCAATGTATACTGTATCTCTGAGATGGTAACTGCGAAAGAGTAGTTGTACATTTGGTGGCCACTAAGCAGATATCATGAGCATTACTGTTTTAATACTTACTTCATTTGCTCAGAATTCATGCTCAGCATCAGTGTTTGGGGATCTGTTTTTAATTATGAAAACTGAGGTCCTATATTGCTTTTGTTCTTCTCTTTTTGCCACATTTCTGCTGCAGGGGAAAAATGTGCTCTCAACAGCCTGAAAACCTGGCTGAGGACTCCTTCCTAGCTCAGCCCCTGATGCTCATAGGGAAAGGATCAACATAAAATCATTTCTGTTTCAAAGTGCAACTTACTCCTCATAATAATTGCTATCCTAAATAAGGTGGCAGTTTTTTTTTCTCCTACACAGTTGGTATTTGGCATTTAACAATGCAACGCCTTACCTCATTCACTGCCTAGACAATGAGAGCTTTAAAGTGTTAGAGTCATGGAAGACTTTCTGAAATGTCTTACCTTAATTTACAGTGAGGAGCTAAGAAAGGTTGGCCAGGAAAAGGCAGAGGCAAAATCCTGAGTCCAGAGTCATAGTCTAGCAGCAGGGGCCCCTGGATGCACCATTGCTTTACACACATGAGGTGTTCCACATGGATCATGTAGCAGTTGGGCAAAGAAGGTGTCCTCCTTGTATTGTAGCTGATAAAGCAGAAGCTTAGAGATGCAAGTGACTTGCTCAATTCCTGCTTCCAGCACATTCAGGTATTCTCACACCTGGATCTCTGCTCTCTTTCCTCTTTCTGCATCTTAATTCCTTTCCAGATTTGTGCCCATTTTGCTTCAGATTTGGTGTCACACTCATAGAGATTATTGGATTGATCTATTACTCAATATTCTCCCAGAGAGAATTGCAGCCGGCAGGAACATTCATTGTAGACCCAGGTGTTAGTGAACAAGCTCTACCTTCAACCCTGTTCTGGACTAGCAAGTAATGAATTACACATTTAATTTCAGTACTCCAGTTGACCCTTGATTCCCTCAGTTGGCAGAATCCATTTTCCTAGACTTTAGAACAAGAAAGAAACACTTGTTCTCTCCCAAAAATACCCAAGTCAACAAATGAAAACATGAACCTCAAAGGATGACTTCAAGCCTAGAGTCTCGAGGAAGAGGACAGAGTGGTTTTGGGAGTTATTTAACCACTCTAACCATATTTCCTCTAATAAATGAGTATGCTAGTGCTTAATATACCACATTCTTTTGAGAACTATTTAAGTTAATGCACTCAAAGTTGCTAATATTCTCACCAGTGCAATGGAGAGCATTGTAGTACTTTGAGATGACATTGCTTTCACCAACTGAGCCAATCCTACTCCTACGTTTGTTTCTATTGCCATGTAAGTTAATGTAGGTTTAAAATCTCAGGCTTCCAAGAAAGAGTACTAGAGTCTCAGGAACTACCCTCATTTCTACCTTGCACTTCCTATACTCCATGCCTAATTCTCTAGGTTCTATTTGAGATATGACTCCTATATGTAACCACACTCTCCAGCCCTGATCTCAGTTTCGCTGTGGAGTTTTAAGGCCTCTATTGTCAAGTATTCATTATTATTTCACATGTGTGCAATTGCAGTTGCCAGCAGTGTCTTGCAACTCTGACCCCCTTTTTTAAATAAATATTTTAATTATGTTTTGGGTTTCTAGTAAAATTGAACAGAAGGTGCAGGTATTTGCCATATTTTCCCTGCCCTCACATATACATAACCTCCCACTATCAACATCTTTTACCAGAGTGGGAAATTTGTTACAATTGATGAACCTATATTGACACATCATTAGCACCCCAAATTCATACATGCCATGGCTTTGGATAAATCTGTAATGGCCTGTATTCACCATTATAGTATCATACAGAACAGTTTCACTTCCCCAAAAAATCCCCTGTGATCCACCATTCATCATTCCCTCTCCCCAGCCCCTGGGAACAATTACATTTTTTTCTGTCTCCACAGTTTTGCCTTTTCCAGAATGCCATTTACCTAGAATCATATCTTATGTAACCTTTTCAGATTGGCTTCTTTTACTTAGTAATGTGCATTTATGTTTCCCCCATGTCTTTACATGGCTTAAAGTTTTTTTTTTTTGTATTAAATAGTATTCTATTGTCTAGATTACCAGTTTGTGCATTTACCTACTGAAGGACACCTTGGTTGCCTCCAAGTTTTGTTAATTATAAATGAACCTGCTATAAACCCCATGTGCAAGTATTTTTGTGGACATAAGCGTTCAATTCATTTGGATCAGTGTCAAGGAACATGATTACTGGATTATATGGTAAAAGTATGTTTAGTTTTGTAAGAAACTGCCAAACTGGCTTAGAAAGTGGCTGTGCCATTTTGCATTCCCATCAGCAATATATGTGAGTTCCCAATGTATGAGATTTGGAGTACCAAATCCTCATCAGAATTTCATGTTGTCAATGTTCTGAATTTTGGACATTCTAATAGGTGTGTAGCAGTATTTCATTGTTTGAATTTACATTTCCCTAATTATATATGATGTGGAGTATCTTTTCATATGCTTACATGACATCTGTGTATCTTCTTTGGCAAGGTGTTGGTTAAGATTTTAGGACACTTTTATTGAATTGTTTATTTTCTTACAATTTAGTTTTAAGAGTTTTTTGTATATTTGGGGTAGCGGTCCGTTATCAGAGATTTCTTTCTGCAAATATTTCCTCCCAGTTTGTGGCTTGTCTATTCACTCTCTTGACAATGAATTCACAGAGCAAAAATATTAATTGCAATAAAGTATAGCTTATCCATTTTTTCTTTCAAAATTGTGGCTTTTGTGTTGCACCTAAAAAGTCATCACCAAACCCAAGGTCATACTAGATTTTTTCCTATGTTCTCTTCTAAGAATTTTATAGTTTTACATTTCATATTCAGATGTGTAATACGTACTGAGTTAATTTTTGTGAAGGATGTATGGTCTTTGTCTAGATTCATTTTATGTAATTTTTGCATGTGGATATCCAATTGTTCCAGCACCATTTGTTGAAAATACGATTTCTTCTCCATTGTATTATCCTTACTCTTTGTCAAAGATCAGTCGAATATATTTATGTGTGTCTACTCCTAATCTCTCTATTCTGTTCCAGTGATCTATTTCTCTATTCTTTCATCAATACCACACTCTCTTGATGATTATAACTTTATAATAAATCTTAAAGTTGAGCAGTGTCAGTCTTAAAACTTTGTTCTTCTTTTTCAATGCCGTGTTGGTTGTTCTGGGTCTTTGCCTCTCTGTATAAACTTTAGAATCAGTTTCTTGATATCCACAAAATAAGTTGCTAAGATTTTGATTAGGACTGCACTGAACCTATAAATCAAGTTAAGAATAACATCTTGAAAATATTGAGTCTTCTTATCCATGAACATGGAATATCTCTCCATTTATTTAGTTCTTCTTGTTTTTTTCATCAAGGCTTTGTAGTATTTCTCATACAATTCTAGTATGTGTTTTCATAAATTTATACTTAAGCATTTTATTTTTGAGGAATGTTAATATAAATGATAAGATTTTTTAATATAAAATCCCACTTGTTCATTGTTATATGAGAAAGTTATGACTTTCATATATTAACCTCATATTTCCTAAATTTGCTATAATTATTTGTTAGTTTCAGGAGTTTTATTTTGTTGATTCTTTTGGATTGTCTATATAGACAATCATGCCATATGCAAAGAAAAATGTTGACTTCTTCCTTCCCTGTTAGTATGGGTTTTTTTGCTTCCATTTCTTGTCTCATTGCATTAGCTAAGATATTCAGTATGACGTTGAAAAAACATGGTAAAAAGAAAAGATCCTTGCCTTGTACCTGATCTTAGTGGGAAAGCTTTGAGTTTCTTACTATTAAGCATGATGTTAGTTGTAGGGTTTTTGTAGATATTCTTTATCAACTTGAGAAAGTTACCCTCTATTCCCAGTGTACTTATAATGTTTATCATGAATGGATGTTAGACTTTTTCAAATGCTTTTTCTGCATTTATTGATATAATCATGCAGTTTTCCTTCTATAGCCTGTTTATGGATGTGATGAACTACATTAATTGATTTTTGAATGTTAACCAGTCTTTCATACCTGGAATAAATCCCACGTGATTGTGGTGTATACTTTTTTTATATTATTAAATTTGATTTGCTAATATTTTGTTAAGGATTTTTGCATCTATGTTCATGAGAGATATTGGGCTGTAGTTTTCTTTGTCTTGTCTTTGTCTGGTTTTGGTATTAGGATAATGCTGGCCTCATGGGGAATTATTTAGGTAGTATTCCAGCTGTTTCTATCTTCTGAAAGGTATTGTAAAGAATTGGTATTTTTTTCTTAAATACTTGATGGAATTTACCAGTGGACCCATCTGGGCTTCACACTTTCTCTTTTGAAAAGTTATTAATTATTGATTCAATTTAAAAAAATAAATGTAGGCCTCTTCACATTGCCTATTTCTTCCTATGTGTATTGGCAGGTTATAACTTTCAAGGAGCTGGTTCTTTTCATCTAGGTTATCAAATTTGTGGTTCTAGACTATTCATGTTATTTCTTTTATATCATTTTAATGTCCATGGGATCTGGAGTAATGTCACCTCTTCCATTTTTGATATTGGTAGTTTGTTTTTTTTCTTTTCTTTCTTACTTAGCCATAGTAGAGGCTTATTAATTTTTTTGCTTTTCTTTAGTTTCCTACAGTGCTAGTTTAAACCATTGATTTTAGATCTTCCTTTTTCTAATATATTCATTCAATGCTATAAATTTCCCTCTAAGCATTGCTTTCACTATATTCCACAAATTTTGATACATTGTGATTTCATTTTCATTTAGTTCGAAGTTTTTTTTTATTTTGATTGACATTTTGTCTTTGATCTATTTTAAACAGATTAAAATTTTTAAATTTTAAATTTGTTAAGGTGTGTTTTATAACACAGAATGTGGTCTATTTTGGTGAATGTTCCATGTGAGCGTGAGAAGTGTGTATTCTGCTATTGTTGAATGTAGTAGTCTTAAGATGTCAATTAAATTCAGTTAATTAATGATGATGTTGAGTTGTACTATATCCTTACCAGTTTTCTGACTGCTGAATTTGTCTATTTCTGACAGAGGGGTGTTGAAGTCTCCAACTCTAACAGTTGATTTAGCTATTTCTTCTTACAGTTTTATCAGTTTTTACCTAATTTTTTAAACATGTATTTGTTAGGCCAATATATTTAGGAGAGTTATGTATTCTCGGCAAACTGATCTTTTGTTGTTATTGTTATGTAATGCCTCTTTATCCCTGATAACATTTCTTGCTCTGAAATTGGTCCTATCTAAAACTAATACAGGTACTCCTGCTTTCTTTTTATTAGTATTAGCATGGTATTATCTTTCTCGATGAATTTACACTTAATCCATTTATATCTTTATATTAAAAGTGTGTTTCATATAGATAACATACAGTTGGATCTTTTTTTTTTAGCAACTTTTTTTTTTAATTATACTTTAAGTTTTAGGGTACGTGTGCACAAAGTGCAGGTTTGTTACATATGTATACATGTGCCATGTTGGTGTGCTGCACCCATTAACTCTTCATTTAACATTAGGTATATCTCCTAATGCTATCCCTCTCCCCTCCCCCCACCCCACAACAGGCCCCGGTGTGTGATGTTCCCCTTCCTGTGTCCATGTGTTCTCGTTGTTCAATTCCCACCTATGAGTGAGAACATGCGGTGTTTGGTTTTTTTCCTTGCGATAGTTTGCTGAGAATGACGGATCTTGTTTTTGATCCACTGTGACAATCTCTGCCTTTTAATTGATGTATTTAGACCACTGATGTTTAAATTTATTACTGATAGAGTTAAATAAATAGCTAATATATTTGGAATGTTTTGTATGTGTTGTCCTTGTTTCTTATTTTTTTCTATTTTTGTCTTTCAGTCTTTTTCTGCCTTTGTAATTTTAATTGTGCATTTTATTACTCTATTTTCTCCTCTTTCTTGGAATATCAGTTACATGTTTTTAAAAAATTTCCATTAGTGGTTGCGCTAGAATTTACAATATACATTTACAATGAATCCAAGTTCATTTTCGAATAACACTATACTATATCATGGCTAGTGAGAGCACCTTATAATAATAAAATAATTCTAATTTCTCCCTCCTGTCCATTTTATCATTGCTGTCATTCAATTTTACTTATACATAAGCATATACAAACATATATACATACATGTAATAAATAATCAAATATACTGTTTTTGAACAATCTACTGTTAGATCAATTGAGAATAGAACATAAATGTTTTTTATTTTACCTTCATTTATTCCTTCTTTAATGCTTTTTCTTTTTTCAATGTAGACCTGAGTTTCCAACCTATATTCTCTCCCTTCTCCATAAAGAATTTATTTTAACATTTCTTGAAGACAGTTGTTTTGGCAATATATTTTCTCAATTTTTGTTTGTCTGAGAAAGTATTTATTCCTACTTTGCTCTTGTAGGATAATTTAACAGGGTACAAAACTCAAGTGGTTTTCAGAACACTTTAAATATTTCACTCCACTCTTTTTCTGCTTCCATAATTTTTGAGAAGCTAGAGGTAATATTTATTTTTGTTCCTCTATAGTTAAGCTGACTTTTTTCCTCCTGGTATCTTTCAAGAATTATTCTTTATGTTTCATTTTCTGCAAATTGAATATAATAAGAGTATTTTTTGTTGTTGTTGCTGTTGCATTTATCCTGCTTGAAGTTTTCTGAGCTTCTGTATTTGTGGTTTGGCATCTGACATTATTTGGGAGAAAATAGTATTGTGGTTTCAAATATTTATCTGTCCCATTCTCTCTTCCTTTTCCTTACGGTATTATCAATATGCATATGTTATGCCTTTTGTAATTGTCTCACAGTCTTATATATTTTGGTGAGTTTTTGTTTTGTCTTTTTTATCTTTGCTTTTCAGTTTTGAAAGTTTCTGTTGTTATATCATCAAGCTTAGGGATTGTTTCTTTAGTCATTTCCAGTCACCTAATAAGCCTATAAGACATTCATTTCTGTTACCATGTTTTTTACCTCTAGCATTTCTTTCTGACTCTTTCTTAGAATTTCCACATCTCTGCCTACATTGCCCTTCTGTTCTTGCATGAAGTCTACTTTATCCATTGGAAGCCTTGGAATATTAATGGCAGTTGTGTGAAATTCACAGTCTGATGATTTTAGCATTCCTGCCATATCTGAGTCTGTTTTGGGTGTTCTGTCTCTTTAAACTGTTTTCTGCTCTTTAGTATATTATATAATTTGCATGTGGTTTTTCCCCACCAAAACTCATGGTGAAATTTGATTTCCAGTATGATAGTGTTGGGAGGTACAAACTAGTGGGGGCTATTTGGGTCATGGAAGTACACCCCTCATGAATAGATTAAATGCCCTCCCTTAAGGGTGAGTGAGTTTTTACTCTCAAGAGAAAGCATTAGCTTCCAAGAGAAAAGGGATGTTAAAAAGAGCCTGGATTCCTCAGTTTCTTTCTCTTAGTTTGTCTTTTGCCTGTTTGCACATACCTCCTCCCCTTCTGCTTTCCACCCAGAGTTGAAACTGTATAAGGCCCTCACTAGATACAGCTGCTTGATCTTGAACTTTTCAGTCACCAGAATCATGAGCCAAATAAACCTCTTTTCTTTATAAACTACCCTGCTGCAGGTATTCTCTTATAGCAACACTAAGCAGACTAAGATAATATGCCTTACAAACTTGCAACTTTGTCTTGATAGCTGTACATGATATACTGGGTAGAAAGAACTTGCTGTATGTAAGCCTTTAGTAATGTGGTGGTAAAGTGTATGGGGAAGAAAACATTCTGTAGTCCTATAATTAATTAGGTCTTAGTCTTTTAATGATTTTGTGCCTCTGGCTCATTCACAAGTATGCTTTAGTTTAGTTTTGTTTTTTTCACTTTCTTAGGTGGTACAGAATAAATAGTGGGTCCAGAGTTAGGTGTTTTCCTTCCTCCATGTGAAAGATTGCAGCTGGCTGGAGTTGGTATTTCCTTTCCTCCAGCTCAGTGAGGCTCTGATAAAGCCCCAACAGGTTAGGATCTGGCTAAATAGTTCTCCTGAGGGAAGATCCTATAAAAAAAAGAACATAATATTCTGGCATATTTTAAAATGGCTACTTTTCTCCTCCCTCTGTTGGAAGCACAAGGGGATTTTTTTCTCCGATATTTACTATAAGAACCTGGGTCAAATTTCTATTGGTAAAACTCACAAAGTGTGGAAATACTCCTATGACTGGGTCCCCTTTTTGTTTTTAACTCTCACAATTACTCAAACTTAGCCTTTAGCAATTTGTGAATTACAATTTGGGTTTTCCCACCCTGGCACTGATTCCTACAGAAGCTTCTGCTTGTGGATTTTTGCTCTGGTAAGTTGTAAATCTCTATTTGCCTATCTTTCTCTCCAATTTGAGGAACAGTAGTTTGCCCTATGACCTCATTTCCCTTATCGATGTGAGAAGAGTTGTTGATTTTTTAGTTTGTTCAGTCTTTTGTTTGCTGCTGGGATAGGGTGTTGACTTTCAAGCCTCCTGTGTGCTGGATCAGAACTGGAGCTGCTCCATTCTTCATGCAACATGTTGAGTCACTCCCTGGCTCTCAGTGTCTTTAAAATGAGATTAACTTTCTTAAGTAGGACACACAATCATGGCTTCATTCTCAAGCTCTCCCTACCTCTGCAGCCTCCTGTTTTCCCAGCGTATTTACACCACAGCCGTAGCAAACTTAGAAATCTTTCACAAACTTGGGGTCCTCTCTTCCAACTCTGTACATTAGCAAGTGCCATACCCTATGTGTTAATGAACATTCCCTCCTCTTTACCTGTTGCATATATACTCATTCAAGATTTTTGTGCAAAAGTCATCTCCCCTTTTTCTCCTAAAACCTAAGCTAAAATAAGTGGCTTCTCCCTTGTCACTTGTAGTATTTGACTAGAGCACTCAAAGCTTTTATTTTATTATCTGCATTTTTCCTTTGCCATCAGCCTGTGCTCTCTACAGTGGAGTGTCTCTGTCTAATTCACTTCATTGAGCAAGTGAAAGAATCACCAGTTGAAAATAAGAAGGTTGAGTTTTTCTTTGCAAAAATCCTTTCCATGATTCTTAAATTGAGTTCTGTAATGGTCCTTTAGAATTATTCAATGACAAGATTTTACTTCTTAAGTTTCCTTTTGTTAAATGGATATTATAATCAATGTTGTCATTTCTCTTTTAATAATTTTATAATCATGATATTGCATAATTGCACTTGTAATTAAGACACTGGTCAACTCATTTAAAAATAATTAAATGTTACTTAAAAGTTACGACCTCTATCACCATTGCTTAACTTACCACATTACTTCCACTTCTGGTTTTGCTAGCTGCAGTTTTTAATCATGATATTTGAGACATTAAACAATATACTATCCATATCTCTTATAAAAGCCCATGAGGAAGATACTATTATAATTACAATTTTATGAATAAGGAAGATTAAGATCAAAAGATTGAAAAGATTTGTGCAGGTCACAGAGTTAGTGAGTGGCAAATTCAAGACTGGGATTTATTATTTTTCAGTCCTCCTGAGCAACAGACTTGCTGCTTTATGTTTTATGGGAACTTTCTGGATGGCCCTCTTTTGCCTTTATTCAACTTTCTTGTTTTCAATAAACAGATTTAGATTTAGATCTCTATATTTGTATTTCCAACTTTCTATAATCTGCACACAGTGATATTTTCCCTCTTCAATCTGTTACCTTTAGTCATTTTTAGTTTTGTTTTCTTATTTATCAAAATCTTCTGATAATTTTCTCTAGCATTTTTGTCTTCTTTTCCCTCTACTTTCCTATTCTTGTGTCTGATTAAAAAATGAATTATGTAAAGTCATTATAAAAAGTAGCTGCTTTTCCATTTACTCATTATTGAATTTGACCTCAATGTAGGAAAGTAAATAAGTGACACACTTAAACCATTTAATCACGTAACATAGATAAACTGTCCTGAAATACCATGTTGCAAAATACTATGCTACATAAAGTCATCTTAGGCTCATTTTGGTTTCTTGCACAATTTCAGTGTATTTGTCTCATGAGATGATAGTGCTCAGTGAGGTGTGAGGGTTCACCTTGACAAGAGAGTGAGGCTATATATAAACAGGTAACCTGCACCCCAGGGGCTGCAGGAGAGGCTTTTGCAACAACATAAAGGGGGAATTCAAAATGGCCACATCTAAAAGCATACAGGAGCTTTATTCCCCTTAGTAATTTGAACTTCCCTGCTATTCTGGGAGATCATGAGATATACTCTTGTTCTATTCCTGAGGTGTGCATAAAATGAGTTCTCTTATCAATTCTGCCTGCCCAGTACAGATAATTTAGTGACAGAACAGAGAGCTTCTTTGTGTGAATTCTACCCAGTTGCCTTTGCAAATGCGGCATGTGATTTCATGTACTTTTTACTTTTTTATTAGAAGTTACTGCATTTGAATTAGCTACAATCCCTCTTTTTAATAGATTGTATCAAAAATGTCTACGTTCCATAGCATTGGTGGAACCATGCATTATGTCTGAGGACAAGGACGGGAACCTTCCGTGGCGTGCTATCAGCAGCTTTAAATAGGCATTGAGTTTGAAGATAGAGCACATGATGAAGGAAAGTCAGACCCCAGTCGGCTATTTAGCTTTCAGTTCTGAGGAACCTGTCATTGCTTGCTTCTGTAAACCCAGCTAATGTGATTTATCTGATCCATTTCAATGCAAGAGAATGAAATGGCTCCGGTATAACAACCAATACAGAAACAGCAGTTACAAACTTACAGGGCTGCTGCTGCTTAAATATCTAGGCTAAGTACTTTTAAAATTAGCACTTTCATCTTGTTAGTGGTCTGTAAATGAGAACCCCTCTAAGCAATCAGATGTTCACAAATAGGGCCATTTCCCATGGACCAATAATATTCAAAAGACTAAAGCTGTCTTGCTAAGGAGGTTTGACTTTGTAGCAGGGTTTTAAAAGATATCCAAATACACCACAGAGAATCTTCTTCTGGGAGAACGGAGTGTGTGACTCTCCTCTGATAGTCTTGGAGGAACTGATGTCACTGCCCCCGCACCCCTCTTGTCCTATTCTAATGTCATGTCTTTCCCTATGTCTTTCCACCAGTGCCTGTGGGCTCCTGAAGGAAAGGAGAGATGAGATCATTATGGGCAGAACTTAGAACCTCTGGATGAATAGAGACGAGGTAAAATTCTGGCACCTATCCACAGCCTGAACCTTGGAGAACACCTCCCTTTCATATGACTTCTGCAAAGGGCGTGTTTCAGCTCACAGGGACAAAGAGTCACTGCACCAGAGAACCAGAAAGAGGTGAGGAGGAGCATGTGCTTTCAACCATTCCTGATGTCTCCCGTATGTCATCTAGCCACCTTGTTGCTGCCTTTCACTGAAATGTCTCTTATTATCATGTTTTTAATATTTTAATGTGTTTCTATTTAATCACGAGCCATGTTTACAAAATTTCTATTGGCATGCAGCGTGTGTATCCCCCCATACCCTGCCTTCTCTCCATTAATGTTTATGTCAGTCATTTACTTAAACCTAAGAATTGATAGGCAGTAGGCAGAGTGTGGTACACACTGATATGTCACCCTCATCCCCTTTCAGTGAAGAAATGTTTGTCCCCGGTGCTGAGAACACCATCAGATGATCTTTCTGCCCAGAGCCACTATCTGTCCCTAAATATCAGGTTTATCAATGCCTGGCCATCTCTTTTCAATTTGGGACAACTGCCAGCGACCACTAGCTAGCTCCAGAATTCCTCAGGTATGGAAGCTGTCCCTGGGTCTCCATCACATCTGACTTCTTCTTCTTTCTAATTATGCTTCTTCTCCCACCTCCACTTTCACAAGTGTGTTCCTCAAAGGAGCTCCTTTGTTAAATGGCCTGTACCTAAATGTCATCCCACAGTCTGCTTCTTGGGGTAATCCAAAATGCAACACACAACAAGCCCTGGTCCTTGCTCTTGAGAATTTATAAGTTAGGATGGTGAACTGGCCTCCACAAAACCAAGGACAGTGTGACAAACACATAAAAAGAAGCACAGGAAAGGGGCTGAGTGAGCCAATGGAGAGTGTGAGGGAGCAGGGTGGGAGGGCAGGAAGGCTTCATAAAGGCAGTGATTAAAATGTGTCTTGAAGAGTAAAGAAAAATACCTAACATTAGGTGCATAAAAGCAGAGAGGTGATAGATTGTTTCAGATCAAAATCACAGACAAAATTCAAGAGTGACTACATTTTAAGGGACATAGAAATGGTAGCAAAAGTAGTAAACGGCAGAGAGTAAACAATTAGATAGGAACCCATGTAGAATTTTGTGAGCCAAACTAAGGAAATTTGCCTTTTTTCTGCAGACCAGGTTTAAAAATAGAAGTTGATCCCTTTCAAAATAAAATCTGAGCCAGAATCCAAATGTATAAAACGGATACCAGCAGAGCTACCTGACTGATTATGGCAGGGTCTTAGAATTCAACCCAGTGCCTTCTCTCTTCTTCAGATGTTTCAGGAAACTGCCGCAACTTTGTAGAGCACAGTTTGAAAGCTACTGCTGAAGAAATATGTCACCTTGAAGGCTTTTTAAACACGGGATTTGCAAGATAGGGTTTGCATTTTAGAAACATTATTCTGCTTGCTACACTACTGAGTTTGGATGAGGGAGACTTGAAGGCAAGGGAGCTCTGTTATGAAATAACTACACTTTTCTTATAGAAGAAGACTATAATAGACTGTATCAAAAATGTCTACGTTCCATAGCATTGGTGGAACCATGCATTACGTCTGAGGACAAGGACGGGAACCTTCTGTGGCGTGCTGTCAACAGCTTTAAATAGGCATTGAGTTTGAAGATAGAGCACATGAAGGGCATGTTACAGCAGAGCTGAAGGGAGAACAGTTGATGGGGTTTGGTGATCAACTGATTTGGAGAGTAAAGCAATGAGAAGAATGACATTCATGATTTGGTATGAATTAAGGGTTTATTGGACAGAAGAAATGATGGGCAAGAGCGGGCATGGTGTAGGGGTGGAGTTGGAAACTTCCTTTCATATGGTCAACACCTCAGCAACCTCATTTAGACATAGGACCTGTGCATAGTAATCCCTTTTGTCTTGGAGGTGAGTTGTTGATTTTATTTTTATTTTTATTTTTTAGCTCCTTGGCACTTCTTTCTAAGGTTAGGGATCAGAAAGAAACATAATTGAGTTCCTGCCAAATTGAATATTCAGAAAGGGCACTGATAGGGGGATCAATTCCTTATTTCTACCATGAGACAGGCAAGATAAAGAAGAGTTGATAATTTCTGCACCCATCTTACTTCCTGCCCACCACAGAGCAGTTCACCCAGTGGCCTGGTTGGATGTTAGCCATTGGCAGGGCAAGAAATCCAACAATCGACTGTTGAAGAATTCCAGAGAATCAGTCTGGATCTCTTTCACACAGACAAAGTCTTGTTCCAGCTAATCTTAGGCTCCTATGCGAGAGGAAAGATGCTGGGAGGCCAGCACGGTGGCTCACACCCATAATCCCAGCACTTTGGGGGGCCAAGGTGGGCAGATCCCTCGAGCCCAGGAATTCAAAACCAGCCCGGGCAACATAGTAATAACCCCCATCTCTACAAAAAATTAAGAAAAATAATTAGCCAGATGTGTTGGTGCATGCCTTAGTCCTAACTACTCCGCAAGCTGAGCTGAGAGGATCACTTGAGCCCAGGAGGTCAAGGTTGCAAAGAGCCATGATCCTGTGCCTAGGCAACAGAACGAAAAAGATGTGAGAAATACTCAAAGTCTTGGTCTTTACCCAGAAGAATCAGAGCAAGGAAAAGAAAGATCTCTTTCCCCAGTTTGACATCCATCTTCCTAAATTTGGACAAAGGGATCCTAAACCACAGCGTCCTACAGTGAGTCAAAATGCCCATGCACTGATTCTCATCTCACTGGAGGTAAGCGCTGGGTCCGAAGTAACCTTCACTTTACCAGTTATGGTTACCCTTTATGTGAAGCTTGAATTGTTGCCTACTGTCCCGACTTTGTTTCGCTCCCTAGCCTGCTTTCATGGGACCCTACATCCTGCTCTTCTACCAGGCCATTTTGTTAGGGATCTGGGAATTGTTCTATGTATCTCCAGGTCATGGTTATTTCTCTTCCTTCAGATAGACCCCATAGGCCTCATAGGCCCCTTACGTCTTTTATAAAAAGCCAGTTTCTTTGAACTAGAACCTTCCTACACATCATGTAGTTCACAGCATCATTTGGTTCTTAAACTTGACTGCCCTTCAGTGTCACCTGGGAAACGTTCCAAAAATATTGATTCTGGGGTCTTATCTTAATTTAACTGAATTTGAATGGAAGATTGAACATGGGAATGTGTATTTTATTTTATTTTTTAGAAAAACTTTCCAAATCATTCTCACAGCTCTGAATGATTGGAGAACTAGTGACTGGGGTTAGTTTTCTTAAAATCTCCTTGTCCAAGTCTAGCTTTTGATACACACAACAGAGAAGGTAGTTGAAAGAAAGCTCTGGAAGAGCTCAGGGTTCTGATCTAGTATTGGAAGGAAGACCTACGCACGTTGTCTACTGGGCGAGCAGATGGCAAAGTTGGCATGCTGTCTGGAAGGTTTCAAATGCCGACTGCTTTTGTTTCTAGTCCAGATTTTGGGAGGGGTACACAACCTCCACCTTCACAAGCTGCCTCAGATCTGCTGAAGGACCTGGGAAAGTTGCTCAGTACAGACCCAGTATCCCACACCAGAGAGGGAAGATGACACTCATTTGTTTATATATCTGAAATAAGCAACTTCCAGATATATAGAGGAATAAATGTTTCCTTCCATCTCAATTCATCTCACTCTCCTAGGTTAACTAGTTAACTGACTAAAAGGTTGCTACCTTCGAGGCCAGGCATGGTGGCTCACGTCTGTAATCCCAGCACTTTGGGAGGCTGAGGCAGCAGGATCACCTGAGGTCAGGAGTTCAAGACCAGCCTGACCAACATGGAGAAACCCCATCTCTACTAAAAATACAAAAATTAGCTAGGCATGGTGGCACATGCCTGTAATCCTAGCTACTTGGGAGGCTGAGGCAGGAGAATTGCTTGAACCCGGGAGGCACAGATTATGGTGAGCCGAGATCATGCCATTGCACTTCAGCCTGGGCAACAAGAACAAAACTCCATTTCAAAAAAGAAAAGAAAAGAAAAAATGTTGCTACCTATGTAGACACCATTGCATACGCGAATGTGGAAGTAGAGACAGAGGTAGGAAGAGGGACAGGGAGAGGGACAAAGAGAGAGAGAGAGAAAGAGAGAGAGAGAGAGAGGTACATTTGGCAAGTTATTTAACATTTCCACGTCACAGTTTCCTTATCTAGAGGATTAATGATGGCTCCTTCTTCATAGTGCTATTATGATAATTAAATGAGTTAATATTTGTAAACTTCTATGACCAATGTCTGGAACATAATAACCACTCTGTAAATGTGGTTAACACACATGCACATATGCTTTCAATATATAGGTTTGCAACTTGCAGTTTTTCACTGAAGATTATGTCTTAGATCTCCTTATATGACGGTACACACAAATATAGCATAATTTTGTAACAGTTACATAGATTGCATGGTGTTATATGGATGGACTCTACATTATTTAATATTATTCTTTGGCTGGGCAATCGCATTGTCTTCAAAGTTAGTATTTTAAATACTGCAATAAATAATGCAGTGAATACAAGTATTTGTACTTGCATGAGTAGAAAAAAATTGTAGAATAAAAAGTCAGACTGTTGAGACAGGGGATGCAGATTTGCAGACACGAACAATAACATCAGATTTCTACTCTCAGGCTGCCCCATTTATACCCACACCAGCAGCACATGAGAAAACCCACTCCCTTCACAGTCACAAAAGTTGGGTAGTACAAACTCATAAAAACCTTTACTAACGTGAGGTCTTGAAGAATAACAGCTTGATTTTATTTTAATTCCAGACAGAATTCTATCACAGGAAAGTTAGAAAGCAGGTATTATCAGCCTTTTATCTGGACAGTAGTAAATATCAATATCTAAACTGTAAGGTTGCCATGAGCTGAAACATGAAATGGGGTATTTAAATAAAGTTCTTAAGATTAGCATTCCTTTGCGGAGACTGCCAAACCCAAATCATCTAATGTTGGCATCACTATTAATAACATATTTTTCCTTGAACCAATTGCTTCTTGGGGATAGGCAGATGATAGATAGATGGATAGATAAGCAGATAAACAGATCGATAGCTATATAATACAGATATAGCTTATAGACGAATAGATAGATGAATGTGGGCAGAGATAATACGTAGATAGGTAGATGCCTAGCTTGGTAAATGATAATCAATAGAAATAGAGGCAGATAGAGATACAGAAATAGACATAGATAGGGGTAGATCTATGAAATCCTCTTAACATTTGCTTCTGTGAAGAAACTTTCAGGCTCTACTGAATGATGCTTTACTGTACCTCGAATTTAAATGATGCGATGTATATGATATCTGCGATGCATACAAAGACAGGGTCCCCTTGGACACAGGTCACCCTGGCTCACCCCACCAGGTCTGCCACGGACAAGCTGACCGCCTGCATATTCACTTTCTCCTCTCTGAATTTAATTTCTTCATTTATAAAACAAGGAACATAACATGTATAGCAAAGTGAAGTAGTGAAGATTGACAAAATAAAATAAAGGAAGCATATCATCGAGTTTATGGTAAGCACATGAGAAAGATCACCCTGTTTTATTCCTAAGTTACAGACACGGCTCACAGGCTTAAGCGTCTTGCTGTAGGTCATACGGCAGGTTAATGACAACACTGGGGCAAGAACACAGGTTACGCTCGTCCTGGGGAAGGCTCCCACACCAAGCTACACACTTCTGCAATGCTGTTCCAGATGTGAAAATCCGCTAAGACAAATAGGTACGTTTCTTGCCTCTGCCCTTCTGAGTCTAGCAGTTGAGAATACAACTATCTGCAAACCAATCTTGCAATTTCAAGCCAACATAATATTTGGGGTAATTATATTTACATAAAATTTTAATGACTATAATTAAAATGGATAATCCAAATTCTAATAATTATATTATAATTAACTAAAAATCTTATTCAAAAGCAAATATGCCAGGAAGACTTTCATCAGATGAGGAAGGTGCATGGCTCTAGGTTAAAAGCACGACTTCCGAATCAAACTTGATGAACACATCTGCTTCTTTATGTCTAAACACATACAGAGCATTACCACTCACTAGAAGGAAGACTAGACAATGAGACTTTGCTTTTCATCTAAAACTTTTCCTTTAACACCCGGGTCAGGTTTTCAGTCCGAATGAGCTTCAATGCATCCCTGGGGAATTGTCTCTTGGTATTAGTCGGATTGAACACTAGATGGCACTGTGTTGCAACAAAATTTGGATTTTGAATGCATTTTTGTGTGGCTGTAATTAAGGTGTTGCTTGGGGTGGGGAGAGGTGAAATGTCTTTAGAAATAGTCTTCCTCAGTGGTCTCTTAAATATCCATTTGGACCAAATATTCTAAGGTTTATCTATCACCTATGCAGCTTTATTTCAAATGAGCATGCACATAAGAGATGTGTCTATTTTATGTATCAGTGGTTTCAAAAGTCATATTCGAATACCCATTTTTTCATGGCTTTGTGTCATGAGATGGAGAGCAAAGCAAACTGAAAGCGGTGAGGCAATGTGTCCAGCTCTCCTTTCAGCCTGGGCTCTCACCGGACTTCTGGACTTATCGCACTGATGCTGAATGTCTCCACCCACAGGCCCCACAGGCATCACAGACCCATCATCTGGGACATCTTATCACCAGCCTTCCAATCTCCCTAATATCTAGCCATTGGCAAGGCTATAAAGCCAATTTTGTGATATAAAATATTTTCGTGATTTATTTGACTTTTTTTGCCCCTCAATTATCACACCCAGTGAGTCATCAAGACTTGATTTTAGTTCATCATTACCTCCAAAACCCAAGCAAGCTGCTTGGTATATATGACCGAGTGCAGTGGAATCACTGTCATATTTCTTCTTTGCCTTTGACATCTTCTATTTTACAGCCCCAAGTCATTGTAAGTACTCCCATCCCTGCCTGGAAAGACAGGGACGGACGTAGCTCTTTCTCTAGCTCCCTGTAGCTCTTTCTCTAGCCAGCAAATTTTTTGTTTAAAACCTAACTCCAAAGTTCCTTCATCTGTGCATTCTTCCACATAGCTCCTCCCAACTTTGCGCATCCTGCATTCTAATGATTTCTTTGTATTTCTACTTTCCCTTTAGGTCACAAAAACACCATGGGAAACGATGATGTCTTTTCCTTTTTGTTATCTTGATAAAGCTTCATACATGGTAAGGAAGAGAAGGTATAAATGGCATTTTTGTAAGACATATAATATTTTCCTCTAATTTGGAATTTATTAATTAAAATTTAACAGAATGATAAAATGGAAATTTCAGTTGAGGAACTAATAAATCAACAGATGTCTTACTCCACAACGAGGTGCAAGATCTTGAGGCTGGATTTAGAAAGAGGAAGAGAAGACCAATTGCACAGCTCATCACCCCTCACCCATCTGATGATATGAAAGGTTTGAAGGAAGCCAGAGCTGGAGCAAGATTTTCCTCAGATGAGTTTTGATGAACTACAAAGAATGAAGATGCTCTCCCTTGTCATCCCCAGTCAAAGAAAAGGCACTTTAAAGAAATCACTCACGAGCCAGATATTGTGGTTGTATTTTGGTGGACACAGTGAAGTCACGTCTGGCTCGCTCCGCAAATACTGGGAGGGTGAGAAGTGGGAGGCAGCCGTGGGACCGCTGAGTGGAGGAGGCTGACCTTTGAGGAAGCACGTGGGATTTTTCCCCGCGGAACAGACGTGAGCCATGAACACGGGAGCAAAAGTGTGCTAGAGTAACTCCCGTCAAAGAGAGACCCTTACTAGGGCAAGAAGACCTTGATCAAAGCATACCCAGATGCCGAGGTTCTGAGGAAGGAAATAAGTGACCACCAGGCATGGTGCTCTGATTATTAAGCTAGTTTCTCAGCTCCAAACTCAACCTTCACTGCTTAGCCTTGTCACGGTGGGAAGGCTGGGAGAGGCCAAACCACCTTTCCCCTTTGCCAGGGCTCCCTGATCAGTTCTGCCTATGTGCTACTAAGGGAAACAGTAAGGCTGGAGGAGGGAAAGGGGACACCACCCTTCTCTTTGCGCACTGCTTATGCCAGCAGCATCCGAGCAATACCGCTTGCCCTGTAGTGCTTCTTGAGTCGGATTTCAGTTCAGTGTCTGGGTTTTTTAACATTTCTATAACCATTCTCCCTCCTCAATAGCACTCCCACATCAGAAGCTGAGTCCCAGCTCCCTGACTTCTCCAGATCCTAGAACTATCAGCACCAGCAGCAGCACACATTCCATTCCTGTGGGGCTTGGCTCTGTGAGGCTCCTCTCAGCTCCCAGATTCTCCCAACACAACTTCTTTCCTTTGTTCCCCCAGACTTCGAGCAGGTCATTTCTTGCTATGCCTGTCTAACCCCTTCCCTAAATTCAATTCTCTCTGTTAAGATAACCAGTATGTTTCTGCTTTCCAGTCTGGATTCTGATTGATACACAAAAGCTGCATTCCCACATCAAGGGAACTCCGAGTGTTCACCCTCCGTGGTAAGGGGAGACTGGGAGACCCCACAAAAGCATCCCAAGAGAGGAAGAGTCCCTTTACACACCTGCTGCCCCGTGTGTGGATGCCCACTGAGCACGGAAGTTGTCAAGTAAGAACTCTCAACTCCCTAGTGTTCCAAATCCCAGTTCTGGTGGAGTCAGGTATTACAGTCATAGCAGAGCAGAGGACCTTAGCAGCCCTAGGCAGAGAGGGGCTGAAGAAGCCAACCAAGGCTTCAGGTGTGGTTGGAGAAAGAAGTCTCAGCTTCAATCAAGTTTTCAAGTTGGATTAATACATGGGAATGAACTGTTACTTATCTGCTATATTGTTTTTGTGATATCAAGTAACCTGATTTTTTACATGTCCAAAAAAACAACAACAAAAAAGTATTGAAGCCTACCTTAAATTTCATCTAGGGACAAAAGGAGGAACTAGCCCACCAAGCAGGTTTAAAGGGAGTGTCGGACACAAAAATGACATGCCCCATATTGCAGTCTAGAAGGAACAACACGGTGAATTGTCTACTGCAGGTAAGCCAGGGGTGTTACAGGCGTCCTGAAAGGATACAGCGCAGGGTGCTGCAGCCAGGCAGTAAACAGTTGTATTTCTCTTTTCTCCACTGTCCTAAAGAGACTGCCCTGGGTGGCCCCTGCCTCGATTAGGTCACCAGATAGTTGCATTTGCCCTCCTCTGCCAACTCCCTAAGGTCAGGGTGGTGGCGTGCGGATTCCTAGCAGACTGCACAAGGTCTGAGGAAGGCTGGGTGGTGGACACACAGTTGATTAGTGATAGGAACCATGGTGGAGGCTTGTCAAAAGTCAACAGAAAGACAGACCAGCAGGGGTTGCCTGATTCTACGTGGAGCCCTGAGGCTGGGACTCAGCAAGAGCGGCAGGAGGGGACTGAGCGTGCTTTTAAGGACTGTTCAGAGAGCAAGGGGACCCAAAGGGAGAAGGAAGTGCACACCCTGACACAGAGAGTGAGGTGGAGACCCCAGCCGTGTCACAGAGCAGCGTGGGCTGGAGACTAAGCGCGGGGTGCAAGGGCTTCATGCGCCCTAGGGAGGAGGTCACTGTGGGCAAGAGGTGGAGTGGGGTGTATGGAACAGCCAGGCACTCGCAATGAGTCCATCTCTCAGTTCACCCCGGTCAGCCCTAGACTTCTGGGCTAGCCCAGCCGCTCCTTGCGTCCTGGGATGGGCTGCAGGCCTGCGAGTGGCAGGCGCAGCCCGGCTGCAGGAGCGCGGCTGGGGCTGGCCGCTCTCGCTGCCCTCTCTCCGGAACTGTTTTTTTCTGTCCTGGTCTCTGAAAGCCTTATTGATTGCTCAAAGTGAACTTCTCAGCCCACGGTTTCCTCACCCCCGGGGCAGCTTGCATTTCCTCTGCCGCGGCCTCTGTCGCCTCCCCTCCCGCGCGCCTCGGCCTTTTACATTTCAAATGCTCGACAGCTGGGCCAACTTCTGCTTCCGCCCAAAGAAGGGCTCTTTGCCGCTCACAATGGCCGGCCAGTGGCGCGGGGGCTCTTTTCTCTCCAGCTGTGAGAGAGGCTTTTTCAAAGGCCGGGGGGAAGCTGCCGTCCAGCTGCGCGCCTGGCCGCGGGGGCCCTGCATGCTAATCAGCGGCGCGCAGAGCCGGGCTCCGTGGGGCCGCGCAGATGCGCCCTCTCCGCCCGCAGAGCCTTCCGGGCAGGTGAGGCCAGGCCGGCCGGGCGTCACCGCAGGTGTGCACTCCGCGCGCGCACTCAGCTCGCTTTGGTGTTTCTCCAGGCCCTCAGGGCCCACCACTCCTAGTCCCAGCCCACAGGTCTGCCCGAGTCTCCGCCCAGGAATGTGGTCCTGACGCAGGGTGCTGGAACCAGGCTTCTGTATGCACTAGAGAAATGCCCTTGGCTCTATGACGGTGACCACAGAACCTGGACACACTGGGTGGGGGCGGGGGCCGGGGGTGGTGGTGGAGTCCTGATCCTGGCCACAGCCAGATGATTTTTGGAATAACCCGGCTTCAACTTGTTCATCACAGTTTATTCCCAGTTGAGTGCTTTTGTTCACCCTGGTCTTTATTTTGGGAGAATCTTCTGCTTTGTACCATGAGCGTCACTGCCTGTGGAAACCCTCTCCATCTGTGAAGTCCTCTTTCATATGGCCTGGCCGTCCATCCCCGCAGGCATTCCAAACGTCTTCTCTTTGGAGCACCGTGTTATTTCACCGTGGTATTTTGCTTGTCTTTAATAAGAATACCAAAGATACATAGTAATTGAGGCTTCACTAAGTTCCAGGTGCTAAAACCTGTCACATGCATTAATCTCATCGGGGTTGGTACAGTCCCTCAACACTGGAATTGTACAATCGTCATTTTATATGCTGGGGACCAGGGCACAGAGGCTGAGTGCTGGCAGGGCCATGGCTACCATGGCTAGATGCCCCGCAGCCCCCCGCCCCCACCCCCACACTGCCTTGTGTAGGTGTCCTCTCTATGTGTCTGATGGCTTTCCTGGGACTGGAATCTCCTTTAGGACTGGACTCTAGCATCTTTCCTCTTGGTGATCCGTAAAGGGCCCGCCTTGCAGACACAAGGGATAAAGGAGATGGAAAAGTGGCATCCGGAAATATCCTGAGCACCCACACTGCCACCTGCAGTAGGATCATCCCTGTCACACATGTGACTTCACCCACGCGGCCACCCACAAGGAGAGTTCTTAACTTCACCATTTTTTTAAATGATAAACATTAGATTTTGGGTGTACTGGACAGTAGAAAACAAAAATGTATATAACAGCTCCCGTTACTTATTATGGCTACTTGTATTGATGTGGCTCATGGGCTGCTCTCAGAGTGGATTTCTTCAAGGCGTGATGGACATGAGCTCCAGCTTCCCTCTCTCCTCTCTCCTCCAGTGTGATGCCTTCACCGGTTGGGAGTCATAGTGAACTTCCTTCTTTTCAACATTGCTTTAATGCTTATGATACTTATTTACAAACCACAACTCAGTGAGACAATTACTGTTAGCCATAATTCAGAAGTGAAGAAATCTAGATAAAAGAGTTAAAATGCCTGTTAAAATCAGAGAAGGACATAAACTCATTCTTGTACACTGGAAGTCTCAAACTCTTAATTCTTCCTTGGCCTAGAGATGAGTTTTTTTGGACCACATGATGTCTTCTTGTATAAATTTGAATTTATTAAAAGGTACTTAAAAAGTAGAATATTTTACGTTTTAAATATCCAGATTTCTAGTCTGTCTAGACAAATATCAGATGACCTGGCCACACTGGGCCTTCATTTTCACATGGCAACAGTCGGTACTGATTTTCCTCTGAGCACCATGTATGAAGGTGGCATCTCCCGTGTGCCCATCTCCACCCTCAGTCTGTTTCCCTGATTCACAGCATCTGTCTGGCTCCTGAAGGCATTGACTTTGCCTGGTTATGCTTCAAAAGCGCCACCTCTGTCCGTGGAATAGTCTCTCATAGAAAAACAGCTCTCTCTGTGATCAGAAGGTCTTATTGCCATCAGAATCTGTGGTCTATATCTCTTGAGCTCTGCATTTTGACATAGATTTCAAAGATTAGGAAGGTTATCACAGAGACCTAAGTATGGTTAGACATCAGAAACTCCATTAATTATTAGTTGCATCACCATTTCCATTCATGCAGAAAAATAACTTGATAAAATTTATCTCTTTTTTTGTGGTAAAAACAATCCTCAAGAATGGTCCTAGCCATTGCAATATGAAAAGAAAAAAAAAGAAAGAAATGAAAACTTTAAACATTTAAGTAATAGATAAAATTGCTATTATATGCAAATAACATATTTTAATAGAAAATTCAAAAGAATCCCCAAACCATTAACACTAATGCCTACTATATTCAATTCATTTATTCAACAAACATTTATTGAATGCAGTGGCTATTCCAGTTGCAGTAGGTGAGAAGTGCAGACAGTTATGCTTAGATGGGGCTAGTCTTTTATTTGTTTAAAAATAAATTTGTAATGTGTCTTATGATGACATGAATGCTCTGGAAAATAATTTAAAAAATAAATTTATTCACATATATTTTTTGAAATAGATGGTGATCAGAGAAGGGCTCATAACAATGAGATGACATCTGAGCAGTGCCTTGAAAGAAGTGAGGGAATTAGTGAATAGCTGAGTGGAGTGGGGGGTCATTCTATACTGGAGAACGATAAGTATGAATGGTTCAAGGTGAGGTTGGAGAAGTGATACAGGTTCAGATGACTTAAGCCCTTGTAGCTCCTTGAAGGATTTGAGATGGGGGCCATTCATGGTCTTCACACTCATTGCTGAATGAAGTACAAGATTGAAAACTGAGCAGGCTCTTTTTTACCACCTCAGCTTAGGAGTGTGCAGTGGATGTGGGGGTGTGTTGCTCATCACTCCCCCTGAGGTCTGAGGTATTTATTATCCCTGTTGTTGAAGTGTCGGGTGGCTCCCCGGGACATCCCTCCCCATAAATTTCTCAGATAAAGAAAGCCATCTAGCACAAGGAAATGTCCTCTCCCTAGAAGCTGCCCACTTCTAATGATGGCTGACATGGGAGGAAAAAGACACAGCTCATGCCTCCATCTGGAACAATTCTGAGATGCGATTTCACCTCCAGGGCCCTTGCGGGATCAGCTAAGGCTCTGCTGGAAATGAATCACAGTTCAGTTCAAGTCTTCCCTCTGCCCAGATCTCCACCTCTAACTCCCATACAGGTGAATTCCTGAAGGGCTGGCCCAATAACCTCCCATACCAAATCTGTGACTCGATTTCCCAGGGAACCAAAGACAAGTGGTACATTCTTATTTTTTTTCAACAAGAAGTAGTCACATTCTCCCATGTTGGTGAAAGTGCGATGAGAAATGCAGTCTGTGTGCCTGGAAGAGAAACCCCATTGGCGAGCATTTACAATGTCCGTCATATGTCCCTTTAGATATCTACAAAGATACTAAGTAAGCAAGTTGATGTATGAACCCAGACTTCAGGAAGTATGTCCAGACTGGAGATAGTAATCCTGGGTGGTATTTAAAGACATGGAACCAGGTGGTATTACCTAAATGCAGGTGGAGAAGAGAAGAGATGCAAGAACTGAGCTGTGGGGCACACCGATACTTACAAAATCCAGGAGATAACAATGAGCCCGGAAAGGAGACTGAGAATTTAAAGATGGGCGTATTCTGTGTGATAAAGCTCCTCAGTAAACGCACTAAGAGACTCCCACACTTGTACACAAGGAAACATGTAAAATGGACACTGCAACATTTCTTTTTTTGTAATACAGAATAATGGAAATGATTCAAATATTCAGCCACATAAGAAAGGATAAATAAATCATGGCAAAATCGTAAAGTGACATAGAATATAGCAGTTAGAACCTGTGGGCTTGCATGGCGTGTGTTGATATGGATAAATCTCAAAAACTTAATGTTGAGTGAAAATCCAGGTTTCACCAGTATCCATTTAATATGCTACTATTCATAGGAAGCTTTAAAAGCATTCAAAATACACCCTAGATTGCTTATGGACACACACTTGTGTAATAACCATCTGCACATGCGATGCTGTACATTCTGCAGTGGGGGAGGGAATGGGAGTTAGTGTGCATCCTGCCTGTCATACATGCTGCCCTTTGCTAGCCTTGTTGTTGCTGTTGTTGTTGTTTTGTTTTGTTTTGAGATGGAGTTTACTCCTTTACCCAGGCCAGAGTGCAGTGGCATGATGTCAGCTCACTGCAACCTCCGCCTCCTGGGTTCAAGTGATTCTTCTGCCTCAGCCTCCCCAGTAGCTTGGACTACAGGCACGCACCAGCACGCCTGGCTAATTTTTGTGTTTTTGGAGATGGGATTTCACCATGTTGGCCAGGCTGGTCTCAAGATCCTGACCACAAGTGATCCACCTGCCTTGGCCTCCCAAAGTGCTGGGATTACAGGCGGGAGCCACCATGCCTGGCTCCCTCGTAATGTCTGAGGTATTTTATACAGAAAGACACCTTCCCATCTTACTATTATAGAGCCCCTCAAATATTAACAAAGTCAGCCCTGTTAGGTGTCATTTGTAACCACAAATTGAAAATCACTGGTAGCCAGTACCTTTGATTCACTTGTGTGTTGCCAATACATCATGATGATTACAGTAATAATAATGAAAATGATTGTAATGATGATATACTCTTTGTTTAGCCTACATTGTGGTGGACACTTTGCCAAGCCTTCTGATGCATTATTTTATTTAATCCTCTGTAGGATACCAGAATAGAGAGATGATTATTACTCTTATTGTGCAGATGAGAAAACTGATGTCTAGAGAGAATGAATAAATCCCATCTTTCACAGCTGGTAAGCAGCAGAACCAGAATCTATCCCATCATTGTTTTCCTCTAGAGAAAATATTCACCCTTGAGAAGCTTCACCCTCTCTCTGCACAGTGTGAGCCTCAGACCATGTGTTCGGTTATTGTCTGTTAACTAAAAGTGAACCACCAGAACTGGAGGTGCCTGCAAAGGCCAGCAGGAGTAACAGCATGCGTCTGACACAGGTCCCAGAGAAGTTCTGGCTTCTCTTCTTTCTGAAGTACTGAACCACAGAGTAGTAGCAGAAATACCGTCAAGCCTTCTTTCCCATGTTCCCACGGCAGTGAACCCATTCGTGCTCTGAACACTTTCCATTCCACATATTTCTTCATAACAGAAGGTGTCAAAATGCTCCATGCTTCCTCTTTTGGGGAAATTAACTTAATTCAATTGAACTGCACTTATAATCACAGACGGGAATGACCTCAGAGAACTTCATTTCAACCCTCTCATTTTACAGTGGAAAGGAAAACCCCCAAATTTAAGTGACGTCCTTGTTCCATATAGCACCCTTCCTTACTGGAACCCAGCGACTCTCAGTTCTATTTGCAATGGAGAACCACCTGGGGAATTTGAAAACATTCTGCTGCCCTGGCCACATTTCCACATACTCTGATTTAATTGGCCTGGGGAGGGACTTGGCTTTCGAACTGTCTTCATCTCCCAGGTGCTTCCAATATGCAGCCATGGTGGAGAACCTCTGCTTTTTGTCTCCTTCCCTGGCACATTCACATAAACACATCTTTGATCTTGCTGGCCCAAAGAGTAATGACTGAAGCTGTGAGCTTATTTTACCAACAGAAATGGGACTGGTTGGGAACAAATTGGGCAATGTTTGCTCTTCTAAAAACCCTCTGAGGTTGTTCTTAGGAGACTTTTCCCCCTATTTTTCCATAGACAGGTCTTCTGATATGTTAGGTTTTCTTCAGTGCATTTTTTGAGAGGTAAAGAAAATAAAAAAACATTGTTTTTATCAGCCACAAATGGAATATATTTGGGAGTAATGGCAGCTCAGAAAGTTAAGGATTGGATTTAGTTATATTTTAATAATCTGTAAAAGCCTAGCTCCAGCTAATAGAATGCATATTTTATTTAAAGCAGGCATTGTCAAACTTCTTCTGTAAAGGGCCAGATAGTAAACATTTTCAGCTCCACAGGCCATATGGTCTCTGTTGCAACTACTCAACTCTGCCATTGAGGTGTGAAAAGCACCCACAGATAAGACATAAACAAATGGGTGTGGTTGTGCTCCAATAAAACTGTATTTAGAAAAACAGACAGTGGGCTGAATGTGGCTCATGGTCATTATTTGCCAACCTCTAAAATGTCAGATTAGAAAAAGTACTGTTTGATGATGCTCCAACTCTAACAAAGGCCAAAATAGAATTTAAATGTTTTGCTTAGATGGTGGGGGTTTCTGAACTTAAGAAAAAATCCCTAATGTTGTTTTAATATTTGACTCGGGTGTCCAAAAGCTTGCAAGACCCCAGTAGAAATTAAACAGAGTTTATTTCAGTGCCTTTTGAGCATCTCTGTATCTTTTTAATACATCCTACCTTTGGTGCTATTTACAAATGTTTCTTTTTTCATCTTAATAAAAATTTAGCAGAAAAATCTGCTAAACCCCAGAAGCGTCAGATAATTACTTGGAAAATGGAAAGGCAGTGAACACTAGTCATTTCATAATTTCAATTTTATGATTACTTTATTACAGAAAAACTTTCATAATAGTTGCATCATTTGAATCAGTTTTCGGTTTCAGCCCAAACCACGGGCACTTACGAAAACCTACCCTAACTTGATTTAGGTCTTCGAGCAAACCTAGAAAAATACTTACTAGAATGAAAAGAATCCTTAATGTGTTCTAATCATTGCTATGAGAGGTTGGAAGGCAGGCAAATGCTTTTCCTTTGCTGTTCTCTCAGCTTATAACATCCTGCCTAATTCTAATAGCATCTTTCAGGAATAGAGGAAGATGGCATTGAAAGTTAAGTGTGACTTTCCACTGCAACTCGGCAATGACCACTCACTTTTGCATTAATAATGAATGAGTATCTAAAGGTTAGTGAGCGAATGTAGCAGAACCAGCCAGAGGGAGTCATCAGGAGGCATCCCAGCTGAAATACACTGTGCAAGCCTGGGAGGAAAGAGGTTCCCCTGAAAGGCACTATCTGGACTGATGGGTTTTCAGGGAGCCAGTCATTCACTAAACCCACATAGGCTGGGAAGCAGATAAAGAACTGAGGCTGCAACGTAATCAGATGGGATTTGGGAACAGAAAGTCAGATAATACCATGTCTGTCTGGACCTTAGACCAGGGCTCTAGAGAGTTCTCTGAGTAAAACGGCAAAGTTTGAGACTTTTGCAGGACACTTTCAACTCTCAGCTGCCTTCAACTCCTTATTGTCACTTTTGCTTTGTTTACTTTACTGCAGTTTTCATTTATGTTTTCTCACACCTGTAATTCCAGCACTTTGGGAGGGTGAGGTGTGTGGATCACCTGAAGTCAGGAGTTCAATACCAGCCTGGCCAACATGGTGAAACCCCGTGTCTGCTAAAAATACAAAAATTAGCCAGGCGTGGTGGCAGCCGCCTTTAATCCCAGCTACTCAGGAGGCTAAAACAGGAGACTTGTTTGAACCCAGGAGGCAGAGGTTGCAGTGAGCCGAGATCACACCATTGCACTCCAGCCTGGGTGACAGAGCAAGACCCTGTTTCAAAAAATAATAAATAAATAAATAAATAAATAAATAAAAATAATAAATAAAATTTAGGCAGCAAGAGTAGGAGGTTTGATTGTGTGTCTGTTGCTTTAGTCTCAGGAGCCTAATCAGCCAGCCATGAACTCATGGTTATAGGGCTACAGCATTCCTATGACTTTTAAAGTCCTAAGATTGGTTCAGTCAACAACCCAAAAAGACTAATCATAGTGTGAAATATCTACTTCCTGTGAACTGTACATTGTCATATTTCCACTTTAGTGCTGGGGAGCGCTAAAAAAAACCATGTTGGTGCTAAAGAAAATACCTTCTTCTTCATGTCAGCAGGGAAAGTTTGAAAATTAGCCTTGTTTTCTACCAGCAAACTCTATTCATTTGTTCTTTCATTAAATCCTATTACTGAAATTCTGCTGGGTGCCATCACTGTACTAGGCATGAGGAATACAGTGGTTAGGAAGATCCTGTCCCTCTCCCAAGGAGTTCCTAGATAGGTATGGAAGGATGACAAGAAATAAATAGCTACCGCTATTATGAGTCGCATGGTAAGAACAGGGTGCTGGGACAATTCATAGCAGTGAGTTTCTCCCAAATCTAGGAGTCAGAGAAAATTTTCCAGGCGAGTGATATCTATCTGGAGACTAAGAGGATGAAGATGTCTTTGTTTTACATCTGAAAATTTATGTCAATTTTATCAGCTGATTTGAATTTTTGAATGAGGATTGCAACTAGAATAGATTGTTGGTTTTTACATTAACTCTTCCTCTAATAAAGTTGCCATTTTTGTCCCATCACAAAGAATGTATATTAAGTAACATTATATGATTTTTAAGAAAATCATGTATGATTAAGTAATATTATACAATTTTTTAAAAAATCATATATGATTAAGTAACATTATACAACTTTTTGTTCAAGAAAGGACAAAAACATTACTGGAGAAACTAAGCATCTGGTTCATCCGATGTCATTAGACACTAGGGCCTACAGATAAGAAAATGATGATGAAGAAATGGCAGAATTTCCCCTTGATGATGGGAGGCTTGGTCAAGGCCAGGAAGACCACTATGTAGGGACCGTGTGGAAGAGACCTTCAATACTCTGACTCACTCCCCAACTAACATAACTGCTACTGACTGCTGGCACCATATTTTAATCAAACTTTTTCAAGATTCATCCATCCATTCATTCAAAAATATTTTTAATGAAATATTTCAATAACAACTGAAAGTGAAATGGCCCTTTAAATGGAAGAGCTCATTTTTTGTGAGTGAAGCAAACAGGAGAGTCATTCCCATCAGGGTGTCAGGACCATTCGTGGTTGGCATATGTCAAGTGTTGATACTCAAAGGTGGGCAGAACTAACTCAACCTGAGAAAACAGAAAAAAGTTCCAGATTCAGGCAGGTGGGGAAGAGAAAGAAGAGCATTCTGTTTGGTCCGTTCAGGATAAGCCCAGTGAAAGGACAGGATGTGCTTTAGAAAGAGCGAGCAGCTTGGTTTCTTTAAAACATTAACGTTCTGGGAATAAGGATGGAAGGACAATTTGAACAGAATGTGGGGACATTTTTTCACTTTTGGGGATTTTATGCTTTGATCAATTTGGAATTACTAAAGGACTTTGACCAAGGCAGTGATTCAATTAGTTTGTCACGTAGAAGATTCTTCTGCCAATACAACGGTGAAGGGCTGACCACAAAGACAATAGAGACAAATGTGTGTGCATATGTTGGGGTAGGTGGAGAATAAAATTCAATTGCTCTGTTGAGAGATAGTGCATTGAAAGGATGTATTGAAGGCAATTTTGGGAATTAAAATGTTCAACATTACTTGACCTGTGAAATGTGGAGGTCAGCATGAGGAATCAAGAATTATTATCATTTTCTCATAGAATACATGTTATGGCACAGGGGAAGCCAAGAGAAGCATGTTTAGGGGAATATGTCATGAGATACAATAATCTTAGGTGATGGGCTTCTTGATGTGCCTCAGCTTTCATCATGTATTTCTTCTTATTTCCTTCACTCAGAAGCTGTAATTTATGCAAGCTTCGACTGACTGTAATTCACTTACTGCTCAATGAATATTCCTCTGAATGATCTGTAAAGGCTATTTTGTCCAAAAGCTGTGTCTGGGACAAATGTGATAGTGTCAAGGGATTTCATTCTGGACAAATGCATAAGAAAAAAATTTTAAAAGCTGAACACGCCAAATTTCTTATGATAAAACATTTCTTTAAAAAATAGGAGAAAAAAGTACAACGGCTTTAGAAATACCAGGTGAGGGATGTGTGAACTGATGAGTCTGTGGCTGTCACTTGCCCGTTATCACACGGTAAAGTGTCAGCAATGCCTCCACACCAAGTTAGACAAAGAGAGCCTTTAGAACCTATTCTAATTACTCTAGAGATGCCCACAGAAGGCTGACTCTGCACTCTGTTGATTTATTTGAGTAAAAAAATTAAGTGGTTCAGACATAGGATGGATATATAAGATCAGTCTGGGATTAGCTCACTGCACTGTATTCCTTTTCCTGTGTTCATGGGTCACTTGAGCCAGTGGAGCTCTGTCTATAAGAAGACCTTTGTGCCTAGGGCTGAAGCATGGGGAAATATAGCATGTTCTCCTGTTTTCGATCATTGTGTCCCATCTTAACTGCAGAATGAGTGTTGGAAAGAAATTCTGACTTTGAATTTATCACAAAACACCCTTCAGTGTAGGATCCCAAATACTCTCTGAATGATTAAATAAATAAGTGAATGGATATCTTTCCTCCTGGAATGAAAATGGTATTTAAAGTAGACCTGGGTTTACCTCCCAGCTCTGATCTTGATTAGGTGTAAAACCAGGTGCAACCTATTTGACCCATCTTAGCCCCAACTTCCTCCCTTACCTGAGAAACAGGTAGAGATACCCATTTCATACACTAGTACATAAGGAGCAGAGGTAATATAAGCAATGGACTTTACTCATTGTTTCAACAGTTGGCTTTCAATGCATGGTAGGTCTTACTAGGGTTATAAAGATTCTTTGCCAAGTGTCTGATTCTCTAAGCTTGATATGGTTTGGCTGTGTCCCCACCCAAATCTCACCTTGAATTGTAATAATCCTCATGTAGGAAGGGTGGTGCTAGGTGGAGATAATTGAATCATGGGGGCAATTTCCCCCATACTGTTCTCATGGTAGTGATTAAGTGTCACAAGATCTGATGGTTTTATAAATGGGAATTCCCCTACCCAAGCTTCTTGCCTACCACCATGTAGGACGTACCTTGCTCTTCTGCCATGATTTTGAGGCCTCCCCAGCCATGTGGAACTGTGAGTCAATTAAAACTCTTTCCTTTACACGGAGCTTGCAGTGAGCTGAGATTGTGCCACTGTACTCCAGCCTGGGCGACAGAGCAAGACTCTGTCTCAAACAAAACAAAACAACCAAACAAAAAACCAAAAACTCTTTCCTTTATAAATTACCTAGTCTAGGGTATGTCTTTATTAGCAGCATGAAAACAGACTAATACAAAGCTCTATCATATACCCACCTTGTCAAAAAACAGGAGGAGATGGGAAGAGGGTGAAAATTTTTAAAGGTAAGAATATTGAAGGAGAACCATGGTTGAGAATACATGCTGAGGGAATCTAGAATATTCAAAAGAGAATTGGCACTAGGGATACATGTATCATAGCACCCCTTTCATGGTTTATCCCAGAAATAAAAGCTTTTTTTGGATAAAGGATTATTTGTACAACCATTGATGAGGAGAGGAGCTGACAACAGACTGGAGCGTAGGTAATGTGACACTTCCTCGTGCCAAACTTTCAATACAGCTTGTTGTGGTTCAGCAGCATCAGTGGGATTTATTGGTTTGTTGAAAGTGACAAAAGTTTTCTCAATAGGCAATGATAAACAAAGGAGATTGTTACAATAAGAATAATTTTGGAGTTCTAAATCAGATATAATTCACCAGAGAGAATGAAAGTATGGAATTTTACAAGTTGTGTGTGTGTGTGTGTGTTTACACCATTATGCTGTGGTCAGGCAGCTGCTTTTCCTTCTTTTTAATTAGCATTTTAAGAAACATTTCACATTCATTGTTTGTTTTTATATACTCTAGTTTTCTTTTTTTTTGTAATCATTAGAGTCTCTGTTTTATGTGTATTTCACACACACACAAAAACACACACACAAACACACTCTTTCAAAACCCCAAAATGGTATTTTTTTATTGCCCTATGTCTCTAAGTTAAAGGAAGCTAACATTTTCACCTCTCCTTGTTTCAAGTAATATTGTTTATCAGCACTGAACTTTTCCTTTCTCAAGATGCCTGTGTTTGACTGTGAGTTTGATGATCATTCACCCACATGCCTATGCGAAACCTGTAATTAAAGACATTTTATGAAAGATACTGTAGTTGTCACTAAGCTAAAAGACCTTGCTTTCAAGTGGTGAAGCTGAGGCTCCAAGTGCTTAAGTTAAAATATTGGTTATATAATTGACACACGTGCTTGTCAACTAAATGATTTCTTTTGTTTTCTCTTCAATATTAAATATTTAGCAGAAAGAGATAAGTGCAAATAAGCAAGTGTATAACACGATCAGTGTTTTGTTTTATTTCCTTTTTAATCTTTGATTTTTGAAGATCTTAATTCAACAATTTAAGGGCACTTAGTGCCACCACTATCCTCCATCTCACTCCCTCATGGAGCAACTACAGACTTTAATTTCTTTTAGTCCAAGTAAGATAGCTGTAGAACAGGGAAACTTTAATATGCATAAAGGCTGAAGGGTACTAGAGCTTAATTTCTTACTCACATAAAGTATAAAAGAGGTGTTCCTGTTGGTGGGCATCCCTCTTCCAAGCAGGGATGCAAGGTTCAGTTTTTTTCTTTTCTTTTCTTTTCTTTTCTTTTCTTTTCTTTTCTTTTCTTCCTATTTTTTTTTCTTGAGACAGAGTCTCACTCTGTTGCCCAGGCTGGAGTGCAGTGGTGCGATCTCTGCTCACTGCAACCTTCGCCTCGCGGGTTCATGCGATTCTTCTGCCTCAGCCTCTGGGACCACAGGCACATACCACCATGTCCAGCTAATTTTTGTATTTTTAGTAGAGATGGGGTTTCACCATGTTAGCCAGGATGGTCTCGATCTCCTGAACTTGTGATCCTCCTTGGCCTCCCAAAGTGCTGGGATTCCAGGCATGAGCCACTGTGCCTGGCCCAGCTTTTTTCATATTGAGTAGAAGCCCAGGTAGAAGAGAAACTCGTGGAAGATGGCTAGAGCAGAGCTTACGGGCCAAGCTGGAATCTGTAAAACAGTATACAGCTATTTTGCTCATAGTTTATGGGCTAGAACTCTGTTACATGGACACACCTGGCTGCAAGAGATCCTGGAAAATGAAGACCAACCATGCATGTGTGTACACAGGAATGCATGCACAGAAATGGAATCACACTCTTCCCACATTTTGCTGTGCATTGCTTTTACCATATCAGCCCATACAGCTCTATTGCATTATTCTTAGGGTTTGTATAGCGTTTTGATAGAAGAATGTTTTATTTAACCAGTTTATAAGCCCTCACTTTTAAAACCACACTAACTTTCACAACAGAGTAAAAACCTTGCTTATTAATTCTATGAAATGACGTGTTTTGGAGATTTGAATTTTGTTGGTAATTAAGCCTTTATCACACCAAGCACCACTTTTCATCTGAATTTTAAGGAATGTTTGCACGAATCTCTTTCCAAATTCATTGCGCAGTTAGGTGCTTTCTTAGAAAAAAAATCATCCACAGACAATAATTTAACAATTTTATTCATGAGAATGGGGATCCCCCAAGCACTCAGTTTGTCTGTCCTATTTCCCACTCTTCTTGACTAGTTAGCTGTGGCCCTAGGCTGTGGATGTAAGCAAAGTATGCTTATTTGGGGCCAACATATGCAAGATCGGCTGCAAACTTCAAGCTGTCTTCCCCTGTCATGGTGATCAAGGATGTCTCACATTGAAGTGGTAGATGCACTAGATCAGAGCGATAAGAATCATTGAATTACTACGTGGAGGGCTACCCTGAAAAATTGCCAAGAACTGCAGTGGAATTTTCATGACTAAGAAATGCAAACCATTATTGCATCAACCTTCTAAGACATAGGTGTTATTACCAGAGCATATTCTAGCCTAAGAAAATGCTTACGCAGTATTATTTATAATATTAATCATATTACTTTACATTATTAATTATATTAATTTACATGTTTTGATGGATTTATAGCTTGCATAAGGCTTTCCTAATCATTAGCTTAGGAAATATTCTATGACTTGTACAACAATGCAACTGTGGGTACAGACAGTTTTGAGATGTGTTCTACTCAACATTTATGAATTTATGCTATTTTACTTTTGAGTTTGCATATCTTCTTTTAATAACATGTTTCTGCTTTTGTGTATGTCTTCTATCCTATTGCAACTTTTCATGTTATGTGATTTTAGTAGGCAACATTCAAATTTAGTTTTACTTGTAATAGCAAAAGTGAATTGTCTCAGAATGAGAACCTGAGAACCACCTTTCTAAATAAGCTATTTTACTCTTAGTCCATAGAATTTGAAGCCTTTGTTTTCTATCAGAAATATTATCTCAATAATACTTCAAATTGCTTCCTGTCTATTTTTATTTTTTTTAAGACAGAGTCTCCGTCTGTCTGTCACCCAGGCTGGAGTGCAGTGGCTCGATCTCAGCTCACTGCAACCTCTGCCCCCTAGGTTCAAGTGATTCTCCTTCCTCAGCCTCCCAAGTAGTGGGGACTACAGGTGCATGCCACCACACCTGGCTATTTTTTGTATTTTTAGTAGAGAAGGGGCTTCTCCATGTCGGCAAGGCTGGTCTCGAGCCCCTGACCTCAAGTGATCTGCCCGCCTTTGCTTCCCAAAGTGCTAGGATTACAGGTGTGAGCCACCGCACCCAGCCTCTGTCTGTCTAGTTTTAAGAGTGGTCCTGTGGCAATCCCTAGCTTCTCTATGTGTTTTTAAACTTAATTCCATCTTGTCTCTCTTTACTTCCTATCTACAGAACACTTCACTCTGTCTCGATTACTACATGGTGAATTGAAGTTCCAGTAGAGAGGGAGTTGAGCTGATACTGAGGAGGTATGTATGCTAATACTGCCCAGTACTAACTTGGTGTCCATTTTAGCAGAAGGCAAGTCACTGCGTTCCTTTTTTCAATCAGTAAAACTATAAGGCTGGGTTTGATTACCAATTAAGATTTTTCTGTATACCAAATTATCTGGTCTTTGGAGAATGAAAAGCTGTTCAAATCTTATAATCAAGCAGCAAAGAAGTACTAGGTAACATATTTTCAGTATATGCTATGAGCCAGTTCACAATGCCATGCACTTCACTATATCATCTCATTAAACAAATTTGTGAGATTCTCTTACAATTTCTGTTTCATACATGGGAACTGAGGCATAGAGAGTACCATGCTCAGGGTCATGGAAGGAGTAAGCACTGAAACCGGCAGTTGCATCTGAGTGTATCTGACTCCTGGATCTCAGGTCTTCTACAAGCAAACAGGAGTAGTTGCTACATAGGCCCTCAGAAAATTAACACAATAAATAATAGGTGCTGTAGTTTGTACCAGAAGCCAGGCACATTTCTGCCCTTGGTTGCAGCCTCTTCTGCCCAGATATTGTCGGTCCATACTTTCACAACCTGTCGTCTCATGGTTAAGGAATCCCTCAGGAGCAGCAGCCACTGCAGCTTCTGGGCTGGCTAGCCACCCTTCTGTAGATTCCATGGGTGGGGAATGGATCTAGACAGCCTATTAGTCACAGCACAACAGGCAGCATGAGCTTCTTGTTGCATCGGTTCCATATGTCCCCAAGGTAGGCCCAGGTGATTGCCATGTACAATGGGGTCTGCATCACAGCTGAGGAACATGGGGTGCCAAACCCCTAACCTTAATGGGGCTGCTAGCAAACCTGCCCAAACTTTGTTTCTGAAGGAGACACTATCCTTATTATCTTGATCACAAAACAAGTCTGCCCTTTGCCCTTAAGGGAGACACTAGCTTCTAATGCTGCTAGATAAATGTAGTCTGAGATGCAGAGACACCATAGAGAACTGCATCCTGACAATTCCTAAAGGTGAAAATGTGGCCAGAAGCAAACTCTATTCATATATGTGTCCATCTGGTGGGCTTCCATAGCATTTGCCTTGCTCAGACTTCTCTTCACAGCCAAGAAGGATGATACAACGTAGAGCATGGAGTGTGGATGAGAAGTCCCCACAAGTTCCCCAGAAGGCTATTTTTCTCTGGAGCAGATAGTCTGAGTGTAGATTGGTATAATCCATTTGGAAAACATTTTGGTAATATGAAGAAAAAGACATATAAGTACATTGATACACATTCAATGGAAATTACAGGTCTTGGAATCAATTCCCAAAGGCATAATTCAAAACTCTTGGGAAGACCCACAAAAATAGATCCTTTATGTAGCAAAAAGGTGATCATAACTTAAGAATAGGAGAATAGATATGATATAGTGTACTTTCTTGATGAATTATTATCTTTTTACTTAAAATGATGGCTATGGACTCCAATAATAAGAAAAATGTCTATGACATAATGTTATATGAAAAACTGGGTTTAAACTGTGTATATAATATGAATACAAATGTGGTAAGACACTCACTCCTAAGGGGAAAAGGTTTGAAGAAAATTCATTAACTCCTAAGCATTTGTTGAATTAGACTGAGAGAATGAAGAATGACTTTTTTTCTCTTTTTATAATTCCCTGCTAACTTTAGACACATAGTTAGATTTTAAAAGGAAAAATATGTATAAGGCTAAAAAGAAAAAAAATCGTAGTGATGTATTAATGCCCTCTCTAGACCTAAATCAGAAACCACCAAGCATTTTTCTTCTTTTTAATGTTGTCTTTTCATTTTTTAGGTTTATTAATTAAAATCTCTCCATTAAACCTATTTGTCTGCCCAGCATAAAACAGCATCCGGGCCTCTAAAGAGAAGTCATGGGACAAACTACCTGCCCAGGGCTCACTGTTGAGGCAAAGGTACCCTTCATCGGACAGGATTCCATTTTTTGTCTCCTGGATCTTTCCTCTTTTTTTTCTTTATTTATTTTTATATTTATGTATTTATTTATTTACTGAGACAGGGTCTCGTTCTGTCCCCCAGGCTGGTGTGCAGTGACGCGATCTCGGCTCACTGCAAGCTCCACCTCCCAGATTCTCGCCATTCTCCTGCTTCTGCCTCCAGAGTAGCTGGGACTACAGGCGCCCGCCACCACACCCGGCTAATTTTTTGTATATTTTTTTTAGTGGAGACGGAGTTTCACTGTGTCAGCCAGGATGGCTTCGATCTCCTAACTTCCTGATCCGCCCCCCTCAGCCTCCCAAAGTGTTGGGATTACAGGCGTGAGCCACCGTGCCAGGCCGATCTTTCTTTTCTCTACAGGAATCCCCCCAGGAATAAAATGCAAATTTGCGTGGGTATTGCAAGGTCCTTAGAAGTTAGTATTGACTCCTTCATAATCCTCTGGCCCTACCCATCATTAATAGAGCCTTCCATTAACAGCATCTCCCCGCCTAAGCATGCTGGGTCCCACCTCGCGACCACCCCTTACTCTAACTGGACCCACACAGAAATTTTTCAAGCTCCTAGAATGTTCCAGGGTCTCTGGCTTCCGAATCTATCACCTACAGTTCTATCTGCCCAGAACTCTCTGCCTCCCCAATTCACTCTCACCAAGCTAGCTGTTTCCTGATTAAAATTGCTTTCTTCATGACAAAACCCTGTACTCCAGATCCCCCAGTCTGGATCAGGCACCCCTGCTGGGTCTCCTCCCTAGGAGCCTTCACCTTAGTCCCTGCCGTTACCTGAGTCTCATCGCCCTCGTGGTGCTCTCAAATGCTCCCTCCACAGTCTGGGAGGTTTTCACTGGGGACTATCCTGGAAAAGGCGTAACATGTGATTCTAAGAGGTGACAGTGAGCACCCACATGTCATCTCAAACTGCTGAGAACAGGGAAGGCAGGTGAAGGTCCCGCTTCTATTGTTTTGTAACAACATAAAAGCACAGTTTATTTCCTACATAAATTTTATTTTCTAAAGAGGCCTTGGGTACTGAGATGTGAGATGGACTTCACGGAGAGCTGGCTGCATCACGAGCCCCAAAGGGTAAGAATCAGGCCTGGGACAGAGCACTCACACACATACCGTGTGCTCACAGGTAAGGGCAGGAGTGCGCAGCAAAGAAAGCTTCACATGGCTCCCATGTAACCTGACTTTTATCTCTGCTTTCACAGAATGAGGCATAAAACTACCAGCTAGGCACTCGCCTTCCTTTCTATTTAAATTTGCTGTATTGGAATGCGTTTCTATGTCTCACCTAAGTTATTGTCTCATAGTGCTTGGATAAACTTTGTTTTCCATTATCTTCCTAAAAATAAACTTCTTGAAATACTGTGTGTTAAATCATCTCAACTTACATCTGAGGTAATCAGGCTTTTGGTAAATTCATGAAGTATTTGTTCCAAGTGTTGGAAATTCACCCTTGAAGTCTCATCTCTGAGTGAAATGTCTGCCTTAGAGAATAACAATGATCACAGCACCCCAGGACTTCTCCTGTGTCAGTGGTTCTCCTCCCTCACCATCTAAGGGGAGGGGGAGAGAAACACCTGCTCTCTCATGGCAGCTCCACACCCCTCCCCACATCTGACTTCCTCCTTGGTGGAGAATTACTGAGCATTCCTGTTAAGAATACAGCACATCTGACAAATAGATTGAATTGAAAAATGTATAAAATCATCTAATTGTTAATTGGAGAACTAGGTAAAATCCTTAATATGTAGAGAAATTTAAACATACTTTTATAGGTTTATATGTATTTGGACAAAGATTTTTTTGTTTTTCTCCAGGCTAAAACACCCATAACCATCATCTTTGGTGAGGAGAAAAGACAGATATTTTAAAAAAATTTGTGTGATGAGAATTTATTTATTCAAATATTGTTTTTTTCTTATTTTCAATCTTCATTTTTTCCCTAAAGATAAATACCCATCACTGTATACATCTACTTCTTGGAATTTGCAAGGGAACCAGTCAACAGATTTTTCAAGCCTTATAAGTTTATCTGCCTGAGAAGTTCACCAGCTACATAACATCCTGGACTCTGGAGCCCAAGAGATGTGTAGTTTCCATTTTGGAGCCATTTTCTTTGATAAATAAGTAGTGAGGCTGCCATTCTTGTCAAAGTTGAGGACCACAACCTTACTCATGAAACTGAAAGATTGTTTGTTATGAGGAGTTCTGTTTGAGCCATACAAGCAATATATCCTTTTTAAAGAAATGTATCCGGAATCTTAGGTGTTCATTGCTCCAAGCCATGTGCAGAATAAAAAGAAAACAAAAAACAAAAAACAGGAAGTGTGAATATTTTTGACCAATACAGTGATTACACTCCATTCCCCAAAAGATTGCCTACAAATGTGTCTAAGCTAGAAATCATCTACAGTCCATACTACGGGGTGGATCAATGGTGATTTCATCAGCACCAGCCCAGCTGCTCCATGACAGAGAGGCCTGCATGCCGCCCTCCATCTTCCACCTGTCCACGGCTGACACACGGTGGGAAAGGGTTTTGCTGACATTGGTGATCTGAGCTGAAAATGTGAAGCCACCTTTTGGCATATAATTCATATTGGTTTTTCAATCATTTGTGTCTGTGTGTTTTCTTTTTGTTGCATTTTTTTTCCCTTCTTAAGAAACTCGTCATGTGGTATTGAAGGTGACCTGACTATGGCAAAGAGCATGTTCTGTGTGGTTTGCCTTTCCACCCACGCACAACACACTTTGCAGACTTGACAGGGATGGATCAGCCCCACAGAAGAGAAAACAGAAAACCAAAAAATACCCCTCCTCTGAAAAATACCCCCGGTGTGAAACTCTTTCTGAGAAAGACTGGCCCTTTTCTTTAATGTAAAAAAATATATATAACAAAAATAGATTTCTTCTCAAGACTCTTGTTTATTCAGATGATATCAATTCTGTTTCCAGCACAACATGTTGTAGCTGCTACTCAGAGATTTTTAGAAAGTCAGATCAACGCGACTGCAATGGGTTTTTGCCGTGAGTGAGCTGTGCTTCTCACTTGCTTACTAGAAGGTAAATGCGTAATTATACAGCACACTCACGGAACAGCAGTGAACTTTATGGGCGTATTTCTAAAACAGTCTGTTTACATCAACGGTGCTATACAAGTAACAAATAATAATAACAGTGTGAAGAAAATTAGCTCCTTAGGATGCATAACAGTTAATATGTAGCTCTGTATAATTAATATCCTGCAATTTAATGTGTTACTCATTTTCTTTTTTCCCTTCCCCTTTACTAGGAAGAAAGAAACAGAATTTGTTTAATTAAATATGGCATTTTCACAGTAGTATCAAGCCATAATATATCAGGCTGAATTAATCTGATTTCCTACCCCATCAACTTGACATTGGGCATCAGTTTATGCCCGACTTCCACTATACCCACTTAGAATATGTAAATGTTGTCACCTCCTCATTGTTATTTCTATCTCCATGCCTAACAAATGTGTAGAGAGTTCTCTCCTCTTTCAAATAATTGTATATACATTTAATCAGTGGTTTTCAACTGGGGCCAATTTTGCTCTTCCAGGGGACATTTGGCGAAGTCTGGAGACATCTTTGGCTGCTATAACTAGGGAAGGAGGGAGTTCTATTAGCGTCTGGTGGGGAAAGGCCAGGGACCCCTGCCATGCCCAGGCACACCTCCACAGCAACTATTCAGCTCAAAGTGTCAGTAGCATTGAGGTTGAGATCCCCTGCATTAGCTCCTTGATCTTTAAAACCATCCTCCAAGGTAGGGATTGTTATCAGTCTCCTCATTTTATGCATGAAATTAAACAAAACAAAACTTAGGCCCAGATGAGCCAAGAGATTTGTATCCAGGATAATCACAGGGCACAAAGTGAAGGACTTGGGTCTTGAATTCAGGACTCGAGTCTAAATCCTTCCACACTTGCCCCAGCCTTTTTTTTTTTCTTGCATTAGTCCTGCTTGCATAAGGCACTTTTGTTTACTGTAGCTGGCAACATATGTGCTCTACAGAAGTGTGTGGGGGCACATGTATTTTCCTGACATTCACACTCTTATTCTAGCAAACAGTTCCTAGGAGGCAAACAAGTCTGACTTGAGGCAAAATTGTGAGAAAAAGCCAAGCCCATCTTTGCGCTTGTGTCCTCCTGTGTTTGTCAGTGCTGCCCCCAACGAAGTGGCCACCCTAGAGAGTCCACTGCTGTGTGTTCTCATTCTTTCCTGGCCAGGGATACTTAACCCCACCCATCAATGCATCTCACTTGTAAAATGTATACCAGACCCATATTGCAGCTAATCAACGAGCCAGGCGGAAAGATGGTATGCTCAGAATGTGGGCATTTCCTGGTAAGCAGGAAAGGCTTCCTGGCCTCTTCAAAGCAGATCAGATTCCTATCGAAGCCTGTCCTCTTTTCTGAGGTGTCAGGGCCACGCACGTTGTGGCTTTTCAATGGAAACATGGTACCTGTCAAATTCAGGAAGGCGTTTTCCTACTGCCAAATGAGCTCTCCATGCTCCCCAAAACAACACTCACGAAAAGCTGCCCAAAGCTAGGGATACAGAGGAGAGGGCTACTTTTTAGAGTGACTTCTAACAAACCATTTTTCCACAAGACAAAAGAGCAGAGAGATTCAGTTGTGTGTTCATCCTGTGGTCTACAATAACAGCAGCCCCTCCACCGTCAGCACCGCCCATGCTATCATGCCTCTGCCTTCTCTCTAGAGCAGTGCACTCCCGGAACACACTGGGAAGGGGCCCTTCCTCTAAACTATCTAGCTGTCACTGTCACCACTTAATAAACAGTTAAAATGCAGTGACTCAGATTGCAAGTGTCAGTTTGGCCTGGGTGATTGTCAAATGGACCCATCCCAGCTAATTTAGGTCTTCCGTGGCTCTACTCAGGATGCCTAAAGGCAGGCCTGATGCCTACACATCCTGGCAAATTCCAGGAGCAAGGGGGGCAAGAAAAGTGCATGGAGAGTGCATCCGGGCATGGTGGCATCCAGGTGTGAGTGACGTGGAAGAAAGACTTGGGAAGGAGGAGCCACGTGCTCTCAATCAGTGAGTAATTTATGGTCTGTGCTCCAAAAACAGCAGCAGTCCCCCTTCTCCTACAACCTCTGGAGGCAGAACCCATGGCTCTGCCATGTCAGGTCTCTCCACACCTGCTGTGACAAGCAGGAGAGAAGAGAGTGTTTGTCACTCAAGGGAGTTCTTCATGGACGGCTTGCACTTGCCGTCGTGAGCCAGCTGGTCCCATCACTCCTTGTACAAGGGGCTTCTCTCCTACGCTCACTTAATTCAGTCAAATAGCATCCATGTGTGGTTCTGGGCCACATTCTATCATCCAGAGTGGCTCATTAAGGATGCCCAAGTGGGGTGAAGAGTGTCTGCAAGTAATTTTGTAAATTTTAACAAACTTAACAAGAAACAGTCTAAAGCATTCAAAACACAAAATCGACCAAGTGCCTGCTACAGGCCAGGCACTGTGCTGGGCTCTGAGGCTGCTCCAGCATAATCCTTGAGCTCAGAAGTTTCAGAGGAAGCAACCAGTTGCCAAATAACTCTATGTACATAATAATAAGATACATGGGATTCTTAAGAAGAAAAAGAATTTCTATCACTGAATACTGGAGACAGGAGATTTGGTGTTGGTAACAGAGAGTATAAACCACAAAGTGCACATGACTTACTGACTTCAAGGTGTGTGGCCAGCCAACAGGTATTCTTGACATCCTTAGCATAGAACATTTTGGAAACATTGTGCTTATTATCCCCATCACCAGCCTTTGCATTGTTGTTTATTTCTTAATTCCACATTTATTCATCTTTCCACATTTATTTATCTTTCCACATTTATTCATCAAGCTTATTCATGTTTCCAGCCTATTTTAGGGCAAAACATTACCTTGAATTTTGTATTTCATGGATGTTCCGATCTGGGTTTTTTTCTGTTCTTTAGACCCGATTGAAATACTATCTCCTCCAGGAAGTTCCCACTGAATGCTTCTGGGATCCAATAATCTATACAGAGTGCCCACTCTTTATTTGCAGGTTTTTAACTCACACATCACTTTTTATTTTTTATCATACGAATTAGGTTTACTGTTGTGCAAATTGCTTTATCCAGTTCACATTCTTACAATCATGAGAAGAATAAGTATATCCAGAAAAATGCTAAACATGTACAAGTTAGTCTTTGGATTCATTGTCACTGAAATCTCACCAGCGCTTTCCATGATCCCCTTACAACACTGCCCTTCCTCCATCCCCACGAAAGTCAGGCCCTTCCCACCATGTGCTGGCATAGAATCCTGAATATGTCCCTTCCAGAGCCCTTAGAAATGACACTGCCATTTGTATTTTTGTGGTTCTCTTTCTCTCTGATGAAACTTGAGTCCTAAAGAACAGAGACTGAATCTGGTTTGCGCCGCATCTTGTTTAGGGCCAGATAAACAGGAGGAAATTAGTGTTCATGTTGACTGCATGTAGGTTTCTGTGTGTAGGTTTCTGTATGTAGGTTTCTGTATGGGGGCATCTGCGTGTGGGCATCTGCGAGTGTGTATCTGCATGTGGGTATCTGCATGTGTGTATCTGCATGTGGGTATCTGCACGTGGGTATCCGTGTGTGGGCATCTGCATGTGGGCATCTGTATTCTGCATGTGGGTATCTGCATGTAGGTATCTGCATGTTGGCATCTGTGTGTAGGTGTCTGTATGTGGGCATCTGCACGTCGGTATCTGCATGTAGGTATCTGCATGTCGGCATCTGTGTGTAGGTGTCTGTATGTGGGCATCTGCACGTGGGTATCTGCATGTAGGCATTTGCATATGGACAGCTACATGTGGATATCTTCATTCTGCATGTGGGCATCTGCATGTGGGTATCTGCATGTGGGCATCTGCATTCTGCACATGGGTATCTGCATGTGGACATTAGCATGTGGGCAGCTGCATGTGCATATCTGCATGTGGGCATCTGCATGTGGGCATCTGCATGTGGGCATCTGCATTCTGCATGTGGGTATCTGCATGTGGGTATCTGCATGTGGGTATCTGCATGTGGGCATCTGCGTGTGGGTATCTGCATGTGGGTATCTGCTTGTGGACATTAGCATGTGGGCAGCTGCATGTGGATATCTGCTTCTAGGTAACTGCATGCAGGTGTCTGTTACTCACATGGGCAGTAGCTCTGAGGAGCCAGCACAAAGTCCTGAGGCTGGAAGCCTGGGACATCCCACTATTTATGTTACACAGATAAGTAGTAATATGCTTGAAACAAATCGTTCAAATCATTCATCACACCGGAAACGTCTTACTATGAGTAAATTCCACCCGTACATAAACAATTTTTGTTTTGTTCTTTAACCCAAACTTATGGACTGACCTTCAAGTAGCAATCTGAGTTTTAACTTTGAACTGTGTCTCTCATTAAGTGTTGAAAGCCAGCTGAGCAATTAGCATTTGAGGAAGTTAGTGTCAGATGTGACCCATGGATGCCTGTGTCCAGAGCTTCGAAATCCTGTCTTCTTATTAGGCTAAACCCTTGGATAACACACAGACCTTATTAGTGAGCCTCAGTAAACTATCATCCCTGAGTTACCTCTGAAACTCATGATGGCTACATTTTTTTGGAATATTTTTGTAAATAATTACCATATAGAATACATATCTGTCTGTTTTATACAGTTTCATGATAGGCATCTCCGTTGTAACCAAGAAAGGTAGTATAACATGGCTGGGAACAACGGATCACTGTCTTGGATCCCATGCCCATGGGTACTTCCTCTTTGACTAGCTGTGCATGAACTTGACTAGGCACTTACCCGTGCAAACTTCCGTGCCTTCTTTGTCCAAAAACGATAATAAGAATTATCTCTGTGGTTGTGAAACTGAGTAAAATTAATATATAAAATGGCATACATGGCCAGGACATAATTAAAAATCACTTTTTATTATGCTTTTGTTCAATGTCAATGTACATTATCCTTTTAGTCACTGTTTAGTAACAGATAATAAAGTAAAATGAAAAATGCCAGTTTTTCTTTTGGCTGCTATGAAGCTCAGAGCAAATGTTTAATCCTTAGTCACAGTAGTTATCTGAATCTGGATGTTCATTATATGGCTTTTCTCTTCCTCTCACATTATTTTTGTTTTTATTTGACATTTAGATTTCTGAAGTCCATATTTTATCCAAACAACACATTTTCAGAGTAGATGAGATAGGTTCTATAAATAAGTAAATACATAATTTTTATTTATATAAACAGAAAATATAGGCTCCCTGTCATGTAGGACTTACAATATTGTTAGGGTAAGAAAATACACACAAAGTAAAATTATAGATGTCTGCGTGTACACGCACACACACACACAAATGCAGAGTGCTGTGACTGTAGCTTTCACAGCTGGCTCTCCGAAAACAACAACGAAACCCCTCATTTGTAGGGTTTGCCAATTTCCATGGTGTCAATATTCTTACCATGGCTAATTTTAAGCTCCCACTCATTTAAGAACTGGCTCATACAATTCCGAAAGTACGAGTTGGCTCTGCAGAAAGATGCTGAAGTGGCCTAGTCTCGAAGTGGGAACTCAATTCAGAAAAGAAGGGCTACACGTCTATGGACCAAGAGAGTCTAAGAAAGTCTTGGGGAGCATAGACAACCTGAGGTGCATCTTAACAGACTCATATCATTTGGAAATAAATAAAGACAGGTGAAAAAGTTCTAGCACCTGTGTGTAGCCAGCTCACTCATTCATTGTGTATCACTGCTTTGTTTATTCAAACCATTTTTTAAAAATTATGACCAGACACCACGCACTGGCCAAAGAGTTTTAAAACGTGGAATTTTAATCCCCGCCCTCAAGGACAGGAGGCCAGAGAGTTGTAAAGTGTAAAGTAATGTGGAAACAAGGGGAGAGCCACATGACACTCTCCGGGTGATATCCGAGGAGAGTGGTTAACCTGCCTGGTAGGGAAGGGCAGGGAGCTTTGTGAGGTTGTGACCGAGGCTGAGAGGCAGGCAGGCGAAGCGCATTCCAGCTGGAGAGTCTTTGAGTGAAATAAAAAGTAGAGGACGCATGGAGTGTGGACAGCTCCAAGCACGTCCCTGTTGTGACATGACATGCATGCTAGGCACAGGCAGGAGCAAGAAATGTGTCAGGGACGCGGGAGACGCAGATTCTGAAGGATCTCAGGGCCCTGGAAAAGAGCATGTCGTTTCAGCAAGTCTCGACGCACCACTGCTGCGATTGAGCAGTGATCAGAATTGCATTTTAGATCAGCCACGTGAATGGATTCGCTGTCTGTGTTGCCTTTGAATGGCTGAGCGCAGAGGTATGAGACCCCTGTAAAGGCCATTTCCAGCGTCCAGGCAAGAATTGGTGAGAGCTCAAACAGAGTAACAGAATCAGGGATGGAGAGGAATCTACAAACTGTGCAGTTCATAACTTGTCTCTCAGTTTGACCTTTTTACTCAGCTTATACTGTAAGCCAAGCAATATCATTATCTATAAATTTAGGTTTACATTTTAAAAGAAAATAACATGATTTTTTATTAGCTAGTTTTGAACAGTCTTGTTTTGTTAACTTTCTGTTTATTCATGCAACAGACTCTCTGACAGATACATTAACCTGGAAGGCATTTTACATACATCGTATTCCTGTTTTGATACAACCTATAATAATAATTTTCAATTTTTCTTTTACATTAAAAATAACACATTTGTTACTAGATGAGTTTTATGTCAGTTGGGTAAGATAATAATTCAAAATTTTACTGAATTTTTTTGTTTGCGACAGTTTGGCTCTGTCACCCAGGCTGGAGTGCCTGGCATGATCTTGGCTCACTGCAACCTCTGCCTCCTGGGTTCAAGCGATTCTCGTGCTTCAGCCACCCGAGGAGCTGGGATTACAGGTATTCACCATCACACCCGTCTAATTTTTGTATTTTTTTGTAGAGATGAGGTTTCATCATGTTGACTAAGCTGGTCTTGAACTCCTAGCCTCATGTGATCCACCCTCCTTGGCCTCTCAAAGTGCTGGGATTATAGGCATATGCCTCTGAACCTGGCCTCATGTATTTCTTTATAACAATGCAAGAACAGCCTAAAGCGAGTTCTCTTTGGAGGTAGTTTGCATGTTACATTTTAATGCTAATAATGAACATCTTGCATATACCTTGATCCCATATTTTGAAGTGTTTCCATAGGAAAGATTTTTATGAACATTTATTAGGTCAAAAGATATGCACATTTTTGTGGTTTTATTTTATCTTTCATGAGGAATGTTGCCTGCACTCAATCTACACCAACATCTTTGGAGTTTTGGCTTATTTTAGATCTTTGAGCAGATTCAGTTAACTCATTTATTTTATTGTGTTTTGTTTTAGGAGACACTGGTTAGAGTCTGGCCAAATTCCAGTAAAATAGGAAAATACCAAATCTGAGACAGAAGAGAGTCAGTGTCAAGGTCCCGCATTAATCTACTTATTCCATCTGCAAGGGGCCATTGGGCACTTGGGGCCTTGACAGTGCTTGGCCCAGTCGGTGCTCAATAACTATGCATTACATTAAAGATAAATGAGAAATCTGAGTTGTACCCCAGCTAAAACCAAAAGGTGATGGAATACACAGCGGCTCCAGGAAGTCTGGAGTTATTAGTTGACAGCAGTTCTGCTCCTACAGGTATCTTCTGGGTAGACCCAAAGGCTGGGTAATCTGAATGGGCATCTGGCCACAGCTCTGAAGCACTGAAATGTGAAGGTCGAAGCCCATTTAGATCAAGTCACAATGAGCTCACAAATCCATACATCCGTGATACATTGTCTGTAAGCAGAGGGAAAATGTATATCCTGCATTAGAACATGTGATGAATCCATCCTACTGTTCATGAGCCAATAGCACCTGTTTTAGGCTTTTTGTTTTGAAATAATTACAAATTCACAGGAAGTTGAAAACTTACTATAGAGTGATCCTGTGTACCTTTCATTCAATGATTTTTCCCAGTGCTTACATTCTTACATAATTATGGTACAACGCCAAACACAGGATCTGACATATCTACCATGTATGTATATAGTTCTGCTACTTTATCACATGTGAATTTGTGCAATCATCACTGCAGTTAAGATAGAGAACTATTCCATCACCACAGAGATCTTTCTATGCTGCTTTTTAATAGTCACATTCCTTCACCCAACCCACCAACATACACTATCTCTAAACCCTGGCAACAACTAATGTTTCCCATATCCATAATTTTGTCATTGTGAGAATGTTATATACATAGAATTATATAGTGTGTGACTTTTGAGATTTACTTTTTAACCTCAGCGTAAGGCTCCTGAGATCTGTCCAAGTTGATGCATGTATACATAATTACTTCACCTTTGTATTCCTAAGTAGTATTTCATGGTATGCTTGGTAAACTATGGTAAACAAAATACCACATTTTGTTTAACAATTCAGATTTCTCATTTATTTTTAATGTAATCAAAGGACTTTGGGGGATGTTTCTTAGTTTGGGCTATTACAGACTAAACTGAAGGACTTTTGAGCTGTTTCTCAGTTTGGACTATTACAGAAAAAGCTGCTGTGGACAATCTTGTTCAGATTTTTGTGCCAAAATAAGTTTTCCTTTCTCAAGAATAAATACCCATGAGTGCAACTGCTGAGTCAAATGGTAATTGCATGTTTGGTGTTATTTTTAAAAAGCCAATTTTTTATCTAGAGTTACTGCATCATTTTACATTCCTACCAGCCATGTAGGAAACATTCTGTTTCTCTATATCCTTATCAGCACTTGGTATTATCACCCTTTTTAATTTTATGTGTTTTAATAGGTGTGTAATAATATCATGGTCTTGGTTTGCATTTGTCTAATGGCAATTGTTCAGAAGATGTTCTAAAGATGCAGATCATCTTTTCATATGCTTATCTGCCATCCTTATACTCCCCTCAATGACAGATACCTTCATATTTCTTGCCCATTTTCTCCCTGGATTGGGCTTGTTTGTTTTTTTTTTTTTTTTTTTTTGCCATTGTGTTTTGAGAGTTCCTATTATATTCTTGATATGATTGCCTTTGTCAAATATGTGGCTTTCACACATTTTCACCCAGTCTGTAGCTTTCCTTTTTATCTTCTTTACAGGATCTTTCACCGAAAAGATAATTTTGATTTTGATAAAGTCAAACTATTTTCTCTTTTATGGATCATGCATTTGGTGTCATGTCTAAGAATGCTTCACCATGCTGTAAATCTTGAAGATTTTTCCTACATTACCTTTTAAAAGATTTGTAGTTTTATAATTAATATTTAAATTTATGATCCATTTTAAGTTAATTATAGTAGGTTATAAGGTTTAAATCAAGGTTTAGTTTTTAACCTATAGATGTTCAATTGCTCCAGCACCATTTATTGCAAAGACTATTCTTCCTCCATTGAATTCTTTTTACCTTCATCAAAAATTAGTTGGCCATACTTGTGAAAACCTACTTTTAAATTCTCTATTCAGTTTCATTGATCTTTATTCCATTATACTCCATCAATACCACACAGTTTTGGTTAGTGTACCTTGATAAATCTTGAAAATTTGAAAAGCACTTTCTCCAACTTTATTCTTCTCTTTCAGAACTATTTTAGCTATTCTAGTGCCTTTGTAGTTCCATATAAATTTTGGAATAATCACCTCTATGTCAACAAAAAATCTTGCTTGAATTATGATAGGAATTACATTAAAATGGTGTGTCAATTTGAGGAGATTTGACAATTCACTATGTTAAGGTTTCCAATTCATGAACGTCATATGTCTCTTCATTTATTTAGGTATTTTTATGTCTTTAATTAGAATTTTATAGTTTTAGCACATAATTTCTTTGCATATTTTGTTAGATTGACACCTGAGTATTTTATCATCTTTGAGTAATTGTAAGCAGTATTGCAATTTTAATTTTCACAATTTCATTGCTAGTATGTAGCAATACAATTAATTTTTGTATGTTGATTTTATATCATGTGACATTGCTGAAATCACATATTAGTTTTAATAGTTTTTACAGATGACTTGGGATTTTCTCTGTAGACCATACTGTCATGTGCAAATAAAATCAGTTTTGTTTCATCATTTCTAGTCTATATGCCTTTTATCTCTTTCTTGCCTTATTTCACTAGCTAGAGTTTCCAGTACCATGTTGAATAGCAGTGGTGAGGGTGGACATCCTTTGCTTTTTTGTAGTCTTAGGGGCAAAGTATTCAGTCCTTCATCATTTAGGTATAATGTTTGCCATAGGTTTTTGTTGATGCTCTTTAGCCAGTAGAGAAATTCTCCTCTATTTCTAGTTTTCTGAAACTTAGAAACTTAAAAAAATAATGAATGATTATTCATTAGGAAAACGCTCCTTCTGCATCCTTTGATTTAATCATCTGATTTCTCTTCTGTAGTTGTTAACATTAACTACATTAACTGATTTTCAAAAGTATTGAATATACCTTCCATCCCTGGAATGAGCCTCACTTAGCTATGTTTTTAGTTTTTTTAAATATATCGTGAAATTCTACTTGCTAATATTTTGTTAAGAGTTTTTGCAAAAAAGAAACTGTCATCAGACTGAACAGACAACCTACAGAATGAAAGAAAAAATTTGCAATCTATCCATCTAATAAAAGCCTAATATCCAGAATCTATGATAAACTTAAACATATTTATAAGGAAAAACAACTCCATTAAAAAGTGGACAAAGGGCATGAACAGACACTTCTCAAAAGAAGACATTTGTGTGGCCGACGAACATGAAAAAAAGCTCAACATCACTCATCATTAGAGAAATGCAAGTCAAAACCACAATGAGATACCATACCAGTCAGAATGGCAATTATTAAAAAGCCAAGAAACAAGAGATGCTGGTGAGGCTGCAGAGAAATAGCAATGCTTTTATACTGTTGGTAGCAATGTAAATTAGTTCAACCATTGTGGAAGACAGTGTGGTGATTCCTCAAAGACCTAGAACCAGAAATACCATTTGACCCAGCAATCCCATTACTGAGTATATACCTAAAGGAATGCAAATCATTCTATTATAAAGATACATGCATGCATATGTTCACTGCAGCACTATTCACAATAGCAAAGACATGGAATCAATCCAAATGCCCAAGAACGATAGACCGGATAAAGAAAATGTGGTACATATACATCATGGAATACTATGCAGCCATAAAAAGGAATGAATTCCTGTCCTTTGGAGGGACATGGATGGAGATGGAAGCCATTATCCTCAGCAAACTAACACAGGACAGAAAATCAGACACCATGTATTCTCACTTATAAGTGGGAGCTGAACAATGTGAACATATAGATACAGGGAGGGAACAACATGCACTTGTGCCTGTGGCAGGGTGAGAGGAAGAAGAGCATCAGGAAAAATAGCTGATGCTTGCTGGACTTAATAACTATGCAATGGGTTTATAGGAGCAGCATATCACCATGGCACATGTTTACCAATGTAATGAACCTGCACATCCTGCATATGTACCCCAGAACTTAAAATAAATAAGTAAATAATTTTTGAATCTATATTCCTGAGGGACATTAGTTGGTAGGTTTCATTTTTTATACTGTCATTGTCTGGTTTTTGGTATCAAGATAATCCTGGTTGGCTTTGTAAGATAAGCGGGAAGTATTGCTTCCTCTTCGATTTTGTGTAAAATTAGTGTGTGTGTGTTTTTTTTTTTAACTTTCAGTAGAATTCACCAGTGAAGGCATCTAGGCCTTGTAATTTGTTTTTAGAAGGTTTTAAATTATGAGCTCTTCTTTAATAGTTATAGGGCTATTCAAATGATTGGTTTCTTATTGAAAGAGTTGTGGTAGCTTTACTTTTCAATGAATTGTTATATTTTATCTAATTTATCAAGTTTACATGTGCAGAATTTTCCATAATATTCACTTATTATACTTTTGCTGTCATCAGGGTCTGTAATGATGTACCTTGCTTTATTATGCATATTCATAATTTGTGTCTTTTCTCTTGTTTTCTTTGTCAGCCTTGATAGGGAAATATAAATTGTACTGATCATCTTAAAGAACCAACTTCTTATTTCATAATTTTCTCTACTTTTCAGTTTTGTGCATCTGCTTTCTACATTGTATTTTTGTTTTCAATATCATTGATTTCTAATGTTATCTTTATTACTTTCTTCTGTTTGCCTTGATTTTCTTTTCGGTTTGGTTCTTTTGGCCTTGGTTTCCTGATTTGGGAGCTTAGATTACTGATTTTAAATGTTCTCTTCTTTAATGCAAGCCTTAGGATCACCATTTTTTCTCTTATTACTTTTTTAGCTGCATGTCAGAAATTTTGGTATCTTCTATTTTTATTTTAATTCAGCTCTTTGTATTATTTTATTTTCCTTGAGACTTCTCTTTTCTGCATAGGGATTATTTAGAAGTCAATTATTTAATTTCTCAGGTTTGGGAAATTATCCTGCTGGATTTCTGTTATTGACTTCTTGTTTGATCCCACTATAGTCGGACAACACGCTCTGAGTAATTTTGAGTTTTAAAAATTTATTGTGGTTTGTTTTGTGGTCCAGAATTTGGTCTATCTTTGTTTATGCTCTACGGGTACTTGGAATGAATGTGTAGTCTGCAGTAGTAGTTGCATGGAATGTTCTATAAATATCAATTAGATACTAATTGTTGGTGATGTTGTTGGGTTTTATATCCTTGCTGATTTTCTGTCTAGTTGTTCTATTGATTATTGAGTGAGGGTTGTTGAATTCTTTCGTTGTGGATTCATCTATTTCTATTTTCAATTCTGTTACTGTTTGCTGCAAATTATTTTACAGTGTTTTTGTATGGCACATGCACGTTAAGGTTTTTTTTCTTCTTGGTGGATTGGCCCTTTCGTGATTATGAACTGTTCCTCTTTATATATGGTAATTTGTTTTGATGTTTATTTTATTTGATATTGATATAACCACCTCTGCACTCTTTTGATTAATGTTTCCCTGGTATATCTTATTTTAAACTTTTTTATTCAACTTATCTTTATTATTATATTGAAGTGACTTTCTTGTAGAAATTATATAGTTAGATCATCTTTTGTTTGGCTATAAAAATCTACTTTGCCATTCTCTGTCTTTTGTTTTCAGACCATTTACAGTTAATGAAATGATCAATTTGTTTTGTTTTTTCATTTCTTCATTTTTGTTTTTCTACCTTCCAGTAGGTTTCTTGAATATATTTTAAATTTCAATTTATCGGTAGTGATAGTAACTGTATCTCTATTTAAAGTGCTTTTAATAGTCACTGTAATTATAACCATATATATAAAATTTTACTAGTCTGAGCGAAGTATAATACTCTTATCCCCTTTAACCTCCATTTACCCTCCCTCGTTTATAATAAGGATCTTAAATATTTTCTCTACATAGATTGTTCAATTGTCATACATAATTTAGAAAATTCCAGAAGAGAAAGGAATTCTATTACACTTTACCCATGTTTTAGTTTTCTTTTTGATGTTCCAAGATTCTTTCTCTTAATATATTCTTTTTCTTTAGAGAACTTCTTTTAACTATTATTTAGAGTAGGTGCACTGGTGATAAATTTTCTTATTCTTTGAGAATGTTTTGATTTTCCTGAATTCCTGAAGGATATTTTCAATTAATATAGAATTACAGTTTAACAGTTTTTCAGTACTTGGGAAATTGCATGCCATTTCCTTCATACCTTTTTTAAAAATTTTTTTAACTCTTGTGGGTACACAGTAGTACCATTTCCTTTTGGTCTCCATAGTTTCTGATAGAAATTTACCAAGGGCCGGGCGTGGTGGCTCACGCCTGTAATCCCAGCTTTGGGAGGCCGAGACAGGCAGATCATGAGGTCAGGAGATTGAGACCATCCTGGCTAACAAAGTGAAACCTTGTCTTTACTAAAAATACAAAAAATTAGCCGGGCTTGGTGGCGGGCGCCTGTAGTCCCAGATACTCAGGAGGCTGAGGCAGGAGAATGGCGCGAACCCGGGAGGCGGAGCTGGCAGTGAGCCGAGATCGCGCCACTGCACTCCAGCCTGGGCGACAGAGCGAGACTCCGCCTGAAAAAAAAAAAAGAAAAGAAAATGTACCGAGTTGTTTCTACCGTGTAGGTAATGTGCCATTTCTCACTAGAAGTTTCAGTGTTTTCTCTTTCTTATTTATTTAATTTTTTACTTTAGTTTTCAAAGGTTAATTTTGATGATGTGTTTGGGTGTGGATTTCTTTGTGTTTATCTTGTTTGTTATTGCTCATCTTCTTGAATTTATACATTTATGTTTATTTGTAAATTTGGAAAGCTTTCAGTCATTATTTCTTTGACTACTCTACCTGCTCCATGAATATTTGATCTTCTGTTATAATCACACGTATCTCTGAGGTGCTCTCTCTCTACTGTGTTTTTCTGTTGTTGGGTTGGGTAATTTGTGTTGTACTACATTCAAATTCACTGATGCTTTCTTCCCTAGGGTGCTGATGAGCCTGTACAGTGAGTTTTGTTTTTCTCTTCGTTTTTGGCTAATGCTAAAGCATTTTCTTTTAATTCTATAATTTCAATTTAGTTCCTATCTTCCATTTATTTGATAACTTTCTATATTTTTATTTAATTGTGTTTGTGTTTGATCATTGAAACATTTTTATAATGGCTGTTTTAAAATCCTGATCAGATTATTCTAATATCTGTGTCATCATGGTTTTGCTGTCTAATAATTGTCTTTTTTCATTCAATCTGAGATCTTCTTGGTTCTTAGTATGATAAATAATATTTTATTGACATGTGGACATTCGGGGAATTATGGTTTGAGACTTAGGATTTTATTTAAATCTTGTCTGTCGGTGGGCCTCCTCTTATAGTACTCTGGCTGGTGAAAGGGGATCTCTCTCATTACAGTGAGGTGAAGTTGACACTCAATGTTGCTGTTGGGTGAGGATGGAGGCTTATTCTCTCCACTTGGCCTCTGCTGATACCACCCTGGCTGGAAGGATGAGAGGCACATTATTGCTCCTCCTTATGCAGCCTCTACCAACACAGTATGTGTGGAGTGGCCTGTTTAATTCTGGGTGACGGGGAAAGTCCGGACTCTTCACTAGGCTCGGATGAGTCTACTCTAGGGAGAGGGGAAGGATGTCTCATTGCTGATGGGGGTGAGATTTCAGGTTCCTCAAGTGGTTCACATTTACCCCCAAATGTCTGTAGAATAGGGATAACAATAAGATTGTGTTCATTTTAGATAAAAATAAAATATTGGTATTGGCGGTGAAAATTAGGTGTTTATTGTAAGAAAGCTAAGTGATTTATCAGAGTCTCACTATATACAGGACATTCAAAACATGGCTCATACAAAGTCTGTTCCCCTAAATTTACTATCCATGGTCCATCCTAATCTGTGTCCAATATAGCTTTCCTACTCTCCTCTACTCCTCCTCATTACTCACCCTGCACTCCAACCAAATCAGTGGTTTATGGATATCCACTCACATCTAACATGTGCCCTCTCTTTCCTGACACTGCTTTCCTCTGCCTAGAAAATGCTCTCGTCTCTTCGACTACTTTTAACACACTACAAGCCTTGTTTGAATACCCCTTCACTCAAAAGTCTTGCTCAACCACAGAAAGCTTTCACTCTTCCAAAACCTGAAGTCATTATTAGCATATTCTAGCAAGTCCCATGATGTATTGCAGGTGTTTTTGTTTGTTTGTTTGTATGTGTCCTGGTACCCAGATTATCTTGTAAAACCTTTGAGGAAATGCTGGGAGAGTATGTTGCTCAGAAAAAGCTTCTTTAATTACTCGTTTTTTTTTTTTTTTTTTTTTTTGCCATTTGAATGATGGTGAGGAATTAAAGAAAACCAAATTAGGAGGCGATGGACCAAAAAAAAGAGAAATGATCAGATAATTACTGAAAATTATTTCTAAAACTGTAGGCATTAGTGAAAATAATGCAAAAAGAAAATTGTATAGGTACTTGGTAAACATAAAGATATCCCAAAGTTTATTTTTTATACAATTACAAAGAAGTAGTCACTGTAAGACAGAGTTTTCATTCACTTCATTATTTCTACTATTATTTACCAAACAGTAACGTCTGATCGAAATCTAATGAATCAAAATAAAGAAAATCATAATATTATTTTATAATTATATTTTAGATGTTAATTTATGTCTCATCACTTGTAAAAATGATTTCTTGCACTTTGACATATTGAGTAGTTTTGGTGGAGTTTCTCGTTTTGTTTTCCATTTCTTCATTCGATTATTTACTTACATTATGTGTGGAAATGTCCCACAAGAGCTGCATATTCTTAAAATTGTTAAGAAGGTATTTGAATTTGAAATGTAACTGAGGACCTCTGAGACAAGATTTATCGTGTTGGCTTTACATTTTTTTTTTTTTTTTTTGAAATGGAGTCTTGCTCTGCCACCCAGGCTGGAGTGCAGTGGCATGATCTCGGCTCACTGCAAGCTCTGCCTCCCAAGTTCACGTCATTCTCCTGCCTCAGCCTCCCAAGTAGCTGGGACTACAGGCGCCCGCCACCATGCCCAGCTAATTTTTTGTATTTTTAGTAGAGACAGGGTTTCATCGTGTTAGCCAAGATGGTCTAGATCTCCTGACCTCGTGATCCGCCCCCCTCGGCCTCCCAAAGTGCTGGTATTACAGGCGTGAGCCACGGAGAAAGTCCACACTCTCATTAATGCCCTAGGTTTTTTCTAGCTTTGTGCTTTATCATCCTAAATATCTGGTTTTGCCTGTCTGATTGCTTCTTGATCAGAAAAGCCATGCTCTGTCTCCAACCTCAGCCCTCATTCCAGGAAGAAAGAATATAAAAGTTACCCAAAAAAGAGGTAGCCGTCTTTTGCAGAAAAGCAAACTTTCCCAGAAATTCCCAGCTGACTTACATTTGCATCTCCTCGGCCATTGTGTGGCCCAAGCTGTAAAGAAAGGGTGACAAATGTTCTGCTTTTACTCTCCTATCCCAGCACATTGCCACCCTGAGAAACATCAGTGCTGAGTCTGTGAAGAAGGGGAGAATAGATTTGGGGTAGGGAATTAGTAATGTTTGCCACACTAGGTTAGAGCTCTCTTCTTATGAGCAGATAATTTACTTAGTCCTTAAAAAGTTAAGTTCACAGGGCCCTGGAGCAAAGGTAAAAATGCTTCAAGAGGAGGAGCCATTCTGAAACAGTTTGAGACTCAGCTGAGTAACCCCAGGGCCCATGAGGGCTTCTGTTCTGCATGCCTCCTTCTGACAGGGCCCTTGGTTCTTGTTGACTTCCGCTTGTTCTTGGTCATCATCCTGACGTCTGCATTGCCTTTTCATGTTAACCACCAGGATAAAAGTCATAATTTCCATCTGTGGTTTGTTGCCACATTTAAAAAAAATAGTGTTTTTAATTTTTGTGTATACACAGTAGGCATATCTATTTTTGGGGTACATGGAATATCTTGATACAGGCATACAATGTGTGATAATCACATCAGCGTAAATGGGGTATCCATCACCTCAAGCATTTATCCTTTAATTCAGGAACCTTCTCTTTTATTTCAGAAGTGGCTAATATCCTCATTATGGATATACTGTGTAAGAAATTACTTATACATTACTAGTATAAAAGGACTGCCTTATAAGGAATTCCGTTTTTTACCACCCATTCAACACTAAACAGTCCCCCTTCACTACCTACCATTACATGCAAACAAATTTTCACTGTAGTGAATGCATTTTAAGATAACCACAGATGAGAGTGAGAAAGACAAAATCAGAAAATACAATCAACCTTTGCTCTGTTTGAACCATTTAAAGTTACGTGGTTGTAGTTGATAACTTACTTGGGTTAAAAATGTATCCTTTTGTCAGCACTGTAGCTTTTGTTAATTTTTTTTTTCTTAAGAGGAGAAAAAGTTTCTCAACTTAGTATAGCAAAACCCTTTTCTAAAGGGCCTATAAATAATTTTGAGTCCCTGGTGCTGCCTGGAAATGCAGCTCTTCTGAGCTGCAATGTCGGCTATTTCTCTGAAACTGGAGTAGTCATTCAAAAATAGTTTCACTCAATTTAACTGCCTATTGAACCCTGTAAATTACAGATATTAAGCCTTTGGTTTCACAACAAACTTAATGAACAGTTCTGACAATCTATAAGCAAGGCCACTGGAAATTCATGGGCCAGATGGAATCACAGATTACACCATTTTCCTACTGGCCTGCAATTTTCTGGCACCTGGATCTACATTCCAGGGATACATATTATGTCTGGTGCAATAGTCCCTGCCCCTAATAACTGAATTTGTGTTTTAGAAAGCTCAATCCTAGCAGAGAAAAGACTTCAAACTTTCAATCCTGATTCTTTGAGATATCAGGACAGAGCCCAACCTATTGATACTTAGAATGCAAGGTGCTATAAGGGACCCTTTAAGACGAAATTCGTCTAGAACAGGGAGGGACTATGGGAACAGGCGGGGGAAGCAAGAGTAATGGAATAAAGAAAGAAATCTTATCAGGTGTGGGATAAGGAAGAAATTACATAAACTGGCAAAGGAAGAAAAGAAGAGAGCTTGAAATTCAGGACATTCCCCTGAGAATCTCAATTATTTGTGGGAAAATTAGCACTGGCGATGTATATTTTGCTATAAAGATTCCACGTATCTGCTCTAGAGTGATTCTAAGGGGAATGCGCTTCATCACTGAGAGATTCCTTTTCACATCCTGAAAAATGGCCAAGTGTCAGTGACATGATTGGGTGTGAGGGAATCAGACTGTGTGAATCAATTTCCTCATTCAGAACGTTCATAAACTGCAGCCCCTGTGCTCCAGCATGCTATGAATTTCCTGTTTTCAAAGAACATGTATCACTCTTCCCCCCACCTTTATATTTATCATGCTATATTCTAATTGTTTATTTATTTACCAATTTGTCTTTCTCAGAGTAGGTAATGTGGTCATTAAGGAAGAGATTCATCTTATTTACCTCCATGTCTCTTGTGTCAATAGGAGGCCTGAAAAACAGTCAAATCTTGGCTGACAATATGCATGCTCCAATTTCCTGGGGCAAATTCAATGATTTAAACATGGATTTTTATTTGAAGTGGAGAAGGGCATCCTAGGGAGAAGCCAAAACCTGACTTGAAACATTCAAACATATGAAAGGTAAAGCATAACGCCTGTATAGTCAGCAGCACTGAGCACTCTTCTTGAGGAAATCTGCGGATGTGATTTCATCTCGATGCTTCTCACTTGACCCACTGTGGATATCAAGAGAGATGGTTTCTCTGGCAGGAAGCAGGGGCTCTGTCTCCTGGGTGCTCACGGGATAGAATGCCTTTGGTGGAAAGCAGAGGACATTTCATTGGCATTATACATTCCACACAGAACTTGTTATTAAAAAAACAACAACAACAATGATAGAATAGGTAGATATCAGGGGCTGAAAGGTCCCAGAGAATTGGCAGTGCAACTTATTTTACAGTTATGGAGGTGAAGTCCATCTGAGAGAAGGAAGTCACCTGCAGGAGGTGGCTGGGTCACCACATGATTACTTTTATGCTGTGCAACATAGGGTCCCTGTTCCCCCTGGAATACCAAAAATTGATGAATGCCTTATGAGGACATTTTTCTTATTTTTAAAAACATCTGGCCAGGCGTAGTGGCTCACACCTGTAATCCCAGCACTTTGGGAGGCTAAGGCGGGTGGATCATGAGGTCAATAGTTGGAGACCAGCCTGGCCAACATGGTGAAACCCCGTCTCTACTACAAATACAAAAAAAAATTAGCTGGGTGTGGTGGCGTGCACCTGTAGTCTCAGCTACTTGGGAGGCTGAGGCAGAAGAATCGCTTGAACCCAGGAGGCGGAGGTTGCAGTGAGCCAAGATCGCACCACTGCACTCCAGCCTGGGCCATAGAGTGAGACTCCATCTTAAAAATAAATAAATAAAATAAAATAAAAACTAATGAAAATTAGATTTTTGTTATCCATTGAATTGCCAAAATCGTAAAAATTAAGTTGTTTTATAGGTGAGGAGGAGATAATATTTCTTTATTTTTGGCTGAAATGATGGTGACAGTTTAGTCAAATTTGTTATTTGTTGATAGATTGCTAGGAAGACATGTGCCAATAACACCCAAACTATGACAAATGCTGTGCATTGTTTAGTAACCATACTTTGTTTTGGTTTTTAGGTGATCTTTAAAATATTGTTGAAGTGCCTGAAAAAGTGTGTTTAGTGGGGGGGGAGACAGAGAACTGTATCTGAGAGAGGATGCTCACCAAATATTCCATCTTCTTCCCCGACACATCCTGAGCTCCTGAATGTTAGGCAGGGCCAAGTCACTACAGCTTTCCTATAAAATGTGAGCAAAACTAATGTGCATCATTTCTGGTCTGAGGTGGTAGAAAACTCTTACGCAATTTGCTCACTTTTCTCTGCTACAAGGACAAATGCATTTACCAGACAGAGGAGGCTTGTCTTCATCTCCCTCAGCACCCCCTGCCAACCCTTTTAGCACAAAGAGCATGAGGAAGAAATAAACTCATCTGCTGCTTATTACAGAAAAATGAGGTCATTTGTTACTTTTGCATACACTAAATTAGCCTGACTAGGTCAAGATCTAACATTTCTCTGATACCTACTTACCCTGTCAGGTGCTTTTGAATCACAGTTTCGCTTAATTCTTACAAAAGTCTATGATGGAGCTGAGATCTCTACTATATAGATGGTACAGTTGGGGGAAGAGCTGAGACTCAGTAAGCCTCCATCCATTTCTAAGGCCCCACATTTAATAACTAGCTGCACAATTGGACTGGAATCCAATCCTTCCTGGTCCCACTGCCTATGCACTCCCCACTGTACCATGTCACCAGATGAGCAGTTAAAATCTTGTGATAGTAGCAGAGTCCTCCTGAGTTCAAATCCACCTGCTCCATGATTTTTCGCACTCTGAACCAACTATATCTTTTGGTTAATGCAGGTTCCAAAGGAATCCACTATGGTCATCACAACCACTGCCATCACAGTACATGCAATATTATTTTTATTTCCTAAAAATAACAAATGGCCCGGTGCAGTGGCTCACTCCTGTAATCCCAGCACTTTGGGAGGCTGAGGCGGGCAGATCACAAGGTCAGGAGATCGAGACCATCCTGGCTAACACAGTGAAACCCCATCTCTACTAAAAATACAAAAAATTAGCCGGGCATGGTGGCGGGCGCCTGTAGTCCCAGCCACTCAGGAGGCTGAGGCAGGAGAATGGCATGAACCCGGGAGGTGGAGCTTGCAGTGAGCCGAGATCGCGCCACTGCACTCCAGTCTGGGTGACAGAGCGAGACTCTGTCTCAAAAGAAACAAACAAACAACCAAAAACAAACAAACAAAAAGCAAATAGCAGATCGACTTTCTTAGCCAACCTAAATTGTGTATCAAATATAGAAATCACAGTGCTAACTCTTACAAAGGAATTCTAAAGTTGTTTATTATGGCATCTCCAATGACATCCATCACATCAGGTGCAAAGAGTCAGATTTGCATATGTCTCACTGATTATCTAAAGGAATTTTTCTCCCCCTCCTCCATCTCCTGCTCAGTTGTGTATCTATTTCCTTTCCTTCAAGTAGGTCATGTATTGCCAGAAAGGTTAAATGTAAAAGTCAGCAGTATCTGGCAGAGACACATGTGGAGATGGAGATGTTCTATGCTGCTCTCAGACTGATTAAATAAAGGATGCCGAGGGAGTAGAATGAGGCTGGATGCACACTTTACTAAATGAAAGTAATGCATTAGAATGCAGCTTTAGGGTCTCATTTAAAAATATAATTCAGGCACCAGCAGAAGCCTTTAAAATATCGGCAGATGTCTTTATGCCACATTTCATGTAGAGGACAAAGTGGATTAAAAGACAAATGTAATCCGCAGAATGGTTCAGCTTCCCTTATAGTCCCTAGTGTTTTAATTTCTTTTACATGTATTTTATTTAAAGAGAATTTTTACACCTATTTTTTCATATGCTTTTGCAAAATTACTCAAAATCTACCTGAGATCATTTCAAACTATTAATTTCTGTATACATTTTTCATTTGCACTTCCTTTCATCCAGCATGTATTTAGAACTTACTATTTGCAGACTGAAAAATGAAGACTGTTACCTTCAGTGGGGAAAAATGGAAATATCTCAGGGAGGCTGATTGGAACTGACTTTCCTTTTTCAATATCACAGGCTTCGTCAAGGGGGTTACCCCGGGGGATCATTTCTCATATAAACACTTGCATTTTCCTTTTCACGTTATGAGGAGGTGATGAAGGACAAAAGAGCTATTGTTCTCTCACTTCTACTTTAATTTCCCCCAGTGGTGTTTTATCAGGTTCTGCATTTTGGAATCTGTTTTCCCTTTTCCTGATCCTCCTATTTTTTTGAGTCAGTAATGAGGAGTTCAAATGCCAAGCAAACTGCTGATGCAAGCAATGTGCTATCTGTTTGGAGATGAACTTGGAAGATTTATCAATTAGGGAGGCTTTTGCGATACTCAAGTGGAGAAGTAGTTTCCAAAGCTACCTATTTTGTAAGACTGAGATAAAAGAAATGCCAGCCTCTTTACCGTAGAGTGTGATTCCAGCTGACCGAAGTGAAAAAGTCAGAAATGAGAATGCTGCTGACCTGAGAATTTAGGGGAATCACAACACCCCTTGGACCCATTACTTTTGACTGGTGATGAGATTTTCTTTTTGAGAGGTTTACAGCAAGGGGCATCTTAAGGGATTTTGCCCCTAGACAAATCCGACTGGGCATGGCATTCATTAGAAATCTAAAACTGCTATTCACATATTTAGGAGCCAGATAAAGCTAAAAATTCATTTTGTAAATGTATTTCCTCTTAAGCTCTAGTGTCTTACGTATAAGAAATATCCTTAAAAGTGAATCAGCAAAGCTTCAAGAAAACCACTGAATCTAATTCTTAGCAAAATTTTGGTTCTATGTAGAAAAAGTATTTTTTAAATGGTGTGTTATTTAATTTAAAAGATACAAATAAGTTAAAAACTAGAGCCAGCCTCACCATACAACTAGCTGTAAACTTAGGATGACCTGAAATATGGTCAGCTCTCTATTGTTTTCATTTTGAAGAGGCTCAGAAAAGAAAAGTGCTAGGACCACTGGAAGCCACGAAAGTAGAATCATACATCGTATCTCCTGGTCTCCCAATTCCTTCCCTCCACTGTGTTCAGACTTCATTATTGCTTGAGTTTTGTTTTTGTTTTTAACACCATCCAGGTATTCCTTGAAGTTTACTTGGGTCACAATAAGAGTGGTTGTTTGCTCCTTTTGAGCACATTTGGATCTCACATCCTTGATTTGGAGGTTATCTATACAAGTTTTAACACACATAAAATTTACACTTCGTAAAGCAGAAAATATTTATTTATTTTGTATAGATTTTGCCATCTGCAGGGGAGCATGTAATAAATATTTGATGTTCCTCAAATGGGCACACAAGAAATGCTTTGAAGATAAATTGGACTTGCCTTCTGAGATTTATTTAAAAATATATATCTGAGAATAAAACTACTACGGAAGTGAGCAGACTTTTAATATTTCTTCTGGAAGCCTTAATTTGGAGACCACAACTTTTCATAAGGTTCTTGAATTTTCAGTGCTCAATGCTTCTACTCCGACTTTTGTGACATGTTAAGTCAGGCAATAAAGCAATCTGTGTTTCAGATAAAGTTTCTTATTAATTTTTATGTAAATTAGGGGCCCACTACTTTGTTTATTGGCTCCTACTGCAAAAAAGAGGGTATATGTCTTTTTAAAAATGATAAATTTCAATAGATCCGTCTGTCAAAGATGCAAAATAAATCTTCGTTTTCAAACTTCTGCTGCTGAGAGGGAGAGAATACCTCTTTTTTTAAAATGTGTTTTCATATTTGCATGGGAAAAACGAAACTTCAAGAATTAATGCAAGAGAAACAAGTATATAAAATGTGAAAAACAGAGACCTTTCGGTGGAACACGTTTGGGGTAGCGTTATGCACAGGACGGAGCAGGGGTCTGCTTGTAGAAGCCCTAAGCAAGCCTGACATTAATGAGCCACAGGATGTCAGAAGAAGAGGAGAAGGGTGAATTCATTCTTACAGATAGGCTAGAAGCCAAAAAAAAAATTTGTAAGTTGTGGAGACTTTCCAATGTTTCTGTAAAATCAGGACCCGCAAAATTTCTTTTACTTCTATTTTCTTTTACTCTTCTACATTAAAGTTGAAAATAGATGAAACAACTGTTATGGGTTGAATTGCATCCCCTCCAAATGCATAAGCTGAAGTCCTAAGCCTCATAGCCTCTGATTGCGACCAGAACAGGATCATTGCAGATGTAATTAGTTAAGATGAGGTCATACTGGAGTAGGGTGGGCCCCTAGTCCAATATAATCGGTGTCCTTAGGAAAAAAGAAAAGAAAAACTCTGCACAAGACACGCACACGTGCACGCACGCACGCACACACACACAGAGGGAGGATGGCATGTGAAAACGAAGGCTGAGATCAGGTTGAGGCTTCTACAAGCCAAGGAACACTAAGGATTGCCAGGAAACCACCAGGAGCTCGGAAGAGGCTTGGGACAGATTCTTCCTCACTGCCTTCAGAGGGAACCAACCCTGCCAACACCTTGATTTCAGACTTCCGGTCTGCAGAACTGTGAGGCAATAAATATGTGTTGTTTTTAAGCCAGCTGTTGGAGGTACTTTTTTACAGCAGCCTTGAAAACTAATATTACTCCTAAGAATTTTCATCATTTTGAATTTTTACTCTATGGCATAATTTTTTTAAAAAACTAACAAAAACAGGTCTGGAAGAAGTCATGGGAAGGTTGAGGTATCCTGCTTAGCTGCATCTCACAGGGCAAGGGAAAACAGAATAACAGAGGCTGGATGGTGTGTAGGGCGTTTCAGCATTTCAGAGCATTGCACAAATGATAACTACTACACAGCTTCAATAGGGCTCCCTTTCTCCAGCTTTGGGGCAAGACAGATGAACGGGAAGCAAAATGGCTCCAAACCACAGAAAGAGACGTATGGATTAAAGTAGGCTATAGTTTCTTTATAGTGTTTCTACTTTTACTTCTTCCATTTGTGCCTGGAGGATGCAGGCCTCCTTCACCCAGCAGGTGAGGTTGCTTCTAGTGTTCTATGTGTTTCATCTGCACAGCAAACATAATGTTGAATCACAACCCTTCTTGCTTCAGTTGGGGAATCTTCTCCATTCTTATGGAGTCCTGCCTATTCTACATCTAAGAATTCTCACCTATTGCACACACTTTTCTTTCTCTTTTTATGGGAAAGCTTTTCTTAACTTGCATTTCATAGCACTGTCCTTGACATGTGAAGAAAAATTTTTGGAGTTTAGAAACACTCTTTTACCCCATTTTTTGGAACAAAGCCTACCTTTCAATGAATCTTTTGTATTAGGTTATCTCTGCTCCTCTCCTAAATTAGTGAATGCCATTTATTCCATGAGTGGTGAAACTCAGGGCTAGAAATATCTATAAGAATTAAAAAAATGCACCAGAAGAGAGTTAAACAACATTATCCCCTTACATCATGTTTTCTTTTGCAGAGGAAAGTGAAAGGAGTGGATACAGTATTGCCCTGGGAACCCTGCAAAGCTCAGGACAATTATAAACATGTGTGATCATTCTTGGGGGTTATTTGTTTGAATTAGGTATTCCCTTATCAAACTGATGAGCCTAATGTGTGTGTAATCTCCCCACAGAGCCTGGGTCTCCCTGGAGGAAGGCACAGAGTTGCACAACCCACGAAGGGACCCTTAAAGCAATCGGGAGCTCCACCTGAGCCCAGGTATGGCAGGCTGACCTGTGACCTACCTCAGAGCCCAGAATGAAGGAGCCAAAAGCTAGCCAGCATTGAAACAGACACTGTGCCCTGCCTCTGGAGTCATGCAGGCCTACTTCCCTCATCCCCCCTTCCTGAGGGAGCCATGATAGAAGAAAGCCCAGATGAGGAAACTCTCAGGACTGAATTTGCATTTTAGACTCGACCTCTGGGCAAAAGGACTCATGGGTTTCGAGAAAGTGTAAGAGGTGATCATATAGGTTCTCCGTGCTTGGCACCTGTGTCTAGGAGTATTTGAAAGAAATGTTTAAAGGCCACTGGTTACTGCTTAGTTTTTGTTACAGCAAACTTTGAAAGCCATGTGTAGAAGCCTGGAATATCATTAAAAATAGGTTACAATAAAATACAATTCTACTTGTTTCTGGGTCTTGAACTGTCCACATCAAGTATGGAAATAGACATATAGAAAGCCCTTCTTCTATTATTTCTGGCATATAATTCCAGCATTAAAGAGTTAATATCAACTTGTTACTCTCTCACAAATAAACAGAGAGATTGAGTGCAGTTCCAGGAAATGATTCTTCTATAGAATGGCCTTGGTTTGTTGTTGTTGTTGTAGTTGTTTTGTTTTGCTTTATTTTTCAGATTGATTCCAAGTGTTGAAAGCCCAAAAAATTACTATAGGTAAGTAAGAAAAAGAAAACACACCCGTTCTTTTTCATTTGGCTTATAAATATTGAAGTTGTTTTTCTTTATTTTTATTCCGTATTTATACATGTTCTGACTTGATTATATCTGCCTTATTTTCACAAAAGCAGCTTACAATTAAAGAACAAGTAGGATTAAAATCCATAGAGGCTGAGAAAGAGAAAGAGAAAGAAAAAGAAGAAAAGAGCAAGGAGAGAAAAAGATGATACAGAAATAGAGTATTGAGCTTCCTACCAACCATGACACATGCTATGTCATTCTATGAATGCTGTTAATGACATAGCATAAATGACACAGCATTCACTATTTAATAATAGAATTCATTCCATTTCATAGGAGAGCAAAATCATTTCCAGCCTCAAACTTCTGAGAAAAATACATCATATAAAACCTTTATGTATGTGACATTTGGAATATGATAGAACAAGTCTTCACTAATCATTCTTTACAAATGCAGAGAAATTTTATGGACTTGTTTTTTATTTCACTGGCTTCCGGGGTAAGCCAGTAGACAGTTTCAGTTCATAGTAATTCTTTAAGAAAATCCTGGTGCTGGGGCTGATGGCTGCAGAGACAGCGAAAGATATTGGTCCCAGGTATGTAGCTTTTTAAAAATTCGACTAAATTTATGGGAAAAACAAAACAAAGTAACAACAACAAAAACCTCTAAGGCCGGGTGCAGTGGCTCACGCCTGTAATCCCAACATTTTGGGAGGCTGAGGGGGGCAATCTCTTGAGGTCAGGAGTTCAAGACCAGCCTGGCCAACATGGTGAAACCCTGTCTCCACTAAAAGTACAAAAATTAGCCAGGTGTAGTGGCATGCAAGTGGCGTGCACCTGTAATCCCAACTACTCAGGAGGCTGAGGCAGGAGAGTCACTTGAACCCAGGAGGCAGAGGTTGCAGTGAGCTGAGATTGTGCAACTGCACTCCAGCCTGGGTGACAGAGCTAGACTCAATCTCAAAAAATAAAAAAAAAAAAAAAATAATAATAATAATAAAAAACATAGAAAATACAGTGAATAGTTAACAGAATTATTAGCTCATTTCTTTCAGATCCCAATTGTCTCAGATGGCTTTGTGGTAAGACCTCCCAGCAGGCCACTCAAATGACTGTCATCTGTGAGGACCAGAAGGGCAGACATTTTGTGTTACTGACTGAAGAAAGATCAATATGCTCTACCAAGGTCAGAGAAAAGCATTCCTTCTTTTTGTGAAAAATGAAAGATTGTGACAGAAAATCTTCCTTGATGAAAGATTTCCTCAGATTTGTGGTGAGAAGGAGCGGGGGTGTCTACAGACCGGGCTGGCATCTCCCGCCCCACATTAGAGCATCTGAATTAAAGGAGAGTGTGAAAATGAGCACATGCCAACCCCAGAAGTAAAAGAAGTAGAGAAAAATACACCAAAAGAAAGTACGTAAGAATTAATAAAGACTGAAACTGAGATTATTCCACTAGAAAACATAGCAAACAAAAAGCCAATGCAACAACGAGTAAAAGTAGACATTATTTTTTAATGAAAAGTCTAATAAAAACAAGGAAAATGTAAGCACTGGGTAAAATCATTTATCAAAAACCAGGAGCAAATATTATATTAAAAGAATAATTGCTTAAAAAAGTTTTACTAAAATCAAGAAAAAATATAAGGATATCAATTATTTAAAATGTTTTGATAGGGGATATGTGATATAATTAAAAAAATAAAATTAATGGTATATCTAAAATAAAGATATTATCCTTAATTGCAGATATTGCTATATATTTAGAAAATAAAAGAACTTCAATTAAAATAGTTAGAACTGATAGATAATTTTCATATGCAGCAGGATATAGGAGATTTGTAGTAACATCTATCAATTGTCAGAGAATGAAATGAAACAATAACTAATGGAATTCATCCATATAGTGACATAAATACAAAGTCCATAATATTAAATGCAAAAATAAATATGTAAATCCCATGTGCAATAAACTATATTTTATGGAAAAATATTAAGAATCCAATTAAGAATCACAAGCCCTGTTCCAAGTTAAAATGTCAATTCTCCAAAATAAATAATTAAACCCAGTAATATTTCTTTCTTACACTTAACAGGGGCATATTTGGGAGTTGGACAAATTGAATATAAAGTTTATATAAAAGAATAAATGTGTGAGGATTGCCAAGAACAATGTGAAATCTTTGCATAATTGAGGTGGTTTTGTCTTATCAGATATTAAAACATTCTAAGAAGTTACCATTATAACAAAATATGGCTATCCCAGAAGAACAAAACATAAGAATGATAAATATATCCAAGAATGCATGAAATTTAATCCATAGTGCATTTGGTATTGCAAATATGTAAGAAAAAAACTGGGTTTCTCCCAAATTATGTTGAGAAAATGGAGCAAACATTTGGAGAAAAAATAAGTTTGATCACTACTTTACAGCATACATAAATTACAAAAAGTAAAATGTTCAAAAACTGCAAGCTTATTCAAAGTAATATGAGATTATTTTGAAGCATTTGTGGAGGAAGTCTTCCTAAGTATAATAAGAAAGCTTAAAGCTACTGAACAAATAATGACCAATTTAATATTTAAACATTCAAACTTCTATAAATCAAACATCACAGAAACTTAGTCAAAGAATAATCTACAGAGAAAGTATGTGTAACATATGTGACGAAGTTTTAGTATCACTAAAATATGTAAGTTCTTAAAATTTGTTTTAAAGACACAAACATAATTAGAAAAATATTGAGAAGATATGAAAAGTTGATTGATGAAAAAAAGAAGTCAAAAGTCAATAAGTGGGAAAAGCAAGTTATACAATAGATTCAAGGCCATTATTTGCCCATAAATTGATAAATGGAAAAAATGATTGACAGCATCTAATGGGAGCATAAGAAATTCACATACATTGTAGATAGGAGTGTAAATATCCTCATATTCTCACTTCTCTCTTTCTCCAGCTTAGATTGATACAGCTTCAGATGCCCTAAGATTTCATTATAATGCACCTGCAAAAGGCCTAATCCAAACCCCTGTGAAATTCAAATCTCTGCCTTCTCTATGGCTGCCCCTGAGCAGCTGGATTTTACTGATGACACACACATGCACCCACACAGACACACTCATGCACATGTACACTCATGCACACATGCAACCACAGGCAGACAATTTGATGAATTCAGTTCTTGTTCTCTCTTCTCTGCCATCCTATTATTCTGACACACTGACTTCAGCACCCTTCTAAGACTTTCCTTTAACCTGTGAAATTAACATGATCCAACTACATATAAATATGTTGCCTACAAGAAAAATCACCTTACCCATAAAGACACATATAGACTGAAAGTCGAGGGATGGCAGAAGATATTCCATGTATACAGAAACCAAAATTGAGCAGGAGTAGCTGTTTATATATCAGATAAAACAGACTTTATATCATAAACAGTGAAAAAAAGAAAATAAAGAAGGTTATTATGTAATGATAAAGGGATTATTTAGCAAGAGGATATAACAAACCTAAATATATATGCACCCAAATGAGAGCACCCTGATTCACCAAACAAAGGTTAGTATGCCTAAATAAAGAGATAGACAGCAATACAATAATAATGGGATATTTCAACATCCCACTCACAGCACTAGACATATCAGCAAAACAGAGAATTAACAAAGAAATATTGGATTTACATTGGACTTTAGAACAAATGGGCTTAATGAACATTTACAGAACATTCTACACAATAATTACAGAATATTCATGCTTTGCATCAGCACATGGAACATTCTCAAAGACAGACCACATGTTACAGCACAAAGCAATTCTTAACAGATTCAAAAAAATCAAAATCATATCACATATCTTCTCAGAACTCAGTGGAGCAATGCTAGAAATCAATACTAAGAGTAACTTTGGAAACTCTACAAATATATGGAAATTCAACATCATGGTCCTGAATGATCAGTAGGTAAATGAAGAAATTAAAACAGAAATTACAAAAAATTTGAAGTGACTGCAAATGAAAGCACAACGTACCAAAACCTGTGGGATAAATTAAAAGTAGCACTAAGAGGGAAGTTTACAGCATTAAGTACCTACATCAAAAAAAGGTAGAAGGATCACAAATTAGCAACCTAACATCATACCTCAAGGAATTAGAAAAACAAGAACAAACCAAAACCAAAGTTAGCAGAAGAAAAGAAATAACAAAGATCAGAGCAGAACTAAATGAAATAAAGACAAAAAAAAAAAAACCCAAGGAATGACCAAAACAAAAAATCAATTATTCCAAAAGATGAACAAAACTGATAAACCACTAGCTATATTAATTGAAAAAAGAAGAGAAAAATGCAAATAAACAGAATCAGAAATAAAAAAGGAGATATTGCAAATGATAACACAGAAATAGAAAAAATTATCAGAAGCCCCGTACAGTAGCTCATGCCTGTAATCCCAGCACTTTGGGAGGCCAAGGCGGGCAAATAGCTCAAGCTCAGGAGTTCAAGACCAGCCTGCGCAACATGGCTAAACCCCATCTCTAAGAAAAATACAAAAAAAACCCCAAAATTAGCTGTGTGGTGATATGTGTAGCCCCAACTACTTGGGAGAATGAGGTGAGAGGACTGCTTGAGTGAGTGAGGGAGGTGGAGGTTACAGTGAGCCAAGATCATGCCACTGCACTCCGGCCTGGGTGACAAAGTGAGACCTTGTCTCAAAAAAAAAAAAAAAAAAAAAAAAAAATTCAGAGATTATTCTAAATAACTATACAGTAAAAAAACTAGAAAATTTAGAGGAAATGGATAAATTCCTGTAAACATTTCTTGATATTGAACCAGGAAGAAATATAACTCTTGAGAAGACCAATAATGAGTGATGAGATTGAATCAATAATAGAAAATTTCCTCCCTTCTCCCCAAAATAAAAGCCCAGGTCCAGGTGGATTCACAGTCAAGTTCTACCAAACACACAATGAAGAACGAATACCAATCCTCCTAAAACTATTTTTAAAAATTGAAGAGGAGGGAATTCACTCCAACTCATTCCATGAGGTCAGAATCACCCTGACACTAAAACCAGACAAGGACACAACACGACAAAGAAAACTATAGAACAATATCTCTGATGAACATAGACACAGAAAATCCTCAATAAAATGCTAGCAAATCAAATCCAACATCACACCAAAAAGATGAGAATTCACCATGATCAGATGGGATTCATCCCATAGATGCAAGAATGTTTCAACATATGCAAATCAATAAAGTGATATATCACATAAACAGAATTAAGGATAAAAACTATATGATTGTCTCAATAGACACAGAAAAAGCTTTTGATCAAATTCATGATAAAAATTATCAACAAACTGGCATGAAGCATTCCCTCAAAGAACTGGAACAAAGCAAGAATGCCCACTTTCACTACTCTTATTCAAAAGAGTCCTGGAAGTCCCTGCCAGAACACTCAGGCAAGAGAATAAAATAAGAGACAACAAAATTGGAAAAGAGGAAATGAAATTATCCCTGTTCACTTATGATAATCTTAAAGACTTCACCAAAAACAATCTTAGTTTTGAAAAAAATGAATTCAGTAAAGTTTCAGATACAAAATCAATGTACAGAAATTGGTAGCATTTCTATACACCAATAATGGTCTAGCAGAGGACCAAATCAAAAAAGGCAATCCTATTTATAATAACTACAAAAATAAAATATTTAGGAATATATTTAACCAAGGATGCCAAATATCTTTATAAGGAGAACTATAAAATTGTAATGAAAGTAATCATAGATGACACAAACAAATGGGAAAACATCCCATGCTCATGGATTAGAAGAATAATATTGTTAAAATGGCCATACTGCCCAAAGCAGTCTACAGATTGAATGAAATCCCTATCAAACTACCAATGTCACTTTCCACAGAATTAAAAAATAAATTGAAAAAGTCATATGGAACCAAAAAAAGCCTGAATAGACAAAGCAATTCTAAACAAAAGAACAAAGCTGGAGGCATCAGATTACTTGACTTCAAATTATACTACAAAGCTATTGTAACTGAAACAGCATGGTACTGGTATAAAAATAGACACATAGTTCAATGGGACACCCTAACTCATTCTACAAGGCCAGCATCACCCTGATACCAAAATCAGACAAGGTCATAACAGAAAAAGAAAGGTACAGAACAATATCCCTGATGAACACAGATGCAAAAATCATCAACAAAATATTAGGAAACCAAGAATAGAGAACCCAGAAATAAAGCACTGGGAATACAGGTGTGAGCCACTGCTCTCAGCATCACTTTGGCATTTTCTTGAAGAATCTAAACTTGGAAACACCATGTGACTGGCAGTTGTACTTTTGAACACTTATCCTAGAGAAATGAAAATGTATATTTAATGAAATCTTGTACATGAATTTCCATGACAGCTTTATTCATAACCACAACTGGAAACAGCCAAAATGTCCTTCAATGAATGAAGGGTTAAGCAAACTGTGGTATATTTATGTCATAGAATACTACTCAGCAATAAAGAATGAACCATTGGTACATGCAACAACCAGACTCAATCTCTACAAAATTTTCCTGGGTGAAAAAAGCTCTCAAAGATTGAATTATGATTCAATTTAGATAATATTCTCAAAATAAAATAATTATGGAAATAAGAAACAGATTAGTATATGCCAAGGGTTAGGAATGGGGGTATATGAATATGTTTATAAAAGGGCAACATGTGGAATTTGGGGAGGAGGGAGTAGTTCTGTACCTCGACTTTAGTGATAAATTCATGTACTACAAATGTAATGAAATTAATTTATAGAGCTAAATAAACACACAGTAATGAATACAAGCAAAACAGAAAATCTGAATAAGATTACTGAATTACATCAATGTAACTTCCTGGTTTTGATAGTGTACTATATGTGCAGGATGTTATCATTTAGGGAAACTTGGTAAAGGGTGCATAGATCTCCTCGTATTACTTCTCACAACTGCTTGAAAACCCACAATTATCTCAAAATAAATGTTTAATCAAAAATTATATTAGATAACATTAATCATTTAAATAGGAAAAAACCAGTGATATTTCATCCAAACATGGATCAAAAGAAAGCTTGCATAGCTATATTAATGCTAGAGAAGTATAGAATTCAGAGGAAGGCATTTCAAAGAAAAGGAAAGATGTTGCATAGCAATAAATTAGTCAATTCTCCAAGAGACCATAATAACACTAAATGTATCTGTAACAAGAGAGCTTCAAAATTCATTAAGCAAAGTTATGGAGAAAATATGTATATATGAATACTAGGTTTATAACAGACCTGTAAAACACTTTTGAACAATCCAACTTAATTGACATTTATAAAATACTCTATGCAAAATACCCCTATATACATTCTTTTGAAATACACATGGGCACTCAACAAGATAGAAGATATTCTAGGCCGTAAAGTAAACCTAAAAGCATTTTAAAAATTAAAATTTTACAAAATATACTTTTACAACACAACAAAGTTGAGCTACAAATCAATAACAGAAAAATACAGAATCCACAAAATGAAATTAAATAATAAAATTCTAAATCATCCACGGGTCAAAAAAAATCACGTAAGAAATTTTAAAAATTTGATTTTAATGAAAATAAAAATGCAATATATTGAAATTAGAATGTCAATGCTGAAACAAAAGCACTGTTTAAAGGGAAATTTATAGCATCATATACTTACAATGGAAAAGCATGACTTTGTATTAATAATCTAAACTTGTACCTTAAGAAACTAAAAATGTTAGAGCAAATTAAACACTAAAGCAGTAAGAGGAACAGCATAATAAGAGCAGCCATTAATGAAATTTTACATAAAGAAAATCAATGAACCAAAATGTTCAGGTGTTTCAAAATTATAAATAAAATTGGTAAGTTTCTAACCAAACTTCTAAGAGAAAAAAAAAGATGCAACTTACAACTATTTGGAATTTAAAGAGGGGACATGACCTGCAGATCCTAATAAATATTAAAATAATCAGATATAATTGCTTATTATTTCAATTTAAATAAAATGGAAAAATTCCTTGAAAAATAAAAGCTACCAAACCTCACTCAAGAAAAAATAGAAAATTGAATAGTCTAATATCTATCAAAGGAATTGCATATTACTTAAAACCTCCCCTTGAAACCCAAAAATAAAAAATTCTCCAACACAGAAAAATCCAAGTGGAGATACCTCCCCTAGCAATTTCTACCAAAGACTTAAAGAAGAAATATAAATTATACACAAATGTGTATATAAAAGTAGAAGAGGAACACTTCTCAACACAACTTATTATACAACATAACCTTCATATCCAAGTAAGAAAAGACATTAAGAAAAAAATAACTAAAGATCAATAGTACTCAAGCCCACAGGCACAAAAATATTTCAACAAAACATTAGCAATTCAAATCCAACCTTATAGAGAGAATATTGGGCAGGCTCACTTTAGGAATGCAAGGCTGGGACAACAGCAGAAAAACCAATCAGTATAATTGATCATATGAGAGACTAAATAAGGCAAAATACAGATTCATCTCAATAGATGTAGAAAAACATGTTGGCAAAACTCAATATCAATTCATGGTAAAAGCCTCAACACACTAGGTATAAAAGGACACATCCTTAACCTGATAAATGGCATCTTTAAGAAGCTACAGCTAATATTACAATTAGTGGTGATGTATTGAATGATTTTTCTTTCTGTTCTTAACTCTTTCATTTAATATCACAGCAGAGGTCTTACACAGGGCAAAAAGTAAAGGAAAATAAGCATATGTCTTAGAGATAAAATCATAAAATAACCTCTATTTGTATATTACATGATTGTCTATGTAGCAAATGTCAAAAATGTGCAAAATAGTTCCTGGTACTAATTAGTAACTTTGGCAATGTCAAATGATACAAGGGTAATATACAAAAGGCATTTGTATTTCTAAATATTGAATCCTACTAAACTTTAACTACAATACAGTAGTGAAGACCGTATGGCAATGGAGAAAGGATAGACATGTAGATAAATGGGACAGAATGTAGCCACATAGTTAATTGGGTTTTGAGAAATATGCAAAGGTAATTCAATGGAATAAAAACAGTCTTTTCAACAAATGTTGCCAGAATAATTTCATATCCATGTGAAATTGAATGAATCTCAATATACACCTCGCAACCTATAAAAATTAATTAAATGGGTAATAGGCCTACATGTAAATTATAGAGAACTCTGAAAGAAATAACAGGAGAAAAATATTTGTGACTTTGAGTAAGGTATGAATATTTTAGATACAACATGAAAATCAAGATCTATAAAAAGAAAGACTGATTATTTCAATGTGACCAAAATTAAGAATATCTGCTCTTCACAGGACACTGTAAAGAGAATGAAATGGCAAGCCCCTCACTGTAAGAAAATATTCACAAATATCATAACTGATGAAGCACTGATATATATATATATATATATGTATCAAGTCTCAAAAATAGTAACATAACCCAGTTTATAAACAGACAAAAGCTTTGAACAGACATTTCACCAACAAAGATAGATAGATGGAAATTAGCAAATAAAAATATGCTCAATATATTTAGTTATTAAGGAACTGCAAATTAAACCACAATGACACAGCACTATATACCTATTAGAATACTATATACTATACCTATATAGAATACTATATACCTATTAGAATACATAAGAAGTACAACTACATAAAAATGAATAAACAAAACCTAACAGTAAGGAGTTAGCAAGGATGAAGACCAACAGAAACTGTCACACAATGTTGGTGGGAATTCGAAATGGTGTACCCACTTTGGAAAACAGTTTACAATTTCTTCTAAAGTTGAATAGACGCTTACCATACAACCCAGCAATTTCACTCTTCGATAGCTACACAAGTGATGAAAACGTACATTTACACAAAAACCTGTATAGAGTGTTTATATAGGCTTTATTCATATCCATAAAAACTAGAAACAACCTAAATTCCCTCAAGTAGGAAGTGGATAAACAAAGTGCAATACACCTACGCATTTGAAATATGTATGGTTTGGCTGTGTCCCCAGCCAAATCTCACCTTGAATTGTAATAATCCCCATGTGTCAAGGGCAGAACCAGGTGGAGATAATTGAATCATGGGGGTGGTTTTCCCCAGACTGTTCTCTTGGTAGTGAGTAAGTCTCACGAGATCCTAAGGATTCTATAAATGGGAGTTCGCCTGCACAAGCTCTCTTACCTGCCACTATGTAAGACGTGACTTTGCTCCTCATTTGCCTTCCACCATGATTGTGAGGCCTCTTCAGCCATGTGGAACTGTGAGTCAATTAAATTTCTTTCCTTTGTAAATTACCCAGTCTCAAGTATGTCTTTATTAGCAGCATGGGAACAGACTAATACAAAATACTGTTCAATAATGAAAAGAAACAAACTATTAATACACACAACATGGGTGAATCTCAAACGCATTATGCTAATTGTAAAAAGCCAGATCTGAAAGGTTACTTGTGTATCATTCCATTTATAGGACATTCTCGTAAAAGCAAAACCACAGAGACAGAAGACACATCAATGGTCAGGGGAATGGAGGCAAGTTGATAACAGAAGGAGTCAGGGTTAATTTTGGGGGGTGATGAAGTTATTTTTTATCTTGATTGTATAAAACTGTATGTGCTTGTCAAAATTCACAGAACTGTAAAAGGATGAATTTTACTGTATGTAAATTATATCATAATTTCAAAAATAAAAAAGAAGCATGAGTGATTGAATAAGCTAAAATGATAAAATCCAAAATAAAAATGTTTCTAGTTAAAATCAGTTGACAGAAATGAGAAAGAGAGAGAGAGGGAGAGAAAGAAAGAAAGGGAGGAAGGGAGGGAGGGAGGAAGAAAAAAGGAAGGAAGGAAGGAAGGAGGGAGGGAAGGAAAGAGAAAGGAAGGGAGGAAGGAGGGAGGGAAGGAAAGAGAAAGGAAGGGAGGAAGGAGGGAGGGAAGGAAGGAGATAGGAAGGGAGGAAGGAGGGAGGGAAGGAAAGAGAAAGGAAGGGAGGAAGGAGGGAGGGAAGGAAGGAGAAAGGAAGGGAGGAAGGAGGGAGGGAAGGAAGGAGGAAGGAAGTAGAAAGGAAGGGAGGAAGGAGGGAGGGAAGGAAAGAGAAAGGAAGGGAGGAAGGAGGGAGGGAAGGAAAGAGAAAGGAAGGGAGGAAGGAGGGAGGGAAGGAAGGAGAAAGGAAGGGAGGAAGGAGGGAGGGAAGGAAGGAGGAAGGAAGGAGAAAGGAAGGGAGGAAGGACGGAGGGAAGGAAAGAGAAAGGAAGGGAGGAAGGAGGGAGGGAAGGAAGGAGAAAGGAAGGGAGGAAGGAGGGAGGGAAGGAAAGAGAAAGGAAGGGAGGAAGGAGGGAGGGAAGGAAAGAGAAAGGAAGGGAGGAAGGAGGGAGGGAAGGAAAGAGAAAGGAAGGGAGGAAGGAGGGAGGGAAGGAAGGAGAAAGGAAGGGAGGAAGGAAGGAGGAAGGAAGGAGAAAGGAAGGAAGGGAGGAAGGAGGGAGGGAAGGAAAGAGAAAGGAAGGGAGGAAGGAGGGAGGGAAGGAAGGAGAAAGGAAGGGAGGAAGGAGGGAGGGAAGGAAGGAGGAAGGAAGGAGAAAGGAAGGGAGGAAGGAGGGAGGGAAGGAAAGAGAAAGGAAGGGAGGAAGGAGAGAGGGAAGGAAGGAGAAAGGAAGGAAGGAAGGAAGGGAGGGAGGATGGGAGGGAAGGAAAGAGAAAAGAAGGAAGGAAGGAAGGAAAGAAAAGGAAAGGAAAGAAAAGAGAAAAAGAAAAGAAAAGAAGGAAGAAAAGAAAAGAAAAGAAAAGAAAAAAACAATTGCCTTGGTCCAAAACTTGGCCAGACCGCTAGACTATGTAAGAACCATTCCTCTATGAAGCCTCAGGGACTTGGTGTTGTTTTAAATCTCTAATGTCTATGGTATAACTGATGTATTTACTGTCTGATGTACACTTACCTTTGTAAATGTGCTTTCCAACCAGGGAGGTCATGTTTTGTTCAGCTGCTGCTTGGCCTGGGACCACCCTTCATGTGCTCTGACCTGGTAACAGTAGTATATACTGGGCACCACATGGTTACTTACCTCAGTCTGCCTGATAGCCAGCCCTCCTGTGGGGTATGCCACAGCAATTTAATTTAGTCCAGGTCAGCCTGTTAATCTGGGCAAAGGTAGTATGGGGTGAGATTTGGGCCAATATTCCCTGACATGTTACAGCCCATATCAGGAGGATCTAGACAAACCAAATTAAGTGCCAGGCGAATATTAACAGCAAATGAATGGACCTTTGGTGGCTGCAAAATCACAACCCAGGGAAATACTTCCTTCTCACTCTCCCTTTATCTCTCTCTCTCTCAATGTGTGTGTGTTTGTAGTTAGTTTGATTTGTTACCATATTTAGTACAAATTTATTCAATTGTATTGGGCCCTGCACTGAGATCTCATTTGAATGGGAATCTGCAGAGTTACATAAACAGTGACCACAAACATGAGAAGGATCATCCTGAGTGGCTTATCTGACCTTTGAAGATCATTTCATATGGGGATAATGGCAGCACCACAAGAACAAATGCTGAGCTCTTCAAGCAAAAATTTTGAACGGCAATACTCATGTTGAGGTGCATCAACACCCCGTCTCCGTCTGCGGAACTCACCCTTCAATGTGCAGCTCAAATGCCACCTCCTCCCTGAACAGTGCTCTGTCACCTTGGGTGGGTGGGCCCTCTTTCCACTGACATCGTCCAGTGCTTTGCTCAAACCTGGTTGAATCAATAAATGGGGAAGATAGCCCATATTTATTCTCCAACCATTTAGTATTTTATAGATTTCTATTCACGTTGAACTTATCCATTTGAATGGTTTTACTTTTCCCAAACGAAATCTACTCTCAATAATTTCTTACACTTTGTCATCATTGTCTATGGACAATTCTCAAAGATTAATTTCTTTTAAAGCAGCGGCAGCATCATTAGAATAGAATACCTCCCAATGCTTGATGTATTTCATATGTTTAGTCTTCGTTAATGTTGTTCCTTCTTTCTGGAATTCCTTACCCCATTCTTTTTCCTATTACATTTTAATGAATAATTTAAGGTGGGACTTAAATCTACGGTGATTTACTCAGCATTTCTTATTTTCCTTTTCTTAGGATCGGAACTTATATAGCTTACTCATTTTTTTCCTCATGTCTTTATGAATACCGTCATTATTTGACACAGGATCACATCGTGTTAGACTCATTTATTTATGTGTCATTTAACTGTATTTCACAAGGACCATTTTTTCACTCCTATGTATTCCCAATGTCTAGCAGATTGACAAGTACAGAGGATGCACACCATAAATATTCACTGAGCTGAGTAGTCTGAGAGTGAGTACACCAAAAAGGAGTCTCTCTCTCTCCCCTCATACATGTGAGTGTATTTATATATATGTGTTCGTGGGTGTTTGTGTGTGTGTACACACACATACATACAGAGACATGTAGTTTTGGGTATGTGTTTGAAAACATGTCACTCAATTTTGTATTTATGCCTAAAATAATAGAGCAATATTTACTGTGAATGTATCTCATATGCTTATTTTCCAATTTGACTATTACTCCTAGAGTATTCATTTTAAGCATAAGATTAAAGTTTCTATGCAAAGATGACTTGGGAAGACCTGGAGGATGTGTATTTTTTTATACTAATTGTCTGAAACAGCTTTTCTTTTAGACTTTTCCTAGAAAAAAATTAGGAGTGTATTTGTTCACTCGAGACTATCTGTAAAATAAAGAAGATATTTGAGAAGTTGCAAAGAACTTCTAAGTGTAAAAATAAAATGAGTTGATACATCAGAAACTAAGTTTGGTCAAACTGGAAAACAATCGTAGTTTACTACGCATGTGAGTGATCTAGAGATTGTTTAATTTCTATCTTTTAAAATAACTTTACTTATCTTTGATGGTGAGCCTGTATTAACTATGCAATAATAAACTTTCAGATTATGTTTATGCAATGTAATACAAATAGATATATTAGCAGAATGTATATACAGAGTTTTTATGGTAAAAATAACAGCTAACAACAATGATTAGATAATGTACATAGCAAATGGCATTGTGTTGACCATGTCCTGAACCTTAAAGCTGAATGTATCAGCCCAGTTTCTGTTTCCTAAGATGATAATAACAGCATTGACATTAATAATAATATAGCCAAACCCTTAATGTTTAAGAGATGATTTTCTGAATGTTTATATATATTACCTAACTTAATTTAACCCTGCTATATCTAAGAAGTTTGCACTATTAGGATTTCCACTTTAGAGGAGGAAACAGAGGCCTTGAGAGGTGAGATAAATTGCCCAAGGCCAAACAGTTCCTAAGTGTCAGAGCTCCAACTTCAACATTTCTCTGAAAATAATTATGTTATTTTAATTATTTTTTGGTATTCTCTATTGTCATTGGAATTGTAGGGAATTAAACAAATCCCATCTTCTTTTCTGGAAGAAAGAGAATATCTTTTCTGTAACCAAAGATTATTCTCCATGTATAATAACTACAACTTCTTCAGATGATATAGAAATTTAATTTTTTTGTCTTATCCTTTCAACATTGAGGTTTATCTTCACAAATAAATATGTTGCAAACATTAATGTTCTAGCCAAGAAGTATTTAGAGTAGACACAGTTCTTGCTTTTGGAGTCTTAAAGATTTTCTTGAGTACTTTTCAAACTATAAGAAAACAGAACATTTTATAGAGCCCTTCCATTTATTTCTATACCCTCCATACTTACTTCTCCTTTATTCTCTGTGACTTTCTCTCACTCGGAGCAAAAGTCTGCGAAGTCCTGCATGATTTCTGCTCCCCATTGGGTCTCTGATTTAGCTTTTGCCTACCTTCTCCCATGCTCTTCTTCCAGATATCTACATGACTTTCTTCCTTATCTGCTTAGATCTTTTCTCAGATGTCATCTTATCCATGACTTTTATCTAACCATATTAAAAATCGCAAACTCACAACCAAATGAGCTCTTCTTCTTTCCTATATTTTGTATCTCTGTGGCATTTACCAGTGCCTAATATTTATTATAGTCATTTTATTTATTTTTTCTATGGTATGTTCCATCCCATTAGAATATAGGCTCCCTGAGGATAGCAATTTTTGTTTGTTTAGTGGGCTGCTATATCTCCAGGGCCTAGAAAATGAGACTCCAGGGCTCTTGCACAGGGAACAAACTTAGTAAATATTTCTTAAATGAATGCTGCATAAAATCTTTGCTGTATAAAAATACTTTTATTTGTAAGTTCAGAGTTACTCAGGGCTAACCAGTATGTGGATCAATACTAGTAACTACACTGTGACTAACTGGAAGTTCTTATTTACTTTAGAGATTACGTTTACTTTGGGACCATTAGGAAAATATTGGTTTGCCTGTGCATTGGTAAATTATTTTCACAATTTGACTTCAACCAAGAAATTTATTCATAATGGATTGTAGACCTGAATGTAAAACTCAAAACTATAAAAGTCCTAAAAATTAACAGAAAATAAAATCTAGATGACTTTGGGCTGAGTGTTAACTTTTTAGATATAACACCAAAGGCACTATCCATTAAATAAATAACTGATAAGCTGAACTTCATTAAAATTAAAAATGTCTCACTCCTGTAATCCCAGCACTTTGGGAGGCTGAGGCAGGCAGATCACTTGAGGTCAGGAATTCGAGACCAGCCTGGCCAACACGGTGAAACCCCACCTCCACTAAAAACATAAAAATTAGCAGGGCATGGTGGCACGCACCAGTAATCCCAGCTACTCGGGAGGTTGAGGTAGGAGAATCACTTGAACCCAGGAGGCAGAGGTTGCAGTGAGCCACTGCACTCCAGCCTGGGTGACAGAGTGAGACTCCATGTTAAAAAACAAACAAAAAATCTAAAATGTCTGCTCAGTGAAAGACACTGTCAAGAGAAGAAATAGACAAGCCAACAAACACCTCTCCAAAGAAGATGCACAGGTGGCAAATAGGCATTAAAAAAGGTGTTTCCTATCATATGTCATTAGCGAAATGCAAATTAAAATGACAATGAGATACCATGACATACCTGTTAAAATGGCTGAAATCCAGAACACCAACAACATCAAATGCTACTCAGAATGCAAACAAACAAGAACCTCATTCAGCATTGCCAGGAATGCAAAAGGGCACGATTATACAAAAGACGGTTTGACAGTTTCTTACCAAGCTAACCATACTCTTACCATATAATCCAGCAATCATGCTCCTTGGTATTGATGAATGAGTTCAGCCATTTTGTCCACGCAAAAAAAATTGCACATAATATTTATGGCAATTTTATTTATAATTGCTAAAACTTGAAAACCACCAAAGTGTCCTTCGGTAGGTGAACAGACAAATAAATGTCCATTGTGTATCATTGTGATACAACCAGGCAATGGCATATTATTCAACACTAAAAAGAAAGGCACTATCAAATTATGAAGACATGGGGGAAAATTAAATGCATAGTATTAAGTGAAAAAAGCCAACCAAAATGGCTACATACTATATGATTAAGTACATACATGTGGCTTCACCATGATTCTTGGCTTTCTCACAACATAGCCAGTTTATAGAAGTTAAATTATTTACATGGTAAGTCAGGTATTCAAATATGGGTGTTTCAGTGAACAGGAGAGAAGTTGCATCACATTTTATAAACCAAACCGAGACATCATAAAAAGTCATTTCTATGATACTCTAATTACGAATTCATCTACATTTATAAGGAGGGTAAATTGACTCCATCTATTAATGAATGAAGTCAATGTCAGTCACCTTGTAGAAGAATATGGGAGAAGGAGAATGTAGTTGCAACCATCTTTGGAGAATACAATCTGTCATAAAAATTATGTGAACCTGTATATAGTTACTTTGATATCTCAAATTGAAATAAATATGAAGTTATCTTATAATCTCCAGGATGTTATACTTTATCAAATTTTGATAATTTTATAGAAACAACATGCTTAGGATGTAGCTAATTCAGCACTTTGAGGAAAATTTATAGTATTGAGTGTTCACATGAAACAGAAAAAATAGTATATTCTTAAATAATTACATATCTTCCACATTAGACATTTTTGGAAAAAAAAAAAAAAGTAATTAAGCCCAAATCAAGTAAGGAAACAAATATTATAAAGGTCAGAGCAGAAATCAATGAGACTAAAACCAGCAAAATAATAGACAAAAATCAAGGAAACAAAAAAACTACTCATTTAAAATATTCATAAAATTGTTAAACCTTTAGTTTACTGATGAAGCAAACAAAAAGAGGACATGCAATTTACCAGTGTCAGGAACGAAAGAATGAACATAACCATAGTTCCTGTGGATATTAAAGGATGATAAGATAATTTTTTTTTTTTTTTTTGAGATGGAGTCTCACTCTGTTGCTCAGGCTGGAGTGGAGTGGCAGGATCTCGGCTCACTGCAAGCTCTGTCTCCCGGATTCATGCCATTCTCCTGCCTCAGCCTCCCCAGTACCTGGGACTAAAGGCACCCGCCACCACACCCTGCTAATTTTTTGTATTTTTTTGGTAGAGATGGGGTTTCACCATGTTAACCAGGATGGTCTCGATATCCTGACCTCGTGATCTTCCCGCCTCAGCCTCCTTCCCAAAGTGCTGGGATTACAGGCGTGAGCCACCACGCCTGGCCAGGACGATGAGATAATTGTATGCAAAACTTTAAGATAAAACAGATTTAAGAGACAAATTCCTTGAAAGATACAAGCTACCAAATCTCACTCACAACGAGATAGAAAACCTAAATAATCTCATGTCTAATAAGAATTTGAAGTCACATTTTAAAAGCTTCTTACAAAGAAATCTCCAGGACTGAATGGCTTTACTGGCAAATGTTTAAGAAAGAACTAATATTAATTGTACACATACTCTTCCAATATAAATAAATAAATATATATACATGTATATGTGTGTAAGTGATATATACATATATGTATACACATTTACATGTATATACACACATGTATATATACTTGGGAGGCTGAGGTGGGCGGATCACGAGGTCAGGAGATGGAGACACGGTGAAACACTGTCTCAACTAAAAATACAAAAAATTAGCCGGGCGTGATGGTGGGTGCCTGTAGGCCCAGCTACTAGTGAGGCTGAGGCAGGAGAATGGCGTGAACCCAGGAGGCGGAGCTTGCAGTGAGTCGAGACTGCGCCACTGCACTCCAGCCTGGGCGACAGAGCAAGACTCCGTCTCAAAAAAACAAAACAAAACAACAACAACAACTATATATATATATATATATATATATATATATGAATGATATGGCTATTATTGTCTTAGTACCAAAAGCAGTAAAGATGAACTTCCTAGGATTTGCCTTTGACAAGAAGCCATCTGAATGGAATCATACAGTATACAGCCTTAAGTTTCTGCATTCTTTTGTTTAACATTTTCTTTGAGATTTCTTCATATTGTTGCATGTGTCTGTAGTTTGCTTCATTTTATTGCTAAGTTGTATTCCGTTTCATTGGTAAACCATAATTTGTTTATCCATTCACCAGATGATGGATATTTAAATTCCAGGATTGATACAAATAACCATTTAAAATATATTTATGTCCTTATTAAGATATATGACTAATGGAACAGAGATGCCGATGTACAATGCAGCCTGCCTGCAATCTGTAATCTGTATACTATATTCAAAAGAGGTAAAATTACAATAAGGACAGGGTAAGGATAAAAAAACTACCTATTAGGTACTATGCTGATTACCTGGGTAACAAAATATTCTGTACGCCAACTCCCTGCCACAGGAAATTTACCTATATAAAAAACCTGCACATGTACCCCTGAACCTAAAATAAAAGTTAAATAAAAAGATACTCTAATAGTTTATACTATGATGAACAGAAGCCAGACAAAAGAAGCTTTTGGGGGCATTCTATTTCTGCTGATTATTTTCAAGGTGATTGACATTCCCATAAGGGTATATAACAAATTGCCTTTGATGGTAAATTCTTTATATCACTGCAAAGTCATTTTCAAAGTTCAGATGTTTAAGTGCCTCATCTGCTGTCTCTCTTCCCCAAGTCACCTGCAGGTCATCAGAGAGTCTGCTGATCTGTCTCAGGGTGGGCTCCATGTTGTCTAATAACTATCCCTCTAGATCATCTCCCAGTTGAAATCCTTGAAATCTCCTTTAGTCCTTAATATAAAATTAAAGGTATCACATAACTAAGATACACGTTACCTTTCCAGATTTACTCTCTATATGTTTCGCTTTAGTGTTCTGTTTCAGACAATGATTTTGCTTATTTAAGAATATACTTTCATATTTTAAAATGTAAAACCATTGTCCATACAATTTGCCCCACCTTGGAAGTCTGGACTTCCTCTGTCCTTGTTTGTCTGAATCTAACCTGTTCTTAATCTCAACACAAACTTATATTTCTAAACAATCTGTTCCTAACCTCCACCACCTGGGGATTATTTCTATTTATTCTTTTTTTATTCTGTATAGCAACATTTACATAATATATTTAGGCCATATGATACTGCAGAAAGTAATAGATTCTTGTGGACATAGTGAAGTTTTGTTGTTTGTTGATTTGTTTCTTAATTCTTTTCTTAGTTGCGAAATTCCCTACCACATGAAGCTGTTCTGAAAGCAGAGTTGGCCTCCCTCTACAGAAAGTGAGAAGTCAAATACTCACTTTCCCAGACTCCGTTCTTGCAAGAGTGGTAGATCAGATGCAAGCACCTAGGAATTTAAATCAAGACATAGCATAGCAAAGAAGCCCGGGGAGGGGAGATTGTGTTCCTTCAGCGATGACATCAGCAGTGGCAACAGCAACATTCAGGATCAAAAAACCACAGAGGCAACAATTTTAGCAATTGCCATTATTGTCTACAGTCACAGCTCTGCCCCAGAAAGCCTCAGGTTCCCCTGCTCATGGTGACAGCTGCTCTCTTTTCACCTAACTGGTTCTGCAGAGCAGTTTTTCTGTTTTTTTTTGTTGTTGGTTTTTTGTTTGTTTGTTTGTTTGTTTGTTTTGCTGTGATTCTCTCTGTCTGATCTTCCTTTGATATTACCTATATTCTTCACATGTTTTTTAGCCTTCTGGTGTTTTGTTAACTATTCATCCATTCAATAAATCCCTTGTTCCGCTGAAATCAGCTTGCTGACAATGCAGAACTACTAATCCAGTGCTTTCACACATATCACTACGTCATTGCAACATTGCTTAGATGGATGTTAATATTCTCATCTGCATATGAAGAAACTGAAGCTCAGAGAGGACATACAACTTGTCTAAGTCACTCCTTTGGCATGTATTATTTATTAAACATTATAGCATATAAACATAAACATCAAGTTTATCCTTCAATAAGAAGACAATATTCAGAGAAAGTCACAAATTAGCAGGTTGCATTGCATTTCGAAGGGAAATCAAATAATTAAATTAGAAAAGAGAAATGACTTTTCTAATCCAAAGCAGAATGAAGTTCAAGGCCAATAGCTTTGATGATACATCTGACATTCTTTATGTTTCCCAATGCAGATTTTATTTTGGGCTGGTGAACTTTCTACTTTCTCTGCTGTGAAGGGTGACAAGGTAGGAAGGAGAGGTGAGAAGAGGTGAACAGTAACTACATGGAGATTGCCATTATAACAGGTAGTGGGCACACAGCATTGACTAAGTAGCCAGTAAACACCAGCTCACCATACACAAGATTTACTGAGGACCCACTTCTGCTATAACAGCACCATGTAGCCCACATCTTAAGACCACATCATTTCATTGTGACTTGTTTAAAAAAATAAAAAACTCACAAATCTTATGCACCAAAATTTGGAGATCACTTTAAAAAAATTTTTAAAAGCACTCGTTTCTTCTCAAACAGTAGGAGGTAGCAGGATCTGATAACTATTTGGGAGCCACGTGCTTCTTTCATTTTATTAAAATCCTCATGGCAATGTCCAGTTCAGTATGTATGCCAGAATGCAAATGTTTTCTTGGCACTTTCTAAGAAATCCAGAAAGATCCAAATGAACATAAGAACTGGTGGGTGATAAGTGTGTCACAACCAGAATTATAGATTTTAGAGCTGGGAGGAAACAAAAGTTGCCTATTTTTAAAACATAAATTCCAACTGCTCAAAACCCTGTAGTTTCCAGGATTTAATTAGTGCTGTCTTTGAGGGTCTGTTAATGAGGTATAGAGACTTCTGGGTTAGCCTTTATTGGCATTCTAATAACATGTAGTATATATTTAAATACTATTTTGGGTGGTCATACCTCCTGATTTTACAAAAGTGCAAATTCAATCAAAGGAGACAGTCAGCTAGTATGGATGACCCCACGGAGGGCTCTTTCCAACACAAGTCCCCAAAGGAAATACATATTGTGGATAAGGGGCCCCTCCGTTCATTCTGCTGTGTTAGTTTCCTAGAGCTGAGGGGACAAAGTACCACAGACTCAGCTGTTTAAACAACAGGAATGCATCCTCTCAGTTCTGCAGACCACAAGTTTGAGATCAAGGTGTCTGCAAGATTGGTTCCTTCTGAGGCTGTGAGGGAGAATCTGTTCCAGGAAGCTCTCCTAGCTTCTAGGGGTTTGTGGATAATCTTTTCTGGTAGTTTGTGTCCCTTGTCATATAGAAGTGTCACTCTAGTCTCTGCTGACATCTTCACACTCTAGTCTCTGCTTACATCTGCACCTGGTGTTCTCCCTGTGTGCATGTCTGTGCCCACAATCTTTCTTTGTAAGAGTACCGATCATATTGGATTAAGGCTCTACCCTACTCTAGTATGACCTCATCTTAACTAATCACATTTGCAGCAACTCTATTTCTAAAAAGGATCCCAATATGAGGTACAGGGGGCCAGGCCTTTGACATATAAGAGACGGGTCACAATTCAACCCATAAAAATCCCCCCGTTACGAACAAGTCAATCTCTGGTTATTTGCCACTGGACGTTTCAGCGTCTGCAACTTCACTTCCTTCACTACACTTTCTTTCCATTCCCTGTCTGCTTACTACAGTACAGAAAATTCATGACTCCTCTCAAGTAGATTTTTTTTATACTGTGCTTTTGAAGCCTTCCCAGAAAACTACAGCCTAATGTTAGTCTCTCTCTTTCCTGTCCACTCATTTCATTAATGAATTTAGCAGTTCTTGATCACTAGGCATTTTTGATTCTTTATCTCAAAAATTTGCTTACCTCTTGAGAGAGGCAAACACTATGTACTTAATTTGTTGTGCTTCATAATGTGTTCAGTAGGTTGTTGGATTCACAGTTCTGGAGCTCAGCAAAAATATGGCTGTCTCCCAGGCACGTAGCAGGCATTTGCTGTCTTGATTAAAGAGAAAAAGCAGCAGAAGAGAAGAGAGGGAAAAGAAAAGAATAGAAAAAGAAACACACAAACTGTTTCTTAAGCTAAAGCTAAAGAAGTTGCTGGACATATGTTCTTTTGGAACATTTTGCGTTTCAATTGAGAAAGTGGCTGCATTACAAATTAACATGGACATATTTAGCACAAAGAATACACTCCTGTACAAGAAGCCTTTCATGACAATTGCAGCCATTAGACATTAAACTAGTTTACAAGGCAGATGTGTTGCTACCTTTAGCCTTGCTAAAGTAGTTTGATTCCTAACTGACTTTGTGTTTCTTGTTATATTTACGAACCTGAATTCTCCAAAAAAAAAAACTCTTCATAGTAAATAAGGCATCATGAGCCATTAAATTCTAGATAGTATTGTCACAAACTTCCAAGAGCAGCACCTGAAAAAATGTGTCACTATGATTTCAGCAATTCCAGAGATCTTATCCCTTCTAAGCTTTCCTTTGTCTTTATTGGCCTTCTTTGCAAACATGGAATTTAATAATTCTTTTTCTTTATAGTACTAATTAGTGTAGAAAATGCTTTCCTAAATGTTTTCTGTCTATAAAAATAATTTCATTGACTTTACAAGAAGAACATGAATTTCAAAGAAGATTATCCTTAGATAACAGGGATTTCTATGAGGGCAGCCACTTTGTCTTGCACACGTCAGCACTTAACACCTGGCATATAGTGGTCTAATCATTTTCAAAAACTGTTTTGAAGAAATTAATGGATGGAAGAATTCTTAGGTCCAAGCATAGATGAATGAATGGAAGAATAAATGAATGAATCTATTAATCAACTTTCTAAGGAAAATACTGCTTAGATTTGAAAGTTCTATAGCAAAGGACACAAGTGTTCCATTTACATTTTATGTATAATTACATTGGTGCCAAATATCCACCAGGAAAAACTCTAAAGAGTCCTAGTTAGAATAACCAAAACAAACTTAAATAAAAAAAAAAAAGCTGGAGGTATCACACTACCTGACTTCAAAATATACTACAAAGATATAGTAACGTAAACAGCATAAAAATGGACACATAGACCAGGAACAGAGTAGGGAACCTAGAAATAAAACTACATATTTACAGCCAACTGATTTTTTAAAAAGGCGTCAATAACTTACATTAGGGAAAGGGCAGTCTCTTTAATAAGTGGTTCCAGGAAAAGTAGATATCTATAGGCAGAAGAATAAAACTAGACCCTTGGCCCTCACCATACCCAAAAATTAACTCAAAATGGATTAAAGACTTAAATGTAAGACCCAAAACTATGAAACAACTAGAAGAAAACATAGGGGAAATGTTTCTGGATACTTGTCTGGGCAAAGATTTTATGGTTAAGACCACAAAAACACAGCAACAAAAGCAAAAATAAACAAATGAACCATATCAAACTAAAAAGCTTCTGTACAGCAAGGGAAAAGATCAACAGAGTGAAACGGCAACCTTCAATTAGAGATTAATGTCCAGAATATACAAAGAACTTAAACAACACAATAAAGCAAATAATGTGATTTTAAAATGGACAAGGAATCTGAATAGCAATTTCTCAAAAGAAGACATACAAATGGCCAAGAAATACATGAAAAAATATTCAGCATCACTAATCATCACAGAAATGAAAATTAAAACCACAGTGGGACATCATCTCACCCCACTTAGAGTGGCTATTTTCAAAAACACCAAGGGAAAAACAAAAACAAAAAAAACAAGGAAAAAAGATCATGCTGGCAAAAATGCAGGAAAAAAAAAAAACAACAAAAAAAAACAGTTGTCCCAAATTCTGGCATTCTGTGAAGGTACACTTTATATTGGAATTTTTATCAAGAAAGAGAGTTAAGAAGAAAGGAAGGAAGAGATGGAGACAGGAAGGAGGGTGGAAAGTGAGAGAAAGAAAAGAAAGAAAAAAGAAGGAGGGAAGGAAAGAAGGAAGGAAGGAAGGAAGGAAGGAAGGAAAAGAGAAAGAAACTAGGAAGGAAGGCACTGTGGGAGGTTTGGAAGTAAGAAGAAAGTCAAGAACCCAAGCACTCAAGAACAATGCAACTATTGTATCAATATTAGTACATATTAGCTTAGCTTTTTTTATATTTATACTGCTTAATTTTAAAGTTTAAAAAAATTGAGCTGGGAAAAATACTATTGATTAATTCTTATTAATAGAGAATAATTCCAACATTGGTAGAGAACAGTACCTTTGTAAATATAAAACACATAAATAGTATCACATGACTTTATTCTAGTGCAGCCCATTCTCAAAATCTGTGAAGTTGTCAGTCATTTTCTACCTTAATGCAAAAATATAGCCTGAGATTTCAAGAAAATAAGAGTAATCCATACACAAAAGTAGAATATTTAAGATACTGCCAGAAGACATTGGAAGCATCATTATTAACAAAAAACATGCTGGGTGTCACTGAAATTAATATTAATAGCAATAGCTGATATTTGCTAAGCACTGACTATAGACTGGACTTCCTGTCTCTAGGCTGATGTGATTTTCACAGCAAGTTGCACATGAAGGTTCTCTTTGTATCACCCTTGCTGCTGTACTTCCTCCACTGTGGAGTTTACAGAACTGGAATTGCCCTCTGTTTGTGCAATATACCATAATCTTCATTTAATTCCAGAATGGTGAAATTCAAAAGAATTAACTTCAGTTTGTCTTAATTTTATAAACTTAAATACAGGACTTTTCAGTGCAGATGCAGGTTCTGGGAGTTCAAACACCTATGGAGTTAATACCTTCAAATAGTGACTGGTGTCTGCTGGGATTATTTTTTCTATCTTTTTAGTTGAGAGAGAAGGTGATTTTGTAAACAATATTGGAAGTGTTGCAGAGTTTCATGAAGTAGTAGATAATGTATCAACTGCTACTTTACCTCATCAATACAAATCATGAACAATTCCTTCCATGTCTTGTAGGGTGATGGTCTGTGTTGCTAGCTGGTCTTCTCCAGCTGCTGGCTTTGAGAGCTGCAGAATACATGGCTGATATGTGGTTAAAAGCATTAAATTTAGATACAGAGACTTTTGGTAGTGGATCCATTTGTTTTTATTGACCACGTAATGCAGAATATATTACGTAAATCTATTTCTTGGGACTTCAGTCTATAAAAAGATGTTGGTAACACCCAGGGAGGCTGAAGTTGAATACCAGATGAGATGGCGCATGTGAGAGATCATAAATAATAAGGTGCTCCACACACTTAAGATACTCTGTTTCCCATGGAAATGTTCTTGACTCACACTTTGTAAAAAGTCATTATTTACAGTTCTTATAGCCTTGGGCTACTCTGACTTGGAAATTGATCTACTTGGCATCAGCCAAGAAATATTGAACCGGAAGAAGGTTGTTTAGATGCAGTGACAATGTCTGACTGGCCACGATCATTTTTTAAGTTCTTTCATAAGGGAGAATTTGCATAAAGGAAGACTTGACCTTAGTTCTGAATCCCAACTCTAATGAAAGAAAAGCCAAAGGAGATGAGAACATTAAGTTTGAAAATACTGTTGCCATTTTTCCATGTTTTTGTTTTCAGCTTTCCTATGCTCTGATGACCCCAGACATTTTTGTCTTTGTAAATAATAATAGCTGAATTTTTTTTATGTTTCATAGAGTCAGCTAAACTGTCTCTATGTTAGAATGTTCAGTCCCTTTATATGGGTTGTAATTTACTGACGTATTTGTGTTTATTTCTACCATTTTTTTTTTTGCTTTTACTTTTCAATTTTTTGTATTTCCCCTCTTTCTTCTCTTCCTTTGTATTGTTTGTGCCTTTTTATCTATTTTTATTTTTCTCTTATACTTCTATAAACTTAATTATCAAAGTAAACTCAATCAGAGTTATTACCTTCTTCCAGGACAATGCAAATCTCTATAACTTACAAGGCTTGAGTTTCATTTGCCTTGCTCCTACCTCAGGACTCAACACTGTTTTGTCCAGAATTATAGCTTTAAATATCTTTATATTTTAGTCATAATTAAACTAGCTTTTATTATTTTATATAATTCGTTTTTGTTTCTTTTTTTTGCCTTTTATTTTTGATTTAAAAACTTTTACCAATGATAATTTATTTTCTTACTAAAATGTCTTCTTTAGGATTTCTTTAATAAAATAGTGAATATTATCAATTCTTTTAATCTAAAAATCTTATTCAATTTTTGAATTTTTTGAAACTTTCTTTTATTTGAAACACAGCTCATCTTTGAATAACACAGAGGTTGGGGGTACTGATCTACCACATAGTCAAAAATCACCATATAACTTTTGACTCTCCAAAAATTTAACTACTAATAGCCTGCTGCTGATCAGAAGACTTATTGATAATATAAAATATCAATTCACAGAGATTTTGTATGTTCTGTGAATTACATACAGCATTCTTACCATAAAGTAAGCTAAAGAAAAGAAACTGTTATTAAGAAAATCATCGGGAAGGGAAAATATATTTACTACTCATTAAATGAAAGTGGATCATCATAAAGATCTTCATTTTCATCTTCACGTTGAGTAGGCTGAGGAGGAGGAGGTAGAGGAGGGGTTGGTCTTCACGTTGAGTAGGCTGAGGAGGAGGAGGTAGAGGAGGGGTTGGTCTTGCCCTCTCAGGATGGCAGAGGCAGAAGAAAATCTGCCCTTAAGAGGACTCCAGTAGCTCAAATCCATTATTTGAGGTTCAATTATGTATCTTCATATTTTTACATGCTAACCTACTCCTTAGTTTATTGTATATATTATTTCAATAATCAGATATTTTTATTTTAGTGCACTTTAAAGATACTATTCTCTAACACTTATCTGTCAGTGTAAGACAACTATTGGTCTAATTGCTGTTCCTATTGGTTGAATTGTCTTTTTATTTGACTACGTTCTAAGTAATAAATAACCAGATAATCTCTTTGCCACTAGTCTTTCACAATTTGACTAACATACATTTTTTAATAGTTTTTTTCTTTAATCTTGCTTAATACATTATGGACTTCTGTCACTGGAGAATTAGTGGCATTTTGTTGTTGTTTTATTCTTAATTGACAAATAATAATTGTATATATTTACGGGGTACAATGTGATCTTTTGATCAATGTACATTGTAGAAATATTCAACCAGCCTAATTAAGGTAGCTATCACCTCGCCAATTTATTTTTTCTTGTGGTGAAAACATTAAAATCTATTCCTTTAGCAGTTTTGAAATCTGAGAATTTTCAGTCTTTGTCAATTTCAGCAAATTGCCTTCTCCACTGTCTATTAGCTTCTTACAGATGTTGCAGTATGCCACTCTCTTATCAATTCTTTTCTCACTGTATTCTGCATTTTGTCACACTTCGCCAAATGCTATACAATTCCTGCATTCTATCTTCACGTTCATTAATTATCTCTCCTGTGTCCAATGAACTAACCCTTTCTTTTAGTCTAAATTTCAATTACTTGTTTCTATGCAGTCTATTTGATTCTTTTTCAAAACTGCTGGTTCTTACTTTTGAAGTCTCTTTTTCTTTGCTTGTGAGTTCAATTATTTCTTAAGTTTTGGAAGTCTGGTTCCAGTTTTCTCTGCTAAGGGTGCATTTTTTTACAGGGAGGAATCTCATTTGTTAATGTCTAGTTCCTGAGGGCACTCTGTTATCTTGGTATTTTTGAATTAAGAGTCTCAGCTTGCTATTTTACAAAACATATAAATAGTATGAATTCAAAATTCAATTCCTGAAGCTATTTGGCCAGTGGACATGAATTATTAGACAAGATGCCTTCTTGCTCTCCAAGGCTGAGGCAGACAAACTTCTAACTAGTTATCTCTGTAAGTTGGATTTTAGCTTTCCCTACTTTAAAGAAGATAAATTATTATTCAACCTGATCAGAAGATGCCCCTTCCAAATCTTATTGCAACCCTGACCCAAGGCATTACTCTACTCTGTATATGGCTCCTAAAACCAAATATGCAGACTATCAGAGTTATAGTCACTAGATTTAAGTTCTTCCTTTATTCTTGGTCCTGAAAATTTTTATTATTTCTCATAAACTCATCCAAGTGTTGACAAATCTTTAAAAATTTTAATCGGTTATATTTAAGCGTCTTGTAATGGTGAGGCTCCAGTATATGTTGAGTCCTAGTGATTGGAAATACACACACACACACACACACACACACACACACACAGAGGGAGAGAGAGAAAGAGAAAGACAGAGACAGAGAGAGAAAATTCTGTTACTACTCTTGGGTTGATTTATCTTTTTGACTGTCAGTGATTTTGTTCCTTAACAACTCCTTTTAGACCCAAAATCTACTAAACTGACCATTGTCCAAATCTCTATCACATATGAGGTTGAGAAATAAGTATTTTAGGTTCAGTGTTTTTCATGAAAACCTCTCCAAGAATATCTCAAGCAACTAAGATGAGTCAACCTCTACTGTCGGATGATCTAAAATCAATAAAAATATCTCAGATGATACATTCAGTTCTATGGATTTCACTTCCTCACTCAAATAAAACTCAAGTAATTGGTCTCCCAGTGAGAAGTGAATATCCAGTAAAGCACACTTTACCATACAAGAAATAGTTTTCACCTTTGCATATGTGTTCCTTGTTCATCACATGCATGAGTTATCTTTCAGCCAAATCAGCTCTGACTTCTGAATCCTGGACATGTTATCATTTATTTGGTCTGATTAGCCATTCAGCAATGTTAATACTTATGTATTTCTCATAAGTATTAATATGAGGTGTTATAGGACTTGATGGTGCAGGCCATATTTCTTTAACAAAGAGACAAAAATGTTGGTGGCTTAAATAAGATAGAGGTTTATTTCTCTTTTATGTGAGAGATCAGAGGCAGGCAGAAAGCTCAGGTTGTCAGTGTGGCTCAAAAATAAGAGATCATTCAGGGACCTCGATTCCTTCCATCTTTTTTCTCCTGTATTCCTCTATGATATTGTTGCCATCCATGTGGTTGGAGCCTGGCCATGGGTCCACCCACATGGAACAATGCGGAAGAATGGTGAAATAGAAAGGGAGGATTTCCTTTCAAGCAAGCACACATCATTTTTATTTGCAATTTTGGGTGCCAATTAATTGCCAGCCACTCTAAGATCCAAGAGACGCCAACAAATATCTAACCTCCAGCCTGTGACCTGGGCCTGGCCACTGTTTTCTTACTAGGGAAGAAAGGCATGGAACTCTGGGGCCAACTAGTAGTGTCCCATGGCTTTTCTGGTGGCTTCCTATGGTGAGGGGACATGTGTGAGTCTTCTGCTCTGTGAAGCATCAGCACTTCTCGGGGTGCTCTTGAGAGCCTGTGATTAGAGTGCATGTCCAGGCTCTTTCCACAGAGTCTCTTTCTGGGTGACAGTATCCTGCACAATTCCTCAGGCACAGCGGGCACTGCCTCAGTCCTCCAGAAGTAATTGCTTTGTTCTCTTCTGGGACCCTGGCCTTGTGACACATCTCAGCCTGATAGATGATGGGCTCTGGAGACGGATGGTTTGAATTCAATTCCCCAGTCTGCCCATCGGTCATGGTTTGCTGCACTATCCTGGACCTGTGCTTCAGTTTCCATAGATGTGGTAAGATAGGAATGGTGATGATACGTGTCTCATACTGCGGTCAGGAGAGGTTGGTTATGAGGGACAAATTAGACACTCTCAGGAAATTGGTGGAATAATGACCAGGGAATATTAGTTGGACTCCCCAGGATGCAGAAATGCATTTTTACTCTTGCCAATCCTTCTCCTTACAAACTACTCTGTCATTTTATCCCCCAAATCTTTCAGTGCAATCTCTGGGAAATATAATATATTTTCTTCTGATCTTTATTCTCAATGAAAACTCATTTTAGTTTAAGAAAACACGTTTAAAAATTGGTCTTTCAATATTAGCCTTATCAGACTTAGTGTTATATTTAATGAAATAAATTGTTTTTAATGGCTACCTTTAAAACTCTTTGTCAATGTATAGTGTCTTGTTTCAGTTGGTGAGCAGCCTGGACTCCTTTTAATCTCTGCCTTGGAAGTCTAAACCAACCAGTCTGATTTTACATTATTTTAACATTATTTGGCATGGTAATCATTATACTTGTCCCCCTTAAAATCTCCTTGAAGGCAGGGGTAGAATATTTTTCTTCTTGCTATCTCTATAGTTGAGCATATTCTTGGCATACACAAGTGTTCAATAACATTGTGAACAAGTGAATGAGAAAAGCTTGTAACCAGATTTAAGTAGCATTTTTCAACTCAACACTAATATACACTAAACCATGTTGAAGAGGACAATATTTTGCTAGGCAAGGTCTTTTAAGAATGTATGTGTTCAAAGATGAAAAGCAAAATGACATTAAAGAGCACTCCACTGGCAAGTCCCAGGAGGCAGTAGGTGAGCCGTCGCTAGTTAAATTGTACTAACGCAAAACATTATAGCATTAGACTGCAGCCTGTAATCAATGCCAGCTGGAAGCCCATATCAACAGTTTTGTGTTTCTTGCCAGTTCCTTGTTAATCCCTTAAAAGGGAAGGTAAAAACAAGGCCAATAGCTTTTATTACATAGGATGATTTATCGATCCCAGCTATTCAAACATTTCACTTCACCCAGTGTGCATGCCAAAAATGTTTATTTCAGAAATGTTTATTTGATTAATTATGCCATGTAACATAGATGGCTGATGAGTAAAAAGGAAATCCTGTCTATAGCTGTTACATGTCATCTTTCATTTTTAAGGTAAAATAGGTTTATCTTCCATTGAGCCTAATGACAAAGGCTTTTAGGATTAGAAGAATGAACCCTGTAAGCCTATAACTTCCCCTCATGTCTTCCAATTATGTCTGGTCAAATGAATATGAGCTGAAGCATTTACTACCAAGTATGGATTTTGAGATAAGCTTTGAACTCTTCTTCCTTGAAGGTCACCTGGTAGCATTTATAGATCTTCCAAATTGATGTGTGGCAATGTAACTTTCACATTAACTAAAAATATAACAACTCTTTTTTAATTCTTAGAACAATGATAAAAAAATGCAAAGCCTCTAGCACCAAATAAAACAATGTATTCTCTCTTTAACACTAAAAATAAAACCCTAAACCTTGGAAATAGAATTTCTAATGAGTTGTCCATGAGCTGAGTAGAGGATAGGGGCCCTGAAAGAATGATTTTTATTTTCATCATTGAAAAAAATAAGAATGCATTCTTCTATTCATTTTATGTGGTCAAATAATTTCAATATAATAAGAATTTATTGAGCTTCTTGTATGTACTACAATTCTAGGAATGCTTTCTTTATGGAGCTGTAATCTTTTAGGAAAGGAAGGGAAAACACAGAGATGAGGTGTCACATGTTTTAAATTAGTCTTAATTTTTTCTTTTAAAACATAATGTCCATTAAAGAAAATTTATCAAAATACATATAAATATAAAGAAGAAAATTCAACATTCTTACTATAGAAATAATTGCTATTAATGCATTTTGTTGGTTATATAGGTGTGTATGATACATTCTGATCTTTTTTTTGTTTGAGACAGAGTCTCATTCTATCATCCAGGCTGGAGTGCAGTGGCATGATCTCAGCTCACTGCAACCTCTGCCTCCCGGGTTCAAGTGATTCTCCTGCCTCAGCCTCCCAAGTAGCTGGGATTACAGGCTCAAGCCACCACCCCTGGGTGATTTTTATATTTTTAGTAGAGATAAGGTTTCACCATGTTGGCCAGGCTGTCTTCAATACTCGGCCTCAAGTGATTCACCCACCTCAGCCTCCCACAATGCTGGGATTACAGGCATGAGCTACCATGCCTGGCCTACATTCTGATTTTTTAACTTCAATTTATATTGTGGGCATTTTACATCTTATTATATATTCATAAATGTTTCCTCATGGTTGCTTACTGATCTATTTAACAGATATACCATAATATACTTAATAGTAGCTGGGCTTTTATGTTTGAACTTAAGTTAGAATTCAGATATGTTTTTGCAGTGTAACACTCTGGTGGGTTGAGCTCACCAGAAGCCGATTGGTGACATGCACCACGTCAAAGTTTTGGTAGAGAGATGTGCATGCTCCCTTAATATGCTGTGACACAATTCTCTGATTGATCATAAGGAGAACTGTCAGTGGCTTGCATAAGACATAGGGGTTTAAAATGTTTCCTAGGACATGGAGGGGCTGGTGGGTCAATGGCAAGGCATGGCAGAAGACTGCGGGTGAGCTGCATAATTCCTGCAGAGAAACTGCCTCATCATTCACAGCAAAATTTCCCAGAGGATTGGCAGCATTGCCCAATGGGCCATGAAAACAATATGGTACAGAAACACCAAGAGATTCTGAAAACGTATTTACTTCAAGTTGACAAAATACAGAAAACATAGGCACCATGTGTAAAACAAAAGATGAGATGGAAAATGAGTGTGTTCATTATTGATTTATTGCCGATCAGCTCCAAATATATCCCTTTTGTCTGCTTTGTGGAAATGAATCTGGGCCTTTCATTTATTTATCTTTTCTTTGCTGGCTGCCATGACATTAAACTTTGTCAGTAGAGGGTGGTAGAGACATTGCAGGAAGCATGGATTTTGTATTCTGGTTCTGGTGCTTGCCTGGCAGGCAGCCTGCAGGGTGCTCATCCTCTCTAGGGCGTGGCTCCTGCAGTGTGCCGTGGCTAGCTGCCTATCCTGGCGTTGCCCATGGGCATGCTTTTAGCATTGAGCCTCTAGTGAGCACCTCACTATGAATGGCTTTCCCCTGCAATTGAGGGGGTCCATTTAGTGCAAATCCCTGAGGGTGGATTTCCATCAGGTTCTGCCAGTGCAGTACCCCAGTGTCTTACCTGCCATGTGGTGGCCCACAGCTGTGCCCTCCTCAACAAAGTCTGTGCCTCAGCCTTGCGGGGGAGGAGGTGCACTTTCTTGGGGACTCTTTCTCCGCCCTAGGGCTAGTGGTGCCTCCTTATATCTTCTATTTCTAGATCCCTTAGAGTTCTCTTTTCTTCTACCAGCTGTATTCCAATCCCCTGTTATATCTAATAAATTCTTTATATTAAGCGTCCCCTGTTCAAGTTAACATGCAGCTTATCTCTTTATTGAATCTTTAAGGATACAATGAATCACCAGGGATTCAGGCAGAGATGTAAGAAGAGTGGGCAAAAATATGAAGACAATGCATGGAAGAGGAAAATGAAATAATAAATGTATATCTTCTTATAGGACATTAAAGAACAGGAAAGTGTGGCACAACATCAACTCAGGAAGACAGATCGCACGTAAGGAAGCCAACAGTCAAGTGCCTACAGAAAGCAGAGTGGCTCAGTTTCTGCTCAGTGGTTGAACAACCCAATGAAACCATTAAATGAGAAAATTACTTTTATATTAGCTTGTTAGAAATGATCTTACACATAGTAAAAATATATTTTTTTAAATCCTATAGTACTGGCTACTTAAATAAGTTTATTTGATAAAATTCCATATTAAGAGACATATTTAAGGAACACTACAGCATGATTTTAAAAAGTATTTTTCTCCAGCAAAAATGGATAGATGAGCTGCTTGATTTTTTAATTTGCTGTCCTGGAGCAGGGGTCTGCCTGCTTTTGTATATAAAGTTTTCTTAGAATACAATATCACCCATCTGTTAACTTATTGTGTATTGTTGCTTTCATTCTTCAACAACAGAGCTGTTTAGCTGCAAAGAGAAATAGTGTGATGTGCAAAGCTTGAAATGTTTGCTTGCTGGTTCTTTATAGATAAGCTTGCGGGTCCCTGCCCTAGAAGCCACCATGTGGCACCATGCTGGATCACTGCCCCACATTAGCTTAATTTGTCTTCACCGCAACCCTGGTAGGAGTGCCCACTGTACCAGGTTTGTTAAGGCAGCTGAAGTTTAGAGACCATTATAGGTAGTGGTAAAGCGTGAAGGCTTGGAAGTCACATGGGCAGGGTTCAAACTGCCTCCACTGTTTAATGTGCTTTGTCATACTACGTGATCTCCCCAAGCCTCAGTGCCTAACGTGATAAATAATTATCACATAGAACTGCTAAGACTATTATTTAATTCACTTAGATAAAGAGCTTAGCTTAGTACCTATGACCCAGGAAATGCTCAATGAATTCTTACGCATTGTTCAAGAAGTTCAGACTCTTGGTTAAGACATCATGTTCTGTAGTGGCACTGGCATTCCAGTGCGATATGTCTGAGTCCAGAGCTTGAGTTCATAACCACTATAGGAAATTACCAGATGTTTAATGCACAACTGAAACATACTCTTCTCTTCCCTGAGTTTCCAATTTTCCCCTCTTTAGAAACAAGAGATCTCTTTCTAAGTTACACAATTGAGCTGTGTCCAGTAAATATGCTAATACCAGACTGTCTTTGTCCTTAACCCTTGGTTATTTTATTCTGTAGGGGTTCTTATTACTCAGGATGCATTGTTTCTTTCCAGCACTTCTCCTCAGGTTGGTTTGAGGAAGGTGTAGCTGGCAAAATTTTAAGATGCGCCACAGACCCTGTCCTCTGGTGTACTTCCCTTACAGGTGGAGCTTGTGAATATGGTGGGCTTTCACTTTCCTGGGTAAGTGAAGGGATTTTGCAAAAGCAATTAAGGTTCCTAATCAGGTGACTTTGAGTTAATCAAAGGCCCTGATCCTGGGTAGACCTGATCAAAGCAGGTAAGACCTTAATAAGAGAGAGATTTGAAGCAAGAGAGATTATGCTCCTGGTCTTAAAGAAGTGAGTGGCCACATTGGGAGAGGGTCTTTAGGAAGGGCTATGAGAGGATCACATGGCAGCCTCTCCAGCTGAGTATGTTCTCTGCCTAACAGCCAGCAAGAAAAAGAGAACCTCAGACTCAAAGCTGCATGAAAGTTAATTGAATCTTTCCCCAGTCAAGATTCTAATGAGAACTCAGCCCAAGCCAATACCTGGATTTCACCCTAGTAAGATCCTAAAGTAAAGAATCCAGCCAAGCCATGCCTGGACCCCTAACCCAGAAAAACTGTGAGATCATAAATGTGTGTTGTGGAAAGCTGCTAAGTTTGTAGTAATTTGCTCCATAGCAATAGAAAACTATTACAGAAGGATAAGCTACAGCAAAATCAAGGAACATATTTCTCAACAGCTCTTTGGAGGGAAGGAAAAAAGAAGCAAAATATTTGCTAAAATCAGACTCACTCTGGTTTTTTGGAAAGTGACTGCCTTATCCATTGCTGCTGTGTGCATGTCCAGGAAGCAGCACAGTCATACAGAGGAGGACTTCGAGGTCCCAATCACACTGCTGTGTGGCCCCCATTAACACCACTTCCTAATAAATTATGCCAAGTGCTTATGATACCACAGGCACTTTAAACATAAGAATACATTAATTTATAGTAAAATACAAGTTGTTGTTGAAAAAGAAATGACTAGATTTGTTCATTATTGGTTATAACTGAGTATATAGGAAATATCAGTCCATGAATTAATTTTACACAATCTTTAAATTAGTCATAGTGAGTTTGGCTCAAGAGTAGTATTTTGTGATGGAGACACTTCGTTAAAAAATAGGAAAGAGGGAGGGTGTTCTCTGAGGACCCTTGGCGAGTTGAATTTTGTGACTAAAATATATAATGTTCTAACTGTGGCAGATGCAGCTCTGAAGTAATGAAATAGATAAACACTGGGAGAGGGACAAGGGAAGAAAAGATCTACTAGGCTGACCACAACTAGGGCTACTAGCCAGCTGGTAGGGTGCTACAATTGTTTCCTTTGCTGCCATAACATATTATTACGAACTTAGTTTTTTTAAAACATGTATTTCTTATTTCATGGTTTTGTAGGTTGAAATCTGGATCATCTCATTACTGTGCTTCTGGTTTCACTAGGCTGGAATCAAGGTGTCCATCGGCTAAGCTCTAATCAACAGTTCTAGCAAGAATCTGCTCCCAATGCCATTCACGTTGCTGGCAGAATCCACTTTATTTTGGTTTCACTAGTGAGGTTCTCATTTGCTGCCTGACAGCTGGCTTTAAGCTCCAGAGACCTCTCTCTGGTTTTTGTGTGTGAGCATCTATACCTCAGAGCCAGCAATGGTGCACTGAAACGTTCTCACTCATGGAATCACTCTGACTTCCCTTTTTGCTGCATCTTTCTGACTCCATCCAGAGAAAGTGCTCCAGTTTTGAGGGTTTCTGTGATTATATTAGACCCACTCAGATAGTCTAGGATAATCTTCCAATTCTGAAAACTGTAACCTTAATTACATCTGCATTGTCTTTTTTTTTTTTTTTTTTTACCATGTAATGTAACATATTTTTAGATTCCAGGGACTGTCCATATTTATCTTTGGGGGCCTTTATTCTGGCCACCACAGATGCACTCACTCTTTGGATGCTAGTGGTCAAGTCTGGTACAAGCTTTTTAATGTGTTCAGCATGATTTAGCCACTTTCTATATCCGTGCAGAGACATGGGTGATGGCATTAAATCCTTAACGGCATAAATAAAGGGATAGTACAAACAGTGTCATTTATCTTGTGGTTAAAAGTCAGAATAAGGTTCAACTTCTGGTATGGCTATATACTGGGATGGACATGGCGCCCATCTTGAATATGTGGATCTTGGGAAAATGACTCTCATATTTTCTTTGATAAAATGGGACTAATAAAACTCAATGGGAGATAATCAAAAGGATAATGATGTACTCATTTACTAACATCTTATGGAGATGAAATATGATAATCCCTGTAAAGACATTTGCTCATGGTTGTTGCTAAACAAATGTTAGTTCCCTTCTAACCTTCTCCTACTCTATTTTTCCAGTATTGTTACAAGAATCCAGAGATTATTTATTTTCATTAAACAAAATTTTAAGAAACAGAAAAAATAATATAGATATCTATATTGCCTACTACTCAATCTCCACCTAGTAATTCCCAAAGCGTTTGAATCCACTTGCGGGCACCAATAAAGATACACAATGGAAATATCTAATTGTTAAGCATCTGGACAACTAAAGTGTTGCAATTTGTACATTTGAAATGTTATGTTGAAGTAAATCAATGAATTGTAAGTAAGTCATGTGAAAAGATGTCTGATAATGTTTTTCTGGCTATGTATGGAATGGTTAAAATGGTTTATTCTAAGAGTTTACAGATGTGTAAAAGTTCATAAATAATTCACACAATAGGACAATTGAGAATAATTTGGAGTCTGTTACATCAAGCACCATTGTTTGTTACAAATATCTACATGACATTGAAACTCCAATTTCTTCTACAACCAAACATTAGAATTATTACTTGGCAGTGAAGTCCGTGCCTCAATGATATTTATTCAGGCAATACATTCAAGAAAGGATTTCATGAAAGCCAATATTCTCAATGGCAGCTGGAGATCTCCTGGTTCATAAAATATTGTACTTTAGAGTAGACCATGGAAAGTTAAACTTTCAATCCCTCTCTGATACCTGCTGTCCCCTGTAAAGCTGTTTTTTAATCTCCTCTTTCCAAAGGCTGGGATCATTCCCCTTTCATCAGTGTTCTTATTACTCATTTAATACCTCTGTTGAAGCTTCCTCCACTGTAGTTTGGGGGTTTTTGTTCACTTTTTCTGTTTCCTTCATTGGGCTGTGAACTCTTCAAATGTAAAAACCACATATTGTTGACTTCTATTTCTAGATCTAGTTTGGTTTTCTGGGTTAGAACTGGCTCCCAGTAGAGCACTTCATTAAAAGCACTGAAGAACTTCAGTTATAAGCATATAATAGGAAAAATATTTAACACAATGTGGGTAAATGTGAGCTGATTTTAGGACAGAGAACAAACTAACATATAGGGAATGATGAAAAAGAAACTTTGGAGAAAGAATAGAAGAAAAGTATTTTTAATATCAAATATTATGCCTTGATCTCTGGGATATTTTTCTTTCTCAAATATAATCGGACTATTGAGTCTAGAATATATTTTACCATTATAGTTATAGAAATACTTTCCAGTTGTTTAACAATTCAAATCAGCAATGGTCATATGAATTTGAAAAATAAGAAAAAAAGATTAAATATGAAAAATAAAAAGGAAAGGCATTTGTGCTAGGGATCCACCAATTTGATGCTTTGAGATTACAATCAGGGTACTGAAGTTGAGTGCTGGGCAGCCAGCGAGGCAGTTTCTTGCCTTGTGCATCATCTTATAACATGGCATTTTCCCAGAGTAATTATTCAATCAGCCTAAGTACACACATTAGGTGTTGGTCTTTGGCTCTGAAAATGTGAAAACCTAATGCTTAGAATTGAAAGGCACCAGAGTTTTCCAACTTCTTCATACCATGCAGATGGAATATGCAGACCAGAGCCACCTTCACACTTGGTTCTAATGCAGATGATATGATTATGCACAGACAGGCAATGGGAAATATGTTTATTTAGGGTTATACAGAGCAAGTGCTATGATGTTTACCCTTCAAAAACACCTATGAGACTCAAGAATTCCTCCTAATGACAGAGGTTTTTCCAAATATCAAACAGACAGTGCCTGGTGATGATCAGGAACCACTGTTTCAATCAATTATATTCTCACCCATATTTCACTCAACCTAATGAACTGCAATGACTCAGCATTAATGAATTCCTAAACATATGTTTTGTCCAATTGATCATCTTGCTGCTAGTTCTGGACTCTTTCACTACCTACAGTTAATAACATAAGCCTTATTTCTTTTCTTGACATCATTCATTTTCTTGAAATTTGCAAGACTAAACCTATTAAACCATAATAAAAAGCAAAGCTTTAGATTCCTTATTGTAATTCCCAGTTAAGTACATCTTCCACCAGCAAACAGTCAAGATGTTGCTTAGTCACTCATAAAATATTAAAATGTTCAATATTAGTCATTTTATGGAACCATCAGAGGTTGGATAAATTTATTGGTTCAACTTAGGTTAAATCTATAAAAAACTCATGCTCTACTAATAGCTAAATTCTTATTAAAGGCGTTTGCAGAAGAATACAAATGTTCTTTCAAAACCAGACATGACTTTACGCCCTAACTCACTGTGACTCATGATAAGAATTTAGGTTCTCACAAAATCTATTTTCTATTTTACAACTAGAGTGGTCAGTTGATTTTCCAAAATAAATTCTGGTCTCAGGTTTAGCAAGATGCACACATTCACACATGCTGTAGAGCAAGTAAATAGCCTTCCCTGTCAAAATCAAAATATGATTGTGACTTCTTTAGGGGCTAGGAATGTCCTACTGCACTAGGTATCAGTGCGTGTCTCAAACTACGTAATAAAGAGATGCAGTTATTCATTATGCAGCGCTTCCTGTCGCCATGTGTCAGATCCTGCCACATGACAAACGCCAGGCACAAACAGAAGCACAGTTCCTTCCCGCAAGAATCTCACTGTAAACCAACATGAACATACATACTCACTTTGCATGTGATCTGTGTCCAAGGAAGTGTATTTGGAAAGTCTTTTGGGAACCCAGGGTGGGGGAAACTAGTTCTGCCTAGAGAGAGAGCAAGGCATTTTCAGAATTGACATTTCAACAAACGTTCTGGGGAGACAGAAAAACAGTGAGGGTGTGAGCTTTGAATTTGCTTTTCTTTCTTACTCCAGTGTGACTTTGAATGACTGATGCCAATTGTCAGACAATTTTTTGTATATTTATTTTCTTATTTGTAAAATGAAATAATGAAAAGATCATAGAGGCTATACCAACTCACACAGCTGATGCAATTATTAAAGGAAATAATGTTTGAGAAACTGCATTATAGACTACAACAATAAGCTCACTAAAGAGTAGATTAGGCAGACAAACTGAGGACAGATTTGGGGGACAGTTAACAACCATCTGAGAAGTACGTGTTTTTTTCTGGAGGTGGTTTTATTTTGTAGATGACTTTTGAGGTAGAAAATGAACCTGGAAGTAATGTAGAAAAGAAAGTAATCTGAGAATAAAAGTCCAGGAACCAACTGAAGATGATTATGAAAGTATGGATCAGAGATAATAATTGCCTAAATTGAGTAATAATAGAATACAATGAAAAGGAGAAGTGAACCTCAGATGAATAAAAGAAGGAGAAACAATAAACCAGGGTAACTGATTTAATGTGGGTGACAAGAGTGAGAGAGGAACAAAAGTGATCATATTTTTAGCCCAAGTGACTAAAAGGATGCCATGGTCATTAACCAAAGGAAGACACCTACGATATTTGGGGAAGACAAGTAGCATACCAGGATTTGTCTGGATTTCTAAGTGAACATATTTTGACCTCACAGGAATAGGGCTCGGGAGAGAGGTTGGAGGTGGAGGAATTGCTTAGAGATTCATCAGTATAGATTTTATATCTTATAGAAAATAAATTAAATGGAATTAAAAATAATAAGACTCAAACCCCAGTCTTCTGGTCATAACTGAGGAGCCCCAATACAGATTATAGCATGTTTCTGAATGTCATCCCTTTAGAGAAAGTGCTTTCTATTTAAGTCTGCTTAGAAAAATCAATTTGAAGTCTCGCTTAGGCAAAATGACACTTCTTTGGGAAGGGGAATTGCATAATTCTAGAGCATGACTGAGATGCTTTACCTTTTTAGGGCCTGTTCCCTAGGGAACATTTGTGAGGAGGAGGGCTCTCCGGAATAACTTGTAACAAGTGACACTCGAAGCTTCCAAAAGCATCCAGAGTTGGGGGCATCAAGGCAGGTGCATGATGGGAAGATGGTAGATCCAGCAGCGAGTCTGGTTGGGAGATGTGGCAACACAGCATTCAACAGCCTCAGGGCAGGTGCAGGTGGTGCCATAACCCCAGACATTGCAGTAGGGATTCAAGAGCATTACTCTTATTTTGAGACAAGTTTTACAGGTGTGATTTGGGATGTCATCCCTGAAAAAGGACTGAATAGTATCAATAAGTGACATTTAATCTTCAGGTAAAAGGAATAGGAGAGCCAGAACCAAACCTGAGCATGTTTAAGGGCCTGAATTTCAGGATGAAGCAGAAAGATTCATTTATCGCATTAGAAGCCAGGACAACTGATGCTGAGGCACAAAGTGTTGAGTTTAAAGCCTTGGCTGCTACTCAAAGTGTAGTTCTCAGAGAAGCAGAACTGCCGTCTCCAGGAGCTTGTGAGAAAGAGGGAGAAAGGAGCGGGGACCAGATGTCCTTGGTGGTTCCTTCCAGTGGTGACCTTGCTCTGCATGAATTGGGTTGGAGTTTACATTAGAAAATAAGGATAGGTAAGTAGTGGGTTCAATTTTTTTAGAGGATGAAGAATGGAGATGTTAAAAGCAATAAAAGAAAGCAGAGAATATTTGATGATGTATTCCATACAGCAGGCTAGGCCTAAGAGATGAGGGGGAGTAAAGGTCACTAGAATTCTGAGCTTAGATCAGTGGGAAATGGTTGTATCATTAATTTTAAAAAATGCATTTTCAGAAGGGGGAATTTTTTTTTGGTTGAGGGAAGATTGTAATCTTATAAACCATGACTTTTAAAATATCACAAATAAATTTATAATCAATCCTTTGCCATAATTTATAGTGACATATTATTAGATGGTGACCTAAAAATTTTGCATAATTTTATAAAATAATGATTTTTTAAAAAAAATCCTCTTCAGAAGCCCCCAAAGAAATATTATACCCATATAACATTATACATCATACAACATTTAAAATGTTAGTCCCTTAGAAAACATTAAGAAGAACTTCATTGAAAAGTGTTCCTTTCTATGTAGGATAGATGAGGATTAAATATCACTCATGGAGAGACAGATGATTTCTAATTTTTAAATGTTTTATTCTTCTGTGCCATTTCATTGGAATAAGGAGCAGGCTTCCAATATAACTGACATTACCCTTAAGATGATACAGCCGGTGAAAAGCATTAAATATATACATATCTGTGGAAAACAGTTTGGATGCTTCCACCCTCTCCTTTGTTCCGGTTCTGGAAGCAGCACCACATCCCAAACTTTTCAGCAACTCGTTGAAGAAATTTCAAGTCAGATTTCCTAGACTCTTGCAGAATCTCTTTATCCACTCTTGAGGTTCTTTAACACAGACTAATATTTCCCTTTGTATGATTGAGAGCATGAATCTTATTTCTGAGCTACCTGAAGACCTTCAAATTACTTACTTTCATGGCAAAGTGCATTAAGGCAGGCATGTTACTGCGCAAGACCCCCTGAACCTCTTCTTCACAGTCAGAATTGGGAGAATTAGGCACTGCCGGGCTGTCGCACTGTCAGACGCTGAAAAACAATGAGCTTTGTGGAAGTGCAAAGGAAGCAAGAAGACCACTGCCGCTGCCACTTACGCAGACACTGGCTCATCATTTACTGTGGAAAACTAGCGATTAGACTACAATAGCAGCTGTAGCTTAGTGATTTGCCTTTAAAAATTTTTTAAAAGCAGTGCCCAGAAACCAGCACCTGGACAATGCATTTGCCACCTAATCATCCTCAAAGGATGTTCTGTCTGACAGGTCAAAGATACCTTTCCCAGGAATTACGGGTTTTTATTTTACGAATGCATAATGCTTGCTAATGTGTTGGAGAGGGACTTCGTTGCTGAGTTTCCAATCACAAAGCTGGGTCTCAGGCACTTCTTTTACTCCTGGTCAGTCCCTCACAGCACTGTTTTTCACTACAGACACAGAGTGAGAACATGAAGACCTGCGGGGCACAGGTGTAAGCGAGGACAGTCCCACTGTGAACACCTAAGGTGTTCTTCTGCCTTGTAACTCTTTCTATTTTCTTTGATACTGTAACAATGTAATAGTATTTAAACATGCTTACTCTGGAGAGTTTCATTAAAACAAAGCAGAAAACCAAACCAAACTTGCCTAACTGCAAAATGCGAGGAAATGATTACTACAGAAACACCTAGCAGTTCCACGCAAAGGGAAAAACAATTCTGCAAAATTTAAACTTGATGACATTTGTAAAATAACGTCACGCAATCACAGACCCTCATCTTACCAGGAAGAAATGGGGGCTCAGAGAACTGATTTTCCCAGGTAAAAATGTCAGTCAGTGACAACTTGGCACCACAAACATTTGAATATCTTCCACTCAATATATCCTGGGCAAGGCTGTGGGGATTCAAAGATGAGAATACCCATTGATATTCTCCACATGGTTCCCAGTCCAGGCAACAGAGCTGCGTGCAGACAGAGGCGGTGTAAGGAGGAATGGAGTGATGTCAGTTGGCCCTCTTTCCATTGTACCATGTGGTCCTCCCTCATACAACTACTCCGCTTACGGAATCTCATCAAATCTGCTACCACATATTTATTTGCATTAATAAATATCTATTAACAGCTACTTAGAACAAGACACGGAGCTATGGGATATAGATAGTATCAACATAAGGAATCCATAATCCCTTTCTTTAAAGCATTTATCATCCAGCAATCAGAATGACGCTGTTGAAAGACAGTTGGAATGCAGAACGGAGGTGGTAGAGAGTTCTAGAAGGCACACACGGAAAGTCCAGACTGGGGCAGATGGAAGGAGGTGTCTGATGAAGGACGATCATAACTAAAGTATATGCAAAGGCACACAGGGGCAGAAAAGCCCAAGCTATGTTCTGGGGACACCAGGTTTGGTGCAGGACATTTGGCTGTGGGATGCAGAAGGATGGAAGTGGGAACAGAGGATGAATGGCAGCTGTTCTCTGCTGTGGCTGGAGGGAAAAGGCAAGGCTGGGAAGCTGGGCTCGTTTTTAGACGTTAATATAATCTTTGGACATTTTTGAACTCAGAGAAATTGATATTTTTACTTTTATGTTTTAGAAATTTTGGCCAGACAGTAGTAGAAAGACAAAACTGGATAAAGTTGAATATGTAAGCCTTGTTCTGATCTTTGGGTCATGGTACCTAGTCTTCTTACTGGCTGCATAAATAACACACTTCTGCTCCCATGGGTCCTTTAAACAACCAGTCCTGCATATTCCAAGGATTACAGCCTCATGTCTGATGATACAAAGGTACTTCAAATATAATTCAAGCCAAACCTCTCATATTCACAGTAAGAAAATTGAGACAAAGATAAGTGAAGTGACTTTTAATGGTACTCCCTTTGACATCTGTAAAATGAAAGTCTTTACCATACAGCACACTCACATAGAGAGGAGTCTGTGTCCACTGGCAGCTGCTTCTCAGCTTCATCCACACTGTGGCCACGGAAAGGCCTGCCCTCCTGTTCCTTTCCTTAGAAAATTAATTTCTTGAGCCTAATTTGGTGGAAATGTGGATCTACTGCATATCCTGTGCAGGTTTAAAAAAAGCACTTAATTGCTAATTGCCACTCATCCTTTTGGGCCCTCTGGCATATGCAATATTTCATAGCTTCTCTAAACTCACCAACGATAAAATGTTCAAGCTAAATGCATAGGGTCAATAGGCTGACTTCCAGATTCCATGTACATTTTGTTTTAGTGTATTATCCATGCTGTAGGCATATACTTCAATACTTTTCCTTTACGCTGCAATACCTCAGGGGAAACTGAGGCTGTGATGCATCTTTGACTGAAGGAGTCCTGTGAAAACCAGGAAAGGCAGAGGCAGACTTAAGGTCATAGTGTGTATATGACACGTAATTTCTTGTGTTAAAATACATACTTACCATCTCTGCCCCCACCAACAAACAAAAAAACACACAGACAAAACCTGTGTGAACCTCTGATTGTCTGGAGGTAAAGGTGGAATCTATGTTTGGGTCAGAAACAAACAACATGATGGGCTTAAAATTAATGTGTCAAATGTGAAATGTAAATCACATCTCAGCTGCAAATACTTAACCAGATAGACGTGAGAAGCAAAGAAAAAGAAGTGGCTTCCTTTAAAAAGATCTACTACTGGCATCCAGATTGTACTCTTGGATCTGAACCCCACTCCTCCTAAATTCTCATGTGCTTTTCCACATCTCTTCCCAAGTCTGCTCCAGGAAAGTTAACAAGAGATGAGCTCAGCTCTAAGGAAATGAAGGGTCCTATGTACTTGGAAGATCATTAGAGGTAGAATGCAAGATGATGCTTCAATCTCTGAGCCTAAAACGGAAGCCTGCTCACCTGGACTTTGAATCAATGTGCTTACTGTTGAGAAATGCACACCATGCATGTTGCTTTGGCAGCGAAGCACGTCACCATCACCGTCTTCCTTTCTCCAGTTCATCTACTATAGCATTTCAAAGGCTCATGAGGTACTGAAGCAAACACGGGAATCCAACCTCTAATTGAGGGTTGGAAACATAAAGGGAGGTGTACATGAGGCATTGTGATCCCAGCTACCCACCAGCCAGCTGCCTTCTGCTTGAGCAATTTATTTGGATTACCACAGTCAAGCTTATCTTTACTCTCACATATTAGACAGGCATAATATTAAGAATAAATTATTTTAAATCCCTTCCCTGAAGAAAAAAAAAAAGAAAAGAAAAATATTATGAAAAAGCAACATCTTGTTGCCAGAACTGTTCTGAGACATTAAGAGTGGGCAACAGCTGCCTATTTTTCACTCCACATCGTAGTTATTAAAAAGAATTCAAATGGTTCGCAGCAGGGATTATGCTCCTGAGTTTGGGGAAGATGTAAATGCAAACGTCAAGAAAAAACTTCAGTTTGCTCATTGGTGCTCTCCTGTAACACTCCGTGACCTTGTTGGGCTGGGTCTGGAAAGAAGAACATAGACAGAAACCATTTGGTCAATCCGTGGTCTAAGTTCAGGAAGAATGAAGCACACAGAGAATGCTTTGTGGATATTTTAATTTGAGCCATATTTCTTTGGATTCTGTCCACAGTGTTTTTAATTTCATCAATTTGTAATTTATTATAGTGACAATATGAGTTGTCATATTTCTGCTTTTACTCATTGCAAACAAAAAGGCTTCCGTAGAGTCAGCTTTCTCCAGAACTGGGGTTGAGTCATCTGTGCCCTCATTTTCATCAGCTTCCTTAGATTTCCTTGAAAACAAAAAAGGTCAACGATGAATTTTTATAGAGTTTCAAAAAGGTGTCAAAATCGCGTTCTCAAATGCTACAGTACGTTAAGCAACATAGACACCGTACTTGTCCAAATGTCTTTCTGCTGGGGAGAATAAATGGGAGCAGACCAGGTGTGTTTAAGCTGGGACTGCGTGACTGTCATCCTCCCAGCTGAGCTTGCCAGGGCGGAAGAATCATCTTCACCCTCCTCTGTGAGTTGAGTGACTGCTTTCTAACTCCTGCATCCTGAATGTCCCACCTGGGTTTCTTCCCAGTGTTCTTTCCAACCGGTTGGAGCCTCTCCAGTTACTTATCTCTCCTCAGTCTTCTTCTACCTGGTGCTCCGTTCTCTACCCCATCGTCTTCTTTGACAGCCAAAGTAATTTTATGAAGTAAATGTCAAATGATGTTCACCCCCTTATTCAGCAGAATTAAGCTCCCACTCATAGGCATGGCTCATATATGTCTCTGCTAACCTTAGATGGGCCATTACCTCACTTCCTCTGTGTCCATTTCCCTCCAGTTACCTCTTCCCTGTTCCCAAACCCATGACACATTTCACACCTTTAGACCATTGCTTTTACTATGTTTGCTGCTTGCTGTTTTCTCTCTCCCCAAATCCAGGCACTCTTCTCTTACCCATGTAGTAAATTACTGTTTAATCTTAAAGATCCAATTGTCAAGATACAAACGTCCCTTCTTTTTTTTTTTTTTTTTTTTTTTTGAGACGGAGTTTCACTCTTGTTGCCCAGGCTGGAGTGCAATGGCGCAATCTTGGCTCACTGCAACCTCCACCTCCCAGGTTCAAGCGATTCTCCTGCTTCAGGCCCCCGAGTAGCTGAGATTACAGGTGCATGCCACCATGCCTAGCTAATTTTCTGTATTTTTAGTAGAGAGGGGGTTTCACCATGTTGGCAGGCTGGTCTTGAACTCCTGACCTCAGGTGATCCACCCACCTTGGCCTCCCAAAGTGCTGGGATTACAGGTGTGAGCCATCACACCTGACCCCTTCTGTCTTTTTATGTCAACCCATGTCCAGTTGGCTCAGCCAGCTGTCTTTCTGTAACCTTTGTGGGCGTGACAGTGTGTGTGGTTCAAAGGCAGGCAGCTGCCAACAAGCCCGTGTCTGAAACCCACTTCAGCCCTAGTCAGATAATCTTAGCAATTCATTTATCCTCACGTGGTTTCATTCCTCACCTACAAAGAAGTGATGAGAATAATGAAGGCTGTTTCCAAGGTGCTGTGAGACTTGACGGAGGTCATATATGTAAAAGATGCAGCTCAGTGCCTGACACCATGACAGACAGAGCCCATTAATATTACCTGTGTCAATTATTGCAGTTTTATTTCACATTATTATGTCACTTCAACATATCTCTTTCCCTGCTAGATTGTGTATTTTCTAAGGGAGAGAATGAGCCTTATTGGCTTTTACAATAAGGTACTTTCTTTCCATCCACATGGCATGGGGCAAGTATACAGTTGGCGTGAGGGTTACCAGATATGGTGCAGGGTGCTTAGCTCAATTTTTCAGGTTAGTAACAAAATTTCTTAGTATATGTCCAAAATATTAAATGTGACATACTTTTACTTAAAATATATTTTTAGATATTTGAAATACAAATTTGACTGGATGTCCTGTATTTTTATTTGCTAAATCTAGCTACCCCAATTGATGCTTATCATCTAAGTTACTTCCTACATCAATTTTTTGAGATTAAGATTCGTAAAAGACTCTCCTATGGAGGTGAAGTTATTAGTTGCTTATTGCAAGTATTTGAGACATCAACACTTATTTCCCTGTGACCCTGCACTGGATTATGAATGTCTCAGTGGAAACCTCACCATTGTGAAACTAACACAAATAAGCACACTAGAAAAAAAAGTCATCACTACAATTTTTTCCTTTACTAAGCAGGGGAAATCACCAAGTGAAGTGAAAGGACACAGTGCCATTTCCTTGGAATTTCAGAATTCCCAGGGATCAATGTCCCCTTTCATTCTGCTGCCTGGAGAAGGGAGTGAGTGAGTCAGAAAGTGAGCCTCAACCCCACCCTTCCAGCACAGTCTCCTAACTCATTCCCTCCTAGCTCTCCTCCCACCTCCAGTGTTCCTGCCTCTAAAACCTAAAGATGATCAGGAAAGGGGTTGAGAACATAAGTGTCATTGAAATCGAGTCTCTGGGGAAGCCAATATTCTTATGCCTACAGTATTAGTCCATTTTCACACTGCTATAAAGAACTGCCAAAGACTGGATGGCTTATAAAGGAAGGAGGTTTAATTGGCTTACAGTTCAGCATGGCTAGGGAGGCCTCAGGAAACTTACAATTATGGCAGAAGGTGAAGGGGAAGGAAGGTACCTTCTTTATAAAGTGGCAGCAAGGAGAATGAACGCAGGAGGAACTACCAAACATTTATAAAGCCATTAGATCTTGTGAGAACTCACTCACTATCATAAGAACGGCATGGAGGAAACTGCACCCATGATTCCATTACCTCCACCTGGTATCTCCCTTGACAAGTGGGGATTATGGAGATTATGGGGATGACAATTCGAGATGAGATTTTGGGTGGGGACACAGCCAAATTATATCACCTACCAAGGAGAAATAGTACATTCTCTATGATTCAAGAAGATGATGAGAAGGGTAGCCATTACCACCAAGTGACTCACTCATCAGGATCCAGGGCACCCCTATAGCTGGAACTATGGATTAGAGGGCTTGCTGGGGATGCAGGGGCTTAGGAAGAGGGCCTGCAGCAAGGGAGAGTTGCCTGCAGGCTCCCATTACAAAGAAGAGCCAAGGTAAGAGAACCATATTGATGCAAGCAGCTCAGGGGAAGTCAACTACTGGCCACTGTTAGATATGGAAATAATGGATATCACTAGAGGTAGTAGCAGAAATTCAACTCAACCAATGTAGGCAACCAGTCACAGGGTAAGGAGAAGGGAGGCTGAGGGCAGGCAGGACTCCTGCCTCTTCCCAGGGCCTACAGTAGCTGGGTAGAACTCTGTGAACACTCAGAGAGGGGCACAGTGAACTGACAAGAATACCCAGAGGCAGGTGATGCCCAGAGAGCAGAGCCACTATCAGTTAAAAAGTTAAAAGAAGGCTGGGTGCAGTGGCTCACGCTTGTAATCCCAGCACTTTGGGAGGCCAAGGCCGGCAGATCACTTGAGGTCAGGAGTTCAAGACCAGCCTGACCAACATGGTGAAACCCTGTCTTTACTAAAAAACACAAAAATTAGCTGGGTATGATGGCATGTGCCTGTAATCCCAGCTACTTGAGAGGCTGAGGCAGGAGAATTGCTTGAACCTGGGCAGCGGAGGTTGCAGTGAGCCGAGATTGTGCCACTGCTCTCCAGCCTGGGTGACAGAGAGAGACTCCACCTCAAAAAAAAAAAACAAAAAGTTATAGGAAAAAGGTGCATGGCTATATATAGTGTGGTTGCATTTTCTCGTTTCTACCCACAACAATGGAAATTGTTGTTAACTTTTATGCCACATTATTAGTCAGTTTAACATATCTCTTCCTGTTGGATTGCATGTTTTCTAAGGGAAAACATGCCTTTCCAATAAGGCACATTATTTTCACTCACATGACATGGGGCAAGTATACAGTAGGTGTGGCCACTCTTGTGTAGTTGATTTCTGAGTTGCTCACATCAATATGGGTCTCTTACCTTGGCTCTTCTTTATAATGGGAGCCTGCAGGCAATGCTCCCTTGCTTTCCTCTCTCCCTGGGCCCCTGTATCCCCAGCAAGCTCTCTTCTTCATAGGTCCAGCTATGGAATAAAGGAAGTCAAAGGATCCACAGCAGAAAAATAAGTGTTCTTCATCGTTCAGAAGGAACTCATAAAGATGAAGCTCATCCGTCCTTTGTAGAAATGAATGATCTAGTCAAGTCTTTTTTTGGCTATACATTTTTCTTAAAACTTTCTTTCCTTCCTTCCTTCTTCCCTCCCTCCCTCCCTCCCTCCCTTCCTTCCTACCTTCCTTCCCTCCTTTCTTCCTTTCCTCTTATTCTCTCTTTCTCTCTCTCTTGCTTTATCTTTTGTGTCAAAACCAGCTCAAGAAATAAAATAGAAAAACCAACCTGGATTGGAAGGTGTATTAGTCAGGGTTCTCTAGAACTCCTATATATGTATATAGGATTTTATTAAGTATTAACTCACAGGATCACAAAGTCCCACATAGGCCGTCTGCAAGCTGGGGAGCAAGGAGAACCAGTTGGAGTCCCAAAACTGAAGAACTTGGAGTCCAATATTCAAGGGCAGGAAGCATCCAGCATGGGAGAAAGATGTTGGCCGGGAGGCTAGGCCAGTCTAGTCTTTTCACATTTTTCTGCCTGTTTTATATTCTAGCCACACTGGCAGCTGATTAGATGATGCCCACCCAGATTCAGGATTGGTCCGCCTTTCCCAGCTCACTGACACAACTGTTAATCTCCTTTGGCAACACCCTTACAGACACACCCAGGATCAATACTTTGCATCCTTCAATCCAACCAAGTTGGCACTCAGCATTAACTATCACAGAGGCTTTTTTTTTTTATAAAATGAAATGCATTAGTTTTCTGTTACCACTATATAAAATTGCTTAGTGGCTTAAAACAACAATAATTTATCCTCATACAGTTCTGGTAGTTGGAAGTCTGAAAGGAACCTAATGGGCTAAAATCGAGGTCTTAACAAGTCTAGTTCTTTCTAGGGGCTCTAGAAGAGAATTTGTTTTTGGTGTCTTTCAGTTTCTACAGTCTGCCAGCATGCCTTAGCTTGTGGCTGCACCACTCTGACCTGCCTCCATGGTCACTGCCTTCTCAGTCTGACCACCCTACATCCCTCTTAGAAAGACCCTTGTCATTTTATGGAGACCTCCCAGATAATCCAGGATGGCCTTCTCATTATAAAATCCCTAATCACATCTGCAAATCCATTCTGCCATATATGTTCAGAGGTTCTGGGGATTACAACATGGACACTTTGGGAGTGACCACTGCTCAGTTTACCACAGAGGCTACCAAATATTCCAAATAAGAGCCTTGAGACAGTGGCCCCCTGGCAGCTTGCCTGGACCCCAGCCTGCTCTTGGGTTCTGCTCCAGAACATTGTGTTCTCTTTTCTCTCTATTCCTCACTGCTTTTACTTTGCCCTCTCAGAACACTTGTTTCCTCTGCTTCTTCTTCAGCTCAATAGTGGCACCCCAAGGCCACTCCAATAGCCATGACACATTAACGTTATACTCCATTACATTCCTCACATGTCCTGAGTCTGCAGTTTCCATTATTGAGAGAGAGAGAGGCTGAGGTTCCCTGTTAACAAACCTTAGTCCTTGCCGAGTTCCTACCACCTTGTGAGCAAGGGATGCCCCACATGTAGAATCAGCCCTGAACTCCACAGCTGTCCTCATGGCTTCTTTGAAAGCCTAGCTTCATGTCTTATTTTCTACTCCTTCCAGTTCTTTTAGCAACACTCTTTTGAAAACCATGATAATATGACGATACAAGGCACTTCATTAAAGCCACAGGAAAGTAGCCTGATAATTTAACAAGGATGCCTGACTTACGTGTAGCCAGAAATCCATCCCTGCCCTGAAGGAGAATGATATTTTTAATTGTAACAGAAGTTAAGTGCAGCCTTGTTTTAGGAAGACTGTCTTTCTCATGCCTGCTAACCTTCATATGCAGAGTTTTCAGATCATTTCAGTCTTTCACCACCCTTCATGGAGAAAACTGACGACAAATGCTTGTTAAAAAGGGTACTAAATACAGCAGGGTGGGGTGGCTCATGCCTGTAATCCCAACACTTTGGGAGGCCAAGGCGGGCAGATCACTCAAGGCCAGGATTTCGAGACCAGCCTGGCCAACATAGCAAAACCCCATCTCTACTAAAAATACAAAAAAAATTAACTGGGCACGGTGACACATACCTGTATTCCCGCTACTTGGGTGGCTGAGGCACAAGAATCACTTGAACCTGGAAGGCAGAGGTTGCAGTGAACCAAGATCATGCCACCACACTCCAGCCTGAGCAACAGAGAAAGATCCTGACTCAAATAAAATAAAATAATTTAAAAAATTAAAAAGCAGTACTAAATACAATAAATAAAAATTAGAAGACTACCCTGTGTGGCTTCTTCAGAAAAAAAAAATGGTCTCAAATAAAGTTAAAGTGTTGTTGTATTAGTCTGTTTTCACACTGTTCTAAAGATACTACCAGAAGCTGAGTCATTTGTAAACAAAAGAGGCTTAGTTGACTCACAGTTCTGCATGGCTAAGGAGGCCTCAACAAACTTACAGTCATGGTGGAAGGCAAAGGGGGGAAGCAGGAACCTTCTTCACAAGGTAGCAGGAGAGAGAGAGTGCACATGGGGAAATGCCATTTTTTAACACCTTCAGATCTTGTGAAAGCTCCCTCACTATCATGAGGATAGTATGGGGGAAAACCATTGGCTCCTGTGACCCAATCACCTCCAACAAGGTCCCTCCCTCAAAATGAGAGGATTACAACTCCAGATGAGATTTGGGTGGGGACAGAGAGTCAGACCTGGAGACCCTTGCAAATCTCACATTCTCACATTTCAAAACCTTCATGCCTTCCCAACAGTCCCCCATAGTCTTAACTCATTCCAGGAGTAACCCAAAAGTCCAACTCCAAAGTTTCATCTGAGACAAGGCATGTTTCTTCTGCCTATGAGCCTGTAAAATCAAAACCAAGTTAGTTACTTCCCAGATACAATGGAGGTACAGGCATTGGGTAAATGTTCCCATTCCAAATGGGAGAAATTAGCCAAAACAAAGGAGCCACATGCCCCATGCAAGTCCAAAACCCGACTGGGCAGTCATTAAATCTTAAAGCTCCAAAATCTACTTTAATTCAAAGTTTCACATCCAGAGAATGCTGTTGCTAGTGATGGGCTCCCAAGGCATTGGCCATCTCCACCCCCTGTGGCTCTGCAAGGTATAGCCCCTGTGGCTGCTTTCACAGGCTGATGAGTGCCTACAGCTTTTCCAAGTGCATGGTACAAGCTGTTGGTGGATCTACCATTCTGCGGTCTGGAGGATGCTGGGAATCTTCTCACAGCTCCACGAGGCAGTGCCCCAGGGGGACTCTGTGTTTTGGCTTCAACCTCAATATTTCCCCTCTGCATTGCCCTAGTACAGGTTCTCCATGAAGGCTCCTCCCCTGCAACAGACTTCTGCCTGGACATCCAGGCATTTCATATATCCTTTGAAATCTAGGCAGAGGTTCCCAAAGCTCAACTCTTGTCTTCCATGCACCCACACCATGCAAGGCCCAACACCATGTGGGAGCCACCAAGACTTGTGGCTTGCACCCCTTGAAACAACAGCCTGAGCTTTACATTGGCCCCTTTTAGCCACGGCTGGAGCTGGAGCAGCTGCAATGCAAGGTGCCAAGTTCCAATGCTGCACAGAGCAGTGTGGCCCTTGACCTGACCCACAAAACTATTTTTCCCTGCCAGGCCTTCAGGCCTGTGATGGGAGAGGCTGCCATGAAGGTCTCTGATATGTCCTGCAGGCATTTCCCCCATTTTCTCAGCTATTAGCATTCAGCTTCTCATTAATTATGCAAATTTCTGCAGCTGGCTTGAATTCCTCTACAGAAAAGTTATTTTTTCTTTTTTACCACACAGCCAGGCTTCAAATTTTCCAAACCTTTATGCTCTGCTTCCCTTTTAAACATAAGTTCCAATTTCAAACCATCTCTTTGTGAATGCATATAACTGAATGCTTTCAGAATAAGTCAGGTCACCTCTTGAATGCTTTGCTGTTTAGAAATTTCTTCTGCCAGTACCCTAAATCATCTCTTTCAAGTTCAAAGTTACACAGATTTCTAGTGCAGGAGAAAAATGCTGCCAGTCTCTTTGCTAAAGCATAGCAAGAGTGACCATTACTCCATTTCCCAATAAGTTGCTCATCTCCATCTGAGACCACCTCAGCCTGGATGTTATTACTGATATCACTATCAGCATTTAGTCAAAACCATTCAACAACTCTCTGCAAAGTTCCAAACTTCCTCACATCTTCCTGTCTTCTTCTGAGGCCTCCAAACTGTTCCAACCTCTGTTTCTAACCAATTTCAAAGTCACTTTCACATTTTCGGGTTATCTTTATAGCAGCATTCCACTCCTGGTACCAATTATTTGTATTAGTCCATTTTCACACTGCTATGAAGATACTACCTGAGACTGATAATTTATAAACAAAAGAGTTTTAAATGACTCACAGTTCCTCATGGCCGAGGAGGCCTCAGGAATCTTACAATCATGGTGGAAGGTGAATGGGAAGTCTTCACAAGGCAGAAGGGAAAGTGAGAGCATAGGAAACTGCCATGTCTAAAACCATCAGATCTCCTGAGAACTCCCTCACTATCACGAGAATAGCATGAGGGAAACTGCCTACATGATCAAATCACATCCCACCAGGTTCCTCCCTTGACACATGGGGATTACAATTTGAGATGATATTTGGGTAGGGACACAGAACCAAACCATATCAGTTGTGATATAACCTTTTAGGAGTCAAGAGATCAATTATCAAGATTTGTATACTCTAAGCTTCTTGAACTTCAGTACTGTCATCGGTGAAATGGTTCTAATTACAATAACTGATGAATATTTAGCACTGGTAAAGAAGTCAGTTGAATACAAAAATAATGGAAAAAAATGTATATGCAAAATGCATTTTTGTGTTTAATACTGACATTGATTTCTGCCATGTCATTCTTGCAGAAGTGTGTAAATATTCATATTTTTCTATCTAAATAAGATTTGCACGTTACATGGCAAATAATCACCATGGTGCAGTGGAGATAACCCTGATCCTGCCACTTGAGAAGATGAAATGGAATTAGAAAGAGACAGGGATGAAGATTCAGGCAAACTGGATTAAATTCCACCCACCCCTAAACTCCATTAAGTGAGATCTTGGGAATGTGTCTTAACATGGTCATCAATTTTGCCAGTGGTACAATGAAGATAGTAGTGCTGACCTCAAAGGATTGCCAGGAATTAAAATTTTAAAATGAGATAATATTGAAATTGTCCAGAATGATGTCTGGCACTATGCAGTCACTCAACGTTGGCTAATTCTGGTACTTCTTAGAGTTCAAAGATGGGTAGATTGTATTATTTTCACTTCCTGTGAAACAAATTGCCATACACTTAGTGGCTTAAAATAACACCCATTTATTTGCTCACAGTTCTGTAGGTCAGAAGCCCAACAAGATGAGACTGGGTCCTCAGGCTCTTACAAGATCAAGATGTTGGCCAGGCCAACTTTCTGGCTGGAGGCTCTGGGGGAAAAAATCACTTCTGAGTTCATTCCAGTTGGCAAAAATCAGTGTCTTCCAGATGTTGGTTTGGGGTCCCGCTCTCTTGCTAACTGCCAACTGTAGGGTGTTCTTAGCTCTTAGAGGCTACCTGCATTCCTTCTCCTCAGGCTCCTTCTTCAAGCCAGCAAGGGAACATCAGAACTTTATGTGCTTTGAGTCTCTGACTTCCTTTTCTGCAACCAGACAGAGAAAACTCTCTCCCTTTAAGGGGCTCTCATCATTAGGTCAGACCCACCCAGATCATCACTTTATCTTAAGGTCAACTGCATCATATAATAAAACCTGATCCTGGGAGGTATAGCTCACCCTATTTATAGTACTGAGGACCTGCAGGGCTTACACACCAGGGAGATGGGAAAACTTGATCCTCATCTCAGAATTCTGCCAACTATAGTTGATGTTTTCTTCATGCTACTTCCTAGCTTTGTGAACTTGGCCAAAAGGACCCTTCTCAATATCCCTGCCTTCTGCCACATATTCATAAACATAAAGCAGGGTAAGGTAGGGAAATCAGTCTACTCCAAAGGATTATTATCAGTTTCACATAAGACAGAGAATGCAGAGCATTTGTAAGCTGTAAAGTGCCTTTTCTTAATCACACATTTCTCTTTGCATAGCATTTTTTAAATTCTTACATTGCATTGCATTTGTTACAAATCCATCATTTTCTCTAGAATTCTAAAATGGATGGCAGTAGATATGTTATTTATTTTATTTTATTTTTTAATGTTTTTTATTTCAATAGGTTTTTGAAGAACAGGTTGTGTTTGGTTACAAGAATGGGTTCTTTAGTGGTGATTTTTAAATTTTGGTGCACTCATAACCCAAGCAATGTACACCATACCCAATGTGTAGTCTTTTATTTCTCATCTCCCTCTCAGTCTTTCCCCAAGTCCCCAAAGTCCATTGTATCATTCTTATGCGTTTGTGTCCTCATAACTTAGCTCCCACCATATGATGTCAGGTTTTCCATTCCTGAGTTACTTCACTTAGAATAATAGTCTCCAGTTCCATCCAGGTTGTTGCAAATGCCATTATTTCATTCCTTTTTATGACTGAGTAGTATTTCATGGTGTGTGTGTGTATATATATATCATATTTTCTTTATCCACTTGGTGATTGATGGGCATTTGGGCTGGTTGTTCTGCTATAAACATGCGTGTGCAAGTATCTTTTTCATATAAATGACTTCTTTTCCTCTGGGTAGATGCCTAGTAGTGGGATTGTTGGATCAAACCTTTGATCCAACTAAAGTAGATCCACCTTTAGTACTTTAGTGCATCTCCATACTATTTTCCATAGTGTTTGTACTAGTTTACATTCCCACCAACAGTGTAAAAGTGTTCTCTTTTCACTACATCCATACCAACATTTATTATCTTTTCATTTTTTTATTATGGCCATTGTTGCAGGAGTGAGGTGCTATTGAATTGTAGTTTTGATTTGCATTTCCCTGATAATTAGTGATGTTAAGCATTTTTCCATATGCTTGTTGTCCATTTGTATATCTTTTTTTGAGAATTGTCTATTTATGTCCTTAGCCCACTTTTTGATCAGATTGATTTATTTTCTTACTGATTTGTTTGAATTCTTTGTAGATTCTGGATATTCGTCCTTTGTCAGATATATAGACTGTGAAGATTTTCTCCCACTCTGTATGTTGTCTTTTAACTGCTGATTATTTATTTTGCTGTGCAGAAGCTTTTTTGTTAATTAAGTCCCATCTATTTATCTTTGTTTTTGTTGTATTTGCTTTTGGGTTCTGTGTCACAAAGTCTTTGCCTAAGCAATGTCTGGGCGGGGTGGGGGTGGGGTTTCTGATGTTATCTTCTAGAATTTTTATGGTTTCTGGTCTTAGATTTAAGTCTTTGATCTATCTTGAGTTGATTTTTGTATAAGGTGAGAGATGAGGATCAAGTTTCATTCTTCTGCATGTGGCTTGCCAATTATCCCAGCGCCATTTGTTCAATAGGGTGTCCTTTCATTCTTTATGTTTTTGTTGGCTTTGTCAAAGATCAGCTGGCTGTAACTATCTGGCTTTATTTTTGGATTATCTATTCTGTTTCTTGGTCTATGTGCCTCTTTTTATACCAGTACCATGTTGTTTGGGTGACTATGGCCTTAAAGTATAGTTTGAAGTCAGGTAATGTGATGCCTCCAGATTTGTTCTTTTTCCTTAGTCTTGCTTGTTTCGCAGGCTCTTTTTTCATTTTATACGAATGTTAAGATTGTTTTTTTCTAGTACTGTGAAGAATGATGGTGGTATTTTGATGGGAATTGTATTGAATTGGTAGATTGCTTTGGCAGTATGGTCATTTTCACAATATTGATTCTACCCTTCCATGAGCATGGAAGGTGTTTCCGTTTGTTTGTGTTGTCTATGATTTCTTTCAGCAGTGTTTTGTAGCTTTCCTTGTAGAGGTCTTTCACCTCCTTGGTTAGGTATATTCCTAAGTATTTTATTTTTTGTTGCAGCTATTGTAACACAGGTTGAGTTTTTGATTTGATTCTCAGCTTTGTCACTGCTGGTGTATAGCAGAGCTACTGATTTGTGTACATTGATTTTGTATCCTGAAACTTTGCTTAATTCATTTACCAGTTCTAGGAGCTTTTTGAGTGAGTCTTGAGGGTTTTCTAGGTATACAATCATGTCATCAGCAAAGAGCAGCAGTTTGATTTCCTCTTTACCAGTTTGGATGCCCTTGATTTTTTTCTCTTGTCTGATTGCTCTGGCTAGAACTTCCAGTACCATGTTGAATAGAAGCAGTGAAAGTGGACACACTTTTCTTGTTCCAGTTCTCAGGGGGAATGCTTTCAACTTTCTCCTGTTCAGTATAATGTTGGCTGTGGGTTTGTCATAGATGGCTTTTATTACCTTAAGGTATGTCCCTTCCATTCAGATTTTGCTGAAAGTTTTAATCATAAAAGGATGCTGGATTTTGTCAAAGGTGTTTTCTGCATCTATTGAGATGATCATGTGATTTATGTTTTTAATTCTGTTTATGTGGTGTATAACATTTATTGACTTGTGGTTGTTAAACCATTTCCACATCACTGGTATGAAACCCACTTGATCATGGTGGATTTTCTTTTTGATGATATGCTGTTGGACTCAGTTAGCTAGTATTTTTTGAGGATTTTTGCATCTATGTTTAACAGGGGTATTGGCCTACAGTTTATTTTTTTGTTATGTCCTTCCCTGGTTTTGGAATTAGGGTAATATTGGTTTCATAGAATGATTTAGGGAGAATTCCCTCCTTCTCTTTTCTGTAGAATAGTGTCAGTAGGATTGGGACCACTTCTTCTTTGAATGTCTGATAGAATTTAGCTATGACTCTGTCTTGTCCTGGACTTTTTTTGTTGACAATTTTTAAATTCCCATTTCAATCTTGCTGCTTGTTATTGGTCTGTTCAGAGTTTCTATATCTTTCTGGCTTAATGTAGGAGGGTTGTGTATTTCCAGGAATCTATCCATCTCCTCTAGATTTTCTAGTTTGTGCATGTAAAGGTGTTTACAGTAGCCTTGAATAACCTTTTGTATTTCTTTGGTATCAGTAGTAATATCTCTTATTTCATTTCTAGTTGAGCTTATTTGGATCTTTTCTTTTCTTGGTTAATCTTACTAACGGTCTATCAATTTATCTTTTCAAAGAACCAGCTTTTTGTTTCATTTATCTTTTGTATTTTTTTGTTTCAATTACATTTAGTTCTGCTCTGATCTTTGTTATTCTTTTCTTCTGCTATGTTTGGGTTGGATTGTTCTTGTTTCTCCAGGTCTGTGAGGTGTGACCTTAGATTATCTATTTGTGCTCTTTCAGACTTTTTGATGTGGGCATTTAATGCTACGAATTTTCTTCTTAGCACTACTTTTGCTATATCTCAGAGGTTTTGGTAAGTTGTGTCACTATTATTGTTCAGTTCAAAGAATTTTTTAATTTTCATCTTTATTTCATTGTTGACCCAGTGATCATTCAGGAGCAAGTTATTTAATTTCTATGTGTTTGCATGGTTTTGAGGGTTCTTTTTGGATTTAATTTCCAATTTTATTCCACTGTGGTCTGAAAGAGTGCTTGATGTAATTTTGATTTTCTTAAATTTACTAAGAGTCATTTTCTGCCATATCATATGGTCTATCTTGGAGAATTTTCCATGTGCCGATGAGTAGAATGTATATTTTGCAGTTGTTGGCTAGAATATCCTGTAAATATCTGTTAAGTCCATTTTTTCTGGATATAGTTCAATTCCATTTTTTTTGTTAACTTTCTGTCTTGATGACATGTCTAGTGCTGTTAGTGGAGTATTAAAATCCCCCACTATTATTGTGTTGCCATCTCTCTCATTTCTTAAGTCTAGTAGTAATTTTTTTATAAATTTGAGAGCTTCAGTGTTAGATGCGTATATATTTAGTATTGTAATCATTTCCTATTGGACTAGTAGTTTTATTCTATAATGTCCCTCTTTGTCTTTTTAAACTGTTGTTGCTATAAAGTCTGTTTTGTCTGACATAAGAATAGCTACTTCTGCTCATTTTCAGTGTCCATTTGCATGGAATGTCTTTTTCCACCCCTTTACCTTAAGTTTATGTGGGTGCTTGTGTGTTATATGAGTCTCCTGAGGACAACAGAAACTTGGTTGGTGGATTCTTATACATTCTGCCATTCAATATATTTTAAGTGGGGCATTAGGCCATTTATATTCAATGTTAATATTGAGAAGTGAGATACTATTCTATTTATCATACTATTTCTTGCCTGAATATCTTGTTTTATATTCATTGTGTTATTGTTAGATAGATCCTGTGAGATTTATGCTGTAAGGAGGTTCTATTTCGATGTATTTTGAGGATTTGTTTCAAGATTTGGATCTCCTTTTAGCAGTTCTTATAGTGCTGACTTGGTAGTGGCGAATTCTCTCAGCATCTGTTTGTCTGGAAAATACTGTATCTTTCTCTCATTTATGAAGCTTAATTTCACTAGATACAAAATTCTTGGCTGATAATTGTTTTGTTTAAGGAGGCTAAAAATGGGACCCCAATCACTTCTAGATTATAGGGTTTCTGTGGAGAAATCTGTCATTATTTTGATAAGTTTTCCTTTATAGGTAACCTGATGCTTTTGCCTCACAGCTCTTAAGATTATTTGCTTTGTCTTGACTTTAGATAACCTGATGACTATGTGCTTAGGTGATGATCTTTTTGCGATCAGTTTCCCAGGTGTTCTTTGAGCTTCGTGTATTTGGATGTCTAGATTTCTAGCAAAGCTGGGGAAGTTTTCCTTGATTATTCCCTCGAATATGTTTTTCGGATTTTTAGATTTCTCTTTGTCCTCAGAAACACCAATTATTCTTAGGTTTAGATGCTCAACATATTCCCAAACTTCTTGAAAGCTTTGTTCATTTTTCTCATTTGTTTTTCTTGGTCTTTGATGGATGGGGTTAATTTGAAAGGTTTATTTTGAGCTCTGAAGTTCTTTATTCTGCTTTTTTTGTTCAATTGCTAACACATTTCAGTCCATTTTACATTTGTCTGTGTTCTTGATTTCCAGAAGTTGTGATTGTTTTTATTTGTGCTATTTCATTGAGGAATTTTCCTTTCGTATTCTGTATTATGTTTTTTATTTCTTCAAGTTAGAGTTCACCTTTCTCTGGTGAATTCTAACTTGATTAGCTTAATAATCCACCTTCTGAATTCTTTTTCTGGCAATTCAGAGATTTCGTCTTGGTTTGGATCTATTGCTGATGAGCTGATGTGATCTTTTGGGGGTGTTAAAGAACCTTGCTCTGTCATATTACCAGAATTGCTTCTCCTCATCTCAGTAGACTATATCAGAGGGATGATCTGGAACCCAACGGCTACTGTTCAGATTATTTTGTCCCACAGGGTGCTCCATTGATGTGGTCTTCTCCCCCTTCCTCTAGAGATGGGGCTTCCTGAGAGCAGAACTGTAGCGATTGTTTTTGCTCCTCCAGCTCTAGCCAGCCAATGGAGCTACTGGGTTGCAGGCTGGTACTGGGGAGTGTCTTCAGAGTCTGGTGATGTAATCTGTCTTCAGGTCTTGCAGACATCGATAGTAGCATCTGCTCCAGTGAAGGCAACAGAGGAGTGAAATGGACTCTGTAACGGTTTTTAGTTGTGTTTTTGTTTAGTGCTCTGGTTTTGTGTTGGTTGGCCTCCAGCCAGGAGATGGCACTTTCAAGAGCGCATCAGCTGTGGTCCTGTAGGGAAGAAGCAAACTTGCCCTAGGGACACCTGGTTAAGTATTCAGGTAACTCAGGTGGTGAGGAGACCCATAGAGCTCCCAGGAGATTATGTCCTTTGTCTTCAGCAACCTGGGTAGGTAGAGAAAGACCACCAGGTGGGGGCAGGGATAGGGTGTCTGAGCTCAGACTCTTTTTGAGTGGGGCTTGCTGCAGCTGCTGTGAGGGATGGGGGTGTGCTTCCCAGTCCAATGGAGTTATGTTCCCAGGAGGATTATGGCTGCCTCTGCTGAGTCACAAAGGTAACCAGAGAAGTGGGAGAAAGCCAGAAGTCACAGGCCTCACCCCACTTCCATGCAGCGCACAGTCCTAAAGGCCAGTCTCACTCCCACTGTGCCTCTACAACAGCAGTGAGTCTATTTCCAGGCAGCTGGTCACCAGGACTGAATACTTGTCCCAGACCACCAGCCTTTCCCGCTGAGAAAGCAGGCTGACTCACAGTTTCTCAGTGTCTCAGGGAGCCTACAGCGGTGATCCAGTTCCCGCAAAGGGTCTGTGGGTTCTCTCAGCTTTCCTGGTATGTTGCTATGGTAGTTCTTGGAGCAAAAGTTCACTATGTAAGTTTCCACACGCTGCTCTGTCTCTCTGAGTGGGAGCTGCAAGCTAGGCCTGCCTTCTATCTGCCATCTTAAATTAATCACAATCTCTGATTTTAACCTCATGATTCCCATTATATAAAATTGATCATATTGTGGCAAGTGCTCAGTAGATTTTATTCTGACTTTTTGAGCACACAAGAGATTCCAGATCTGTGTGTATTGAGGAAAGTAATTGGTATCTAATTCTTTCTTGTATTAAAAAGAAAAGTGTATATAGTGTAGAGCAATGCAGTTTTTAAATTAAATACATTGGTAAAGATCCTATCAGTTGTTATTTACCTTTCAATTAACCAATCAATAGATTTGAGGCAGGTACAACATTCTACATTACCAATAAATTTACATTTAAAATCCTGCTTTCCTCATTCTTTATTTTTCAGGGCATCTCACACAATGATGGTATCAAATGTGTCTCTTAAAGCATTTGAGAATGTCATGGATTATAACAGAATTATGGCCAAATACCTCAATCTAATTTTTTCTTCCATTTATCCATTATGTTTCAAGAACTTAGGGTAAAGATAAATCAAAGACTCAACAAAGATACACAACAAAGTGCAATAAAGCAAGCATGAATTTTGGATCCAGACAGAATTGATTTCAAATTCCATGTCTCTCACTTGAAAATGACCTTTTTTCATCTATTTCTTTACATTAAAAAATATATGGCTACTTATGCCCATCCACAGCCCTACAGTGTGGAGTAGATACCAAGTTGACATTCTTAATTGTGTTCAAATTGAACAGTAGGTTGTTTATAAATAATAGCTCATATTATTATAAACACTAGAAGTAATAGTATTTTTAGAGGAGTTAAGTCTAGATGTGTTTTGATTTAGTATATTCAATGCTTCATAGAAAAATAACACTTATTTGTAATGTAAATCCATTGACTACCCCTGAGTTCTAAATTAAAAGTCTAATCAAGGCTTCGAAAGACAAAATGACTTGTTCAAAGCCACAAATCAGTGGCCCATCCTGCTTCAGATCCAGAGAAGTGTGGCCCCCAAGCCTGTGGGAGCTCTTAGCTCCCCTCCTTACTGCCCAGTCAACCTGGGAATCCCATTGGCTGTGGCTTGCTTCCCTGCAGTCAGAGTGAAACCATCATCTTTGCAGACATAAACTTTCTTACAAGTTTAAAAATGTACTTTGGAAAACTAGAACATAGAATCTTTTTAAAAGATCTTTATTTTCCCCTGAAGCATCTTCCCGAACAGCCAGCTAGAAGAGACACATCCCCCTACACAAAACCCACACAAGAATATCAAAATCTGTTTGATAATGAATTTAAATTTTAAAAAAATCCATACGCTAAAATCATTTTTATTTTTAATTTTTCCCTCTTTTTTCAAATTCATGGACATAATGTTTCTTATTGCAACGCAGAAACATCTCAAAATAGCTGCCAGAATTTTACAAATAAACATAAAACCAAGGCTTTTGCAGTACAAAAATAGTCCTCACTTCTGCTCTAAAGGTTGGTTGCCCTTCTAAATCTTTGTTAGGGTTGGGACTACTTTGGCAGCTTAGGCAAGCAGCCACATTTAAATAATTTTTCTAACTGGAGATATTCATACATACAGGAGTTTATGTCTTTACTCTCAAATATGTATGTGCATTAATTTTTTTAAAAAAGAGAAGCAGAATATGACTAGAAAGTTAAAAAATATAGATGAAATCAATTCAATTGCAATGTAATAACTCTTTATGTTATGGCATAAATTATTGCCCAAAATGTTTGCTATAATAATTGTTATTTTAAAAGTGCCTACAGAAATAATGATTAATCTTTTATTTAAACTGCTTTCATAATTAAGTAGGGGGAGCCAATGATTTCACTTTTTCATCACAAGAAACTTTTATGATCAGTGCTATGAGGTATCCTTCCCAGTCCCTTTCCTTGAGGTGCTGGACTTTTCTTTCTAACTGATTAATTTTCTAAAATAAAAAAACAGGTGTTTCCATCAGCAGTTTATCAAACTCAAGCCCCGGGATGTTCATTTTGGTGGCTCTACAATTTTTCTTCTCACATAATAGGTAGAAGAATACCCAAGTTTTGATTTGAGTAGAAAAAGTAAAACATGAATTCAATCAAGAGTTAAATTGATGGCATTTTGCATAATAGAGTAAATCTTTTTCTTTAATTCTTACACCTTACAAAATTAAAAGCAGAAAATTGAATTTCTCTTTTTCTTCATGGTTCACTGCAGGGCTGTTGAAGACCCTCAGTGGTGTGAGTCCTGCCTCACCTCTTCTCGCCTTCTCCACAGCTCTGGAAACATTGACTTCCCTCTATGGTTGAAAACTTGCCGAGTTTCTTCCATCCTTTAGCATTCAAATGTTTGTGCTTGCTGTACCTTCTGACTAAGAGGTTTGGTGAAGACAATTTTCCATGGTGCTTTTGTGTTTCTGCCTATTTTATGAGCAAGACACTTGGTTATCCTGCTTTGGACTATCATTTCAAGGATATTTATAGAGCAAACAACTTAGGAAGATACAGGTAGTGTCTCTTTCTGGAGAAAGAAGCAGGTGGCTTACTGCCCATTATAAAAGATTTAGGTTCCCTAAGCTCAGAGTTGCTCTTCTCTGATGTCAACCACTGCATTTGCAGGCAGCACTCACCCCTCTCTGCATTGCTCCATGAGAACTAAGGCCTCAACAACTGGCAAAAAATACTGATATTCTGACACTGTTACTGGGTAAGAACTACACTTCCTTTCTGACCCAGGAGCATCCTGTTTCTTTTACAGCATCAGTGAAAACATGGCAGGCTAGCATGTTAGTCTGCAAGGAGAATAAGATCTCAAATCCCTTATCATCCTTGCCAGTGTTGGTTTCAATAATAGGATGTTGACAGAAATAGAACTTTTTGCAAGAGGAGGGATAGCAGCTCAACAGTTTTTGCATGTCACATGAAAATGGTATATTAAAGAAACAGCTGGCCTGGCCCCAGCTGTTAATGTAAAGGTAGCAGCTCTCATTGGCAGGAAGCCTGTTCCCTTATCCTCTTATAGATGATTATAATAAAGGCCTGGTCTCTGTTGAGATTGGCTGGAATGTTTTAGCTACTGGATCAGGATATGCAGATTTTTTATGGTGAATTAAGAATAGCAACCTCAGCACCCAAGGTGAGAATACTTCAAACCGTAGGGAAATGGGGGAGAGAAGGACAGTAATGGCCTTTGTCTTCCATAATTGTCCTTGGAGCCTTCCTTGCAGAGTTAAATGCCTTGATGGAGCTCTCCCAACTGTCACCTGTGCCTGAAATAATTTGAATGCCTTCTCCCTTACCCTTTCCTGGGAAATATTCTAGAAATAACAAAGGTGCCCTAACACCTGTACCCCCAACAAAACATTTGTAAACACCTTTGAATGTTTCCTACCCCCATTCCCCAGCCATTGCTCAGTTGATCTGAGGTCATAAAAACACCACCCTTCTGGCAGTATAGCAAACAGAATGGGTTAGACCGACTTCCATCATGCTTTGCTCCAAAAATGAGCAGTAAGCTAAATTATCTGAACTGAACTGGGTAGCCTGAGGCCTACAGGCTAAGGGGGAGATCATTTTGGAATCACTTTCATCCTATGCCCTCTAGCTAATGAAAGTCTTACTTGGGATTCCAATAAGTTGAAATAATTCTTTTCAGGGCACTATATGCACTCCTGGATTTTATTTGTGTGGATCCCAGGTATTAACTTGCCTTCTTCATGGAAACCTGGTGACTTAGAATCGGTCATAAGAGACCTCTGAGTGTCTCAGGAAACACTTCCATAGATTAGTATTCCTCAGGTGACTGCAGGTTGGACACTTCTGGAGGGATAACTGATTCATTATGTGACCCTGTAGGCAGTCAGTAGTCATTCAGTCAGAAAACATGGTAGACGACGTGTCCCTCGCTGTGGTTAAAGTGGCTGATAATATTACTTCAGCCCTGGAAGATGTTCCACTCAGCTTCATTCATGGAGTAGAGTTGCTATGAATGATAAATCTTCCATAGCCTTCTTCCTTGCAGACCAAGGCAGAGTCTGCACAATTATTGATATGTTCTGCTATACTTACATTAATGCCTCAGGTTAAATAGAAAGGTCAATACAGAAATTTAGGAAGAAAGCCACATGGGATTTTTTAGATAAACCTTGACAATATATAGAATTTGTTTTGCTGGTTAGATTTGAGGCATCTGGAGGTATGTTTGAGCTTAATACTTTCTCTAGGTTGACCTGATTATGCTACTTAGAGTTCTGTTGATAGTAGTCTTAAATAAATAAACTATAGAACATATTGAATGGATTTTGTCCCAGACTCTGCTGGTCAGATTAATCAGGGTAGCTGGCAGAGTGTCATATTCATGGAAAAATTGGCCAGAATTCAAGACCATAGAAGTGAGTATGGATACTGTTGGAGTCAATTCTCCATGGATTTTCCCATTTCTACGCATCTTGTGAGCAAGGAACTGCCTGCACTTTGTTCAAAAGTATGTTTTCAAGAATGTCTGCATATTTAACACTTGGAAGATAGAGATAATAAGGCCAGGCCTGCTTACTGCCTGTTTTAAAAGATGTAGGTTCTCTGAACTCAGAGTTTCTGGCCTATAATGCAACTCATTGATTATTCATATATCATATGGCCTTCTTTGCATCTCTCTGTGGGAATCGTTGCTTGGGTAACTGTCTAAAAAATGTTAATCTTTTGGTATTGCTACTGTTGTAAATAACGTACTGTCCTCCACCTCTGACCTTGGAGTAACGTGCTGTTTTCTAGAACCCATGAAGTCATGGGAAGCTAACACATTGGTTTGTAAGTAAGTTTATTTCCAGGCTTCCACCAACAGCTCCTTATTATTCAGGCTATACTTAAATGTCACCTCCTTAGAGTGGCAATATCCCCTCACCCTCAGTCATCCTCTATCCCATGAACATTTTTCTTTTCCCTGTAGCCTTTGTGGTTTGCTTATATTAGTTCTTGGGTATGTATTTATCTTCTATCTCTCTCCAATTGAATGTGTGCTTTGAGAGGGTAGTGGCTATGAATAACTATGAATGACTAGAATGACTATGTATATTCTATTTCCCATGCCTAAAATAGTGCCCGGCATTAAGTAGGCATTCAATAAATATTTGTTAAATTCATTGGCTTTTTTTAAGGAAATCATAGTGATTTATAAAACAAAGATTTCATATGCTCTCCCTTTTATGTATGGCTGAATCACAGATGACATATATCATATAGAGAAACATCTTCTGTTGCAGATATTTGCATGTTTGTATTCAGCAACAGTGAACTTGCTAGTTTTTATTAAAGGAGGTGTTTTTATTAAAGGAGGTTTAGCTAAAACATGGAACATTTTTTATATCATGCAATGTTTAAACAATTGTAAACAATCCACCCATAAAAGAGACCATTATTCCATAACTTTATCCCCAATCTTACAAATCCACATGGATCACCAAGAACAACGTAACTTTTCCATTATAATGACTTTTACTAGGAAAACATAAATCTTCATTGAAGCAAAAATCCCTATTGACAAAATAACTTGCTGGGCTACAATTATATAGTGTAATCAGAAGCAGAGTTTTGGATCATTTCAATGGAAACAGTGGATAAAATCAGAGATCAAGCCACCACATCAAAAACAAGCAAAACAAAATATTTGATCAAAATTAGTTTTATAGTAAGCACATAAAACATAACAGTCAATAATATGAGTAAATGCAAGAGGCAAAAATGCAGATAGAGTTTGGATAAAGACCATTCTGATTTGATTGGCTCTGTATTTCATTGTTTTTACCTCATTTTGACATTCTTAGCAATTATAGTAGTATCAAACTTTGAAGAAGAAAAAGGCACAGTAAAAATCACAAAGAGCTCATAATTAGGCATAATGCTAACATTTTAAGAAAGATAAGACCCAAATCATTATGCTTTTCTAACCAATAAAGAAGGTGACAGAGGCCCACCTTCTCATTCCCCAAAGGGACTCCCACAGGGTCACTTCAAACAACCTCAAAGAAAGAATTATTACCATCAGGTTAATAGTTCTTCAGGTCACTCGCTGTTTTTTGTTTTTTGTTTGTTTGTTTGTTGTTTTAGAGATTTACATTATTTCTTAGAGTAGTTTTAGGTTTAGAGAAAAACTAAATAGGAAAAACAGAGAGTTTTCATACACTCCATCCTCTCCCCTCCCCACAATTTTCCCTATTATTAACATCTTGCATTGGCATGTTATATTTCTTACACTTGATGAACTAGTATCAATACATGATTATTAGTTAGTTTGTATTTTACATCAAGGCCCCCTTTTTGTGTTGCATATTCCATGTGTTTGCCAAATTCTATGATATCATGTGGCTAGCATTTCTGCATCTTACAGAGTATTTTCACTGCAAGAAAAAGGTCTTGCATTCATCCACTCAACACTTGATGACAAGCAATCCTTTTACAGGCTCTAGTTTTGCCTTTTCCAGAACGTCATACAATTGAAATCATACAGTATAGCTTTTCAGACTGACTTCGTTCACCTAGTGATGTGGATTTAAGGTTCCTTGACATCTTTTCATGGCTTGATTGCCATGATGGTCTTTTAACTTTTATACTAGCGTTATTGGGAGCACAAAAGTTTTTAATTTTCATGAAATCCAAGTTATCTGTTTTTTTCTTTTGTTGCTTATGCTTTTGGTGTTATAGATAAGAATCCATTGCCAAATCCAAGATTATGAAGATTTACCCCTACATTTTCTTCTAAGAGTTTTATACTTTTAGCTCTTATACTTAAGGTCACTGATCTACTTTGAGTTAATTTTGTATGTGAAGGGAGGAGAGGGTCCAACTTTGTTTTTGCATGTGGAATTCCACTTATTCTAATGCTTCTTGCTGAAGAGAATATTCTTTACCCATTGTATGGACTTGGCACCCTTATCAAAAATCAATTGGTCACAGGTGTATGTGTTCATGGACTTTCAGTTCTATTCCCATTAGTCTATATTTCTATCCATGTACCAGGACCACATTGTTTTGATTATTGCAAATTCTTAATAAGTCTTGAAATTGGAAAGTGTGAGTCCTCCCACTTGGTTCTTTTTGAGGATTGTTTGGCTATTGGCAGTCTCTTGAGATTCCATATGAATTTGAGGATTGGCTTTCCCATTTCTGTAAAACAGACTTAGAATTTTCATAGGGATTCTGTTGAATTTTAGATCACTTTGGCTAGTAATGACATCTTTACTATATATATATAGTTAATATATATTATATATATGTATATATTATATATGTATATGTTTGTATATATGTATATATGTTATATATATAATTAATAATATATATAGTTAAGATGTCATAGTTAAGATCTTAACTATATATAGATATATTTTTTTATTATACTTTAAGTTCCAGCATACATGTGTACAACATGCAGGTTTGTTACATATCTATACCAGCTAACAGACATGAAAAAATGCTCATCATCACTGGCCATCAGAGAAATGCAAATCAAAACCACAAAGAGATACCATCTCACACCAGTTAGAATGGCGATCATTAACAAGTCAGGAAACAACAGGTGCTGGAGAGGATGTGGAGAAATAGGAACACTTTTACACTGTTGGTGGGACTGTAAATTAGTTCAACCATTGTGGAAGACAGTGTGGCGATTCCTCAAGGATCTAGAACTAGAAATACCATCTTAACAATATGAAGTCTTCCAATACATGAATATGGATGTTTTTCCATTTATTTAGCTTCTTAATTTCTTTCAGCAATGTTTTGTAGTTTTCAACGTACAACTCTTCCACCTCCCTGGTTAAGGTTATTTCTAGGTATTTTATTCCTTTAGATGCTATTGTAAGTGGAATTGTTTTTTTAATTTTCTTTTCAATTGTTTTCAGGAATATAAAAATGTAGCTGATTTTTGCCTATTTATTTTGTATGCTGCAACTTTGTTATTTAATTAATACGTTTATGAATTCTAATTTATTTCTTGTGTATTCTTCGGAATTTTCTAAATGTAGGATCAAGTCCTTTGCAGACAGAGATATTTTTACCTTATCTGTTCTAATTCTCATGCCTCATATCTATGTTTCTTGTCTAATTGCTCCGACTAGAACTTAGGTACCAGGTTGGATAGGAGAGATGAAAGCCTTCATCCTTGTCTTGTTCTCGCTGTGGGAGCTTCAGTCTTTCACTGCTGAGTATGAAGTTGTCTGCATTTCTCCACAAATGTCGTTTATCTTATTGAGGAAGTTCACTTCTATTCCTACTTTTCTGACTGTTTTTCTATCATGGAAGGATATTAGATTTTGTCAAATGACTTTTCAGTGTCAATTGAAATGATTGTGTTTCGCTTTTTGTTTCTTTGTTCTATTATTGTGATGTATTACATTGATTAACTTTCTTATGTTAAACCACCTTTGCATTCCTGAAATAAAACTCACCTGATCATGATATATAACCCTTTTAATATGCTATTGCATTTCATTTGCAAGTATTTTGTTAAGGATTTTTATATCTGTATTACTAAGGGGTAATGATCTATACTTTTCTGGCCTATGATTTTTTTACCTGGCTTTGGTATCAGGATAATTTTTTTCTCATAGAATGAGATTGGAAGTATTCATTCATTTTCTATATTTTGAAAGAGTTTGAGAAGCATCAATGTTATTTGTATTTTAATGTCTGAAAGAACTTACAAACGAAGTCATTTTGTCCTGGACTTTTCTTTGTCAGGATATTTTTGATTACTGATTCAATCTCCTTACTTGTTACAAGCCTGTGAGATTTTCTGTTTATTCTTGAATTATTGTAGGTAATTTGAACGTTTTTTCAAATTTGTCCACCTTGTCTAGATGGTAGAATTTTTTGACATTCAATTGTTTATAGTATTCTTCCATAATCATTATTATTTCTGTAAGATCAGTAGTAATGTCTCCACTTTCTTTTACAATTTTGGTTATTTATGTCTTCTATTTTATTTGTTTATTTATTCTTTGTCAGTCTAGTTAGAGATTTTTCTGTTTTGTTGTATTTTCAAGGATCCAGCTTTTGGTTTTGTTGATTTCTTTATTGTTTTTCTATTCTTTATTTCATTTATTTCCACCTTCATCCTTATTATTTCATTTATTCTGCTATCTGTGGCTATGTTTTGCTTTTTGGTTTTTAGGTTCCCTAAGGTGTAAAGTTAGGTTGCTGATTTGAGATATTTCATCTTTTATAGTACAGACGTGCATATTTATAGCTATGAGTTTCTGAGCACTTCCTTCACTACATCTTATAAAACTTAGTATGTTTTGGTTTTGTTTTCATTTGTCTCTAATATTTCTCTATTTCTCTTGGGATTTCTCTTTAATATTTTACTTAAGAGTGCACCATTTAATTTCCACATATTTGTGAAGTTTTAGTTTTTCTTCTTTTATTAATATCTAGCTTTATTCAATTATAGTCAGGAAAGATATTTTATATCATTCTAACCTTTTTACTTATATTAAGAATTGTTTTATAGCCTAATAAATGGCCTACCCTAGAGAATGTTCCATGTCCACTTGAGAAAAATGTGTATCCTGCTGACATAGGGTACAGTGTTATATTTCTGTTAGTTCTAGCTGGTTTACAGTCCTGTTAAATTCGTCTATTTTCTTATTGATCTGTCTAGATATTCTGTCTATCATTCAAGGTAGCTAATTGAAGTCTCCAACTATTATTGTAGAACTTATATAAGTTAGCTTAACATTTTGCAACATCCTCCCCCTTGAGATGATACATTTGGCTACTGTAGGTTTTATCTGGGGCTTGTAGGCTAATAAACTGAGAAGAATGTACTATCCAAGTGTTTGGAAAATTGAGATGAGTCTTTTGCTGCCTCACAGCGTGAAAACAAAAGACTTGTATTAAGTACCATGGCAGTAAGAAGTTCCGAAACTATAGACTATAGGAAAATGAATCACTTTTTAGTGAGCTTGATGTTCTATTATACTTTCTCTGTGAAAGCATTTGCTTCTAGGTGTAGAAATTAATAGAAGAGAAACCAAGTTATTACTTGAGAATAGGACAGGTTAAGATGACTTGATAATTGGTTTGATGTGAAAACTGAGAGATTGGAGAAGTCAAGAGTGAATGCCTAATTTCTCTCTTAGGCATAGCAGACCAGATACTAAATGAAAGAGACCAAAGGAGGAGCATGTTTGGTAATAAAAAATATGTTTGTATATTTGGTGTATTGAGTTGAATTTTATGTGCATTTGATAGCTCCAGGTGAAAATATCTAGCAGAGATGAATTTATTAATTTGAACTCTAGGGCTGAGACCTGTGCTGGATATGTGCATTTGGGGATTATTAACGTAGCCCCTAATAGCCTGAGGCTACATAAAATAACAAAAAATAAGCATTGAAGAAAAAGGTCAGAAGGCCAACCTCTGAAGCAAAGGGAATACTGACATATAGGGTAACTCAGAGAGGAATCCATGAAGGATTCCACCATGAAAGATTCAAAATGAGATGAGAACTGTCTTAAAGCTCAAAAGCCAAGATACTAGAGCACTGCAAGAAGAAGTGGCTGTATCTATCATGCAAGCAGAATGAGCCGTCCATGATGGCAACCTTAGAACAGAAAATCCCAGGTGAGAGCATGGCTTTTGGTAGGAAAGATTGTTTAGCAAACCGTGGAAACAGCTGATCCCAGCTCCAGATGGATGGTAGAGGAAAGAGAATCTCACTCAAGGATGATGATGTGGCAGAGGTGAAAGTGTTTAGAATTATTGTGATAAAAACAGCAGATATAGTAAAAATGAGAAATGAGAGAAGTGAAAGATTAAAATATTCAGAGGAAAGACTTGAAGAGCTTAATTTTCAGAAAAGCAGCTAGATAGTAATGTTAAATTCATGATTAATAGTAACATAATTAACTTATAATTAATTTCAAAACTGGGAGAAACGTGTCACATCTTGTATATGCTCGTTAGATTGTTGATTTATTTTTTATCTTTTTATTTTAAACACTTGTGGGTACGTAGTAGGTGTTCATATTTATGGGACACATGAGATGTTTTGATACAGGTATGCAATGTGAAATAGGCACATCATGGAGAATGGGGTATCCATCTCTTCAAGCATTTATCCTTTGAATTACAAATAATTCAATTATACTCTTTAAGTCATTTAAAAATGTTCAACTAAGTTAGTATTGACTGTAGTCACCCTGTTGTGCTATCAAATATTAGGTCTTATTTATTCTTTCTGACGTTTTTTAACCCATTAACCATTTCCACCTCCCCACCCCGACAGTGCCTTCCCATCGTCTGATAACCATCCTTCCACTGTCTGTGTCCATGAATTCAATTGTTTTGATTTTTAGATCCCACAAATAAGTAAGAACATGTGATGTTTGTCTTTCTGTTTCTTAATTATGTTGTTTATATATTCTATTTCCCCACCTTAAAACATTGTACTTATTTTAACAATTTCATTAGTATATAATCGAACAAAATGTAAAGTATGTGATTTTTATATTTTCCGTATATTAATATACTTGTGAAACCATCACCATTATCAGTATAATGAGTAGATCCATCATTTCCAAAAGTTTACTTAAGCCTTTTTACAATTTATCCCCCATACCACCCCTCTTCAACCCCCTCTCCAGGGAACTATGAATCTAAATTCTTTCACTGAGGATTAGTTTGCATTGTTTAGATATTATACAACAGAAATATAGAATATGCCCTCTTTCTTTGACTTCTTTCACTCAGAATACTAATTTTGAGATTAATCCATTTTGTTGCATCTATCACTAATTATTTCCTTTTTATTTCTTAATATCGTCACATTGTATAAATATACCACAATTTGCTTAGCCATTCACTTGTTAATATAGCCATTGTCTTGTTTTCAGTTTTGGGCTGTTACAAATAAAACTATGAATATCCACATACAAGTCTTTTTGTGGACATGTTTTCATTTGTCTTGGATAAATACCTAGGAGTAGAATGGCTCAGTCAAGTGGTGGGTATATATTTGGTTTTTAAAGAAACTGTTAACTGTTACCCAGGGTTGTTAAACCATTTTGTTTGCAGCAGTGAATGAAAATTCCAGTTGCTCTGCATTTTCATCATTTGGTGTGGTCTTTTTAATTGTAGATATATTAACAGGTGTGTGTAAGTATATTGTTATGATTTTAATTTGCATTTTCTTAACAATCAATTCTGTTTAACATCCTTGAATGCATTTGACATCTTTATGTCTTTGAACTAGGTATTAAAATCTTTTGCCCATTTTTTTTTTTGTATTGTATTGTTTATCATTATTAAATTATATACCATTCTTTCTGTATCCTGGATACTTTTCCTGGATCTGATGCATGATTTACAAATATTTTTCTTTAGTCTGTGCAGCTCTTAATTTTACTGAAGCACTATTTATAAATTTACTTTTATTTTCATGGATCACGCTTTTGGTGTCAGGTCCAAGAAAATTTTGCCTAACTAAGGTCGCAAAATTTTTCTCCTATTTTTTCTTGATGTTTGATGGATTAAAGTTTGACATTTATATGTATAATGCATTTGGAGTTAAGTTTTTACATGCTGGAAGGTATAAATCAAATTTTATTTTATTTAATGTGTTTTGTATGTAGATCTACAATTTCTCTAATATCGGCAATACATAATGATTTGCTTTTGCTGTGTCTTGTACTTTAGAAACATCATTAATTTTATGTTTTGAAATACCTAGTATATTTTTACTGAATGCTAGACATTGTGTATTTTTTAAAAAATGATACAGGCTCCAGGTGATATAAACTCTCCACCACAAAAGAGTCACCACATTTTTATACCAGACACAAAAAATCAGGGTTGATCATCCTAACCCAGTTAGAGAGTAGGCTAGGTTTCAATTTCTGTAAGGATCTGTTTAGCTCCACTTTGTACTTGCATTTTTAATGTACTATACGATATCTAAGGCAAGACTCTTAACGCAAAGTTCTCCAGGACTTTCCATTGAGAACCTTTGTGTATCTGCCAAGGCCCTGACCATGGGTGGATGTTGAAGCCTAATCCTTGCCTTATCAGCACTTAGAGAGCTTTCATAATCTTCCAGCTTAGTTTCTTAGTTTCCTACCCCAAGACGCTTCACAATTCAGTGACGAGCTTCATGGGAAAACTGGCTGCATGTCTTTCTCACCTCTCAATCACTTTCTTCTCATCACAATCTTTCACTTTCAGTCTTTAGTTTTTCTCTCCAGCTCCACATGACCACTTTATCCTCTTAATCCTATGTCCCTGAGCCCCACAGGACCACCAAGACTGCTCCTGATCTTGTATCCTGAGCAGCTGTGATCCACTGCTGGCCGGAACTTGGATTCCCAGCTCTTGCCTTGTGTCCAGAATCAGCAAAGAAATTCCCTCAGAAGGAAAGTGGCTTTAGGATGTCAGTTTACTGCTTTGGGTTTATCCCTCTGAAATTTCTCTTCCTCTCCCTTGTCTTTTTTCTTCAGTAGTTCTCTGATGCCTCTAAGTAGTTTTATTTTTTTAAAATAAACTTGTACTTCTTTAGTGTTTTCCCATGGGAGTGTTGGCCTCCAAGCTACTATGTTCTGTTCAAAAGCAAAAGTTTGATACAGCCTCTTCCCCTTGGCTTGGTAATTAATCTTAGCATTCGCTCGTCTGTTCTCCCTGTTGTCTCCATTTGTATTTGTCATTGTTGTTTTACTTGTTAGACGTCCACTCTATTATCTTCCACTGAGATTGAAATATGTGTGTATGTTATTTCTTATTCTTGGTTGTTTAAAGTTTAAATATCATCCACTTCTAAATTTGTGGATGCAGAAAATTCACTTCTCATAGATGCAATATATCCCTTTTTTCCTCTGAGAAGATGATGGGGGCATCTTTTGCCTCCAGGTTCTATGGACTCAGAGTGACACTTCCATCTCTCATTGATGACTGTTCTGTGTTTCAGGCAGAAGGGCAGTTTCCAGGGGGGTAAACATACAACGATGACTTGAATAAACATCTCTTTATTTTATTTTAAATCAACCCAGTCTCATCAGCTTTTTCTTTTCTTTTTCTTCTTGGTTATGAGGGGAAGGCTGGAAAGAAAACTTTTTTTTTTTTTTTTTTTTTTTTTTTTTTTTTTTGAGATGGAGTCTCGCTCTGTCGTCTAGGCTAGAGTGCAGTGGCACAATCTAGGCTCACTGCAAGCTCCGACTCCCGGGTTCACGCCATTCTCCTGCCTCAGCTTCTGAGTAGCTGGGACTACAAGCGCCCGCCACCTCGCCCGGCTAATTTTTTTTTTGTATTTTTAGTAGAGACGGGGTTTCACCGTATTAGCCAGGATGGTCTCGATCTCCTGACCTCCTGATCCGCCCACCTCAGCCTCCCAAAGTGCTGGGATTACAGGCATGAGCCACCGCGCCCGGCCTAGAAAACTTTTTGTCATTACGACAAGAGCCTCAGTAACCAAGTACACAGACCTCCATTAGAGATTTGGGAAAGAAGAGAAGAAAACACATGGATGTCTATTTATTAGTTTTTTCTGACATATCACATGTTTATCTCCAGGATTTCCTTGTATAAAATCATCACAGGGCCTTAGGGGTCTTTGCATACCACATACCCAGGAAACCTGACTTGCATATTAGTAGGAGTTCAAAGAGAGCGTGGTCAGTTGAATTGCTGCTAGAATCGTGGGGCGACAAGTAGCCAGTGGAGAAGCTGCCAAGAGGGTCATCGGAACCTTCTGCCAGCAGCTGAAGCACAGGCAGCATGGCAGCTAACGTTGAATGAGAAGCAAGTAGGCTTTAAGAAATCAAGTTCTCCATGTAGGTGGGGAATTTTGTTATTTCACTGAACCATCTTAACTTTTCCATATAAATAAGAAATTTAAAAGTTAATGAAAATGACTGTCGGGCAGGAGTGGTAACGACTCCTGTCAGGTTCGTGCGGCTCATCCTTCCTCGCTAATGAGCTAGGGCGAGCTGATTTTCCCCTCTTCCTTTGGCTCTCTCTTTAATCAGTGTGATGTATTCTTGGACTGCCTTTGTGGTTTTTGTGTGGACAAGATGTTTTCAAGCCGATTTTGAATATAAAAAGGGGGTAGGACAAGGACAGGAGCATGTCACTGCTTAATTTTGCATTAGCATTTCAGGTTATTCCAGCTCCTTAATTTTATGACTTTGTTTACTAACTATTAGAAAGAAAAGCGATCAGAATCAAATTGCCTCGCCTGCACCTGCATGGGCCCGGAAGTGATTTATGGCATCACTGCTACCAGGCTGTTCCCTGGGATGTGCCCCGAACTTTGGCAGCCTCCACCTGGCTGGGCTTCATTTTGCAGCCCTCCTGCACATCGGCCCGGCGCTGCGAGGAGGAATCGGCCACACACAGACCTGCTTCAGCCCATGGCTGAGTTGGAGTCTGTCTTCCTTGGTGATGACCATTCAAAAGCTACTGTAAGCTTTTCAACGTTGTAAACCCCCATCTATTTCAGATCCTGTGCTTACTTCCAATTAATCTGAATGGGAGTTGCATAGTTCCAGTGAAATTTTATTCTTATTTTGTGTTTTCTTGGCTTTATTTCCCCTATAAATTCAGAGCAGAGGTTGAGACATGGCAATTTTTCATCATGATTGCATCTCTCTTGGTCTTCCAAAAACATGGAAGGGTGTGAATAGCTCGAATAATTATCATTTCCTTCTTCTTTAAAATGGCTATCATGTATTATTTACCTTCCTAAAGACATGGTGAAAGTAAATTTCTTACATGCATTTTTCAACATGCAACATGTATTTACTGAGTGTCTACTCTAGGCCAAGCACTGTTCTAAGAGTAGAAAATACAGTGGTGTATTAGGTAGAATATATTCCTACTCCCATGAAGCATTCATTTAATGAAGTCAGTCAATACAGAATCTTTCATAAAATAAGTATTTTCTGATACTAGAATATTATCAAAAAGAAAATAAAACACTGTAAGAGTAAGGGCTAATGTTTTAGAAAGAAGTGAAACCTTTTACCTGAAGCCTTAGGAATTGAAGAATTTTGGAAAGGGCATCACCCAGAGATTATAGCAAGTGCATAGTGAGTCAGGAGACAGGGTGTTTAAAGTTGATAAGCAAGACGACCGTGGCTCACGTATGGTGAAAAAGAAAAGGGAGGGAGTGCATGGGACTCAGGGTGGAGATGTAAGCAAAGGTCACACTGTATAGTTTCTTATATTAGTCCATTCTCATGCTGTTAATAAAGACATACCCGAGGTTGGGTAATTTATAAAGGAAAGAGGTTTAATGGACTCACAGTTCCACATGGCTGGGGAGGCCTCACAGTCATGATGGAAGGCAAATAAGGAACAAAATCATGTCTTACATGGCGACAGGAAAGAGAGCTTGTGCAGAGGAACATTTATAAAACCATCAGATCTGCTGAGACTTATTCACTACCATGAGAACAGTATGAAGGAAACCATCCCCATGATTCAATTATTTCCACGTGCCCCTCCCGCTTGACATGTGGGGATTATTACAATTCAAGGTGAGATTTGGGTAGGGTCACAGTCAAACCGTATCAGTCCTTATGGTACATTGTAGGAAAAATAGAAACACATGTATATATATATATGAATTATTTTTAGCAGGAAAGTGCTTTGATCAATTCCCTCTTATAAAGATCATTTGCTGTTGGCAAGGATGTGAAGAAACTGGAACAAGGATTTATGCACTATTGGTAGGAATGTAAAATGATGCAGCTACTATGGAAAACAAAAAGCAGTTTCTCAAAAATTTAAAATAGAATTACCACATGATCCAGCAATCCGCTTCTGGATGTATACACAAAAGAATAAAAAACAATGTCTCAAAGAGATATTTGTACATGTTCATAGCAGCATGACTCACTATAGTCAAAAGGGGGAAGCAGCTAAGTGTCCACTGATGAATTAATGATAAGCAAAATGTTGTATATGCATACAATGAAATATTTAGCCTTACAAGAGAGGAAAATTCTGACATGTGCTGAGCAGGAATGAGGACATTGTGCTAAGTAAAAAACAAAAGAAAACCATCACACAAAGACAAACTGTGTTTCCACTTACATGCTGTACCTGGAAGAGTCAATTTCATAGAAAGAGAGGTAGACAAGTGCTGGCGGAAGAGAAAAAGGAGAGTTATTTAAAGGTTGCATAGTGTCAGTTCAGGATGGTGAAGAAGTAGAGATGGATGGTGGTGATGTTGCACAACAATGTGAATGTACTTAATGCCACTGAACTGCACACTTAAAAGGCTAAGATAGTGAATTTTATGTTAGGTATATTTTACCAAAATTTAGAACTTTTAAAAAGGAAAATATCATCTACTGGTCTTTAGAGTACAGACTTCAGAAGCCCAACATAAAATCATGCAGACCTGTAGGAAGCTGTTGCCTATGTCCAGCCCCAGACATGATAGTAGCTTGCACTATTAGTCACTTGTAGCCTTTACTAGGATGGTTTCTGTGTAGGTGGAAAATGCAGAGAGTTTATACACAGCCCATTCCAGGAATTTCATTGTAAATGTAAGTAGAGAATTGCAAAGGCATCTTAGCTAGAGAAGGTGTTGGGTAATGCAAGGGGTGTGTGTGTGTGTGTGTGTGTGCACCCTTAGCACTAAGAATGTTGATGGGAATATCCATTAGAAAGGGAAATAGTGATGAAGAAGAGAAGGAAATAGTAATTGAATAAGAGAGGGAGAGGAATAAAAAAGCAAAGCTTTGAGGTACCTTTGAATCAGATCTAGTGAAAATTTAGAAGTGTTGTCTTCAGATAGGGGTAAGAAAAGGTCATTCATGGTAAAAAGTGGGGCAGTAAAAGCATGGGGGGCAGTGCCTGTATACTGGTACTCTAAATGTCAGAAAAATGATACTATTCTCATTTAATTATTTCAGCTTCATCAGTGAAATGAGAAGTGAGGTTATTACTTGGGTGTGAAGAGGGTACAAATAATTGCTGAAGGTTACAGTAGAGAGTAGAAGTTTGAAATTGTTGTCTTGCTGAGTGACAAAGCTAATTACTTAAGGGCAATGCAGTAGCATAGCCTAGTAGGACTTACAGTCCCTTGGGATTTGTGACAAATGTACGTATGTCATTTATTCCTCAAAGCATTCCTACAAGATAGGTATCATTTTACTAGAGTTATAGGTCTAAACCTGGGGCTGAGAAGGCAGAGTAAGCAGGGGGCCATGTTCCTTTTGTTTGTACAAGGCCACACCTCTAGGTGCAGGATCTACTTAGGATCTGCCAATTGCTCAGCACCTGACATTTCTGTTAACCTTACTAGGGCAATATCTTAGCTTCCACTAACAGAGAGGATCAAAGTAAAGTTTAGGCAACTTCCCAAAGTCACAAGAGGCAGAAGTAAGTTTCAAATAATTCTGGCTCCAAACTCTTGTCTTCCACCTACCCACACACTCCACACAGAGCAATGTCCTCAGGCAGGGGTGGAGATAAGCTGAGGGAGATAAGCTGAGGGAGAATAACCAATTCTCTTCATTCTCCCAGGCCACAAAAAATTTATAGTTGCATTCTATGTGTATTTAAAATGATCTAAAATATCAATTTTGGAAAGTTCACAGATTCAGATCCCAGGTACACTTAGGTTTTTACCTCTTTGTTGAGAAATAAAATAATCTGAGGCCTAACATTAAACAAAGTCAAAACTACTGCTGAGTTTCCAAACTTCTAGTTCCACGTGATCTGTTGTTGAAGTTGCTAGCAGAAGGCATTTTATCTAAATACATTGAGTTATTTGGAAATGTCCATCTTAATATGCTCAAATATGATGTTTTCCCAGACAAAGGTCAAAGTGCCCAAGTACAGTTAAGGGTCAGAAAAATTTGGAGTAACTGGATTTGTTGCTTTTCAGTCTGAAGTTTAGGGAATAACCTCGAATAAGCTTTGTTATTCAGTATGGTCTCTCTCACTATTTTATCTTTTTATGAGCACCTTCAAATCAATATACCTTGTCACTTGCTGACATATGAAAATGGTTAAAGATTTTATCTCAAAATAAAATATTTCATAATTCTTCCCTGGTATAGCTTTTTCTATCATTGAATCTAAAATTAAATTGATTTATCATTTGTAAACATAACACCAAATGCAGAGTGATAGAACTGATTACATTTTTTAAAATTCATCTATATGTCAAAAATACTATAAACAAAGTTAAATAGCAAGCTGTGAAGAAAATTGCAAAGTGCAGATCAAAAAATCCAAAATGTATGATAGAAAACAGAAATACAATAATATAAATATAGACAAAGCATATAAAATATAATTCACAATGAGAAACACAAATGCTCAACAGATATAAAAAAGTTCTTCAAATAGACAAATGGGATTACATCAAGCTAAAATGCTTCTGCACAGCAAATAAAATAACGTACAAATAGAAGAGACAATGTATGGAATGGGAGAAAATAATTAAAAACTATCCATATGACAAGGGATTAATTGCCAGAATATATAAGGAACTCAAACAACTCAATAGCACACACACACAAAAATGATTTGAATGTGGGTGAGAGACCTGAATAGATATTTTCTAAAAAAACACATACTAATGACCAACAGGCATATGAAAAAAGGCTCAACACCTCTAATCATCAGGGAAATGCAAATAAAAACCACAACAAGATATTATCTCACACATGTTAAAATGGTTATTATAAGAAGGACAAAAAATAATGGATGTTGGCAAGAATATGGAGAAAGGGGAATGCTCATACACTGTTGATGGAAATGAAAAGTGCAGCCACTATGGTGAGCAGTGTGGAAGTTCCTCAAAAACACTAAAAATAGAGCTACCATATAATACAGCCATCCCACTCCTGGGTATATATCCAAAAAAGAAAAAAGAGGAAATCAGTATGTCAAAAAGACAGGAACACTCTCCTATTTATTGCAACACTACGCAATAGCCAAGACATGAAACCAACCTAAGTGTCCATCAACAAATGAACAGATAAAGAAAATGGAGTATATATATACACAATGGGATATTATTCAGCCATTAAAAACAATGAAATCCTTGCCATTTGCAACAACATGGATGGAACTCAAAGTCATCAGGTTAAATGAAATAAGCCAAGCACAGAAAGACAATCATGACATGCTCTCACTTATATGCAGGAGCTAAAAAATGGGTCTCATGGAAGTAGAGAGTAGAAAGATGGTTACAAGAGGCTGGAAAGGGTAGGGTGGAGGGGGAGATTAAGAAAAATGTGTTAAGGGATACAAAATACAGTCAGATAGAAGGAATATGTTCTAGTATCAATAGTATAGTAGGGTGACTATAGTTAACAATAATTTATTGTGTATTTCAAAACCTCCAGAATAGAAAAATTGGAATAGTCCCAACAGAAAGAAAAGATAAATGTTTGAGGTAATGAATATACCAGTCACCCTGATTTGGTCATTACGGATTTTATTCAGATAGATATTCCACTACCGCATGTATGCCCCAAATATGTACAACTAGTATATATCCATTTTTAAAAACTAAAAGATTCTTCAAATTACATGCATAAAAATACAATGACTTATAATCATTAGCCACTGATTAGAAAATAATCATCTCAGGTTAATCATAAATTTATCATTATCATTAAACTGAAAATGCTAAGGGTTTGTGAGTGTGCAGAAACTTATTATCCACTTGGTGTGGGTAAAAGTTTTATGGAGGACAATTTCAATTTATATATAAAAATTTTAAAATGTTCACACTTTTTAGAAAGCAGTTTCACTTCCAGAAATGGTTATAGTAACCACAGCAATAATTAACTGAATGGGCAAACATATAATTACAGAGTGGCAACCTTACAAACTTGCTCACATTGCTGGGACCATTGGAAACCTCAGAATAAAACACATGGGCAAACTGAATCCTAACAAACATGTAACCATTTCTCTGTCTCCCTTGGGGACTCAATGTAGTGTTGCTTATATTGAGCATTTAGTCAACATATATTTAATGGTTATGTAGTTTAACTGTAAAAGACCTATACAGGAGCTGATAGAAATGAAAAGACATATAGTAACCAATTCATTATAGTAACTCAATCCTCAAAACTTCTCTGCCAGTTGAGTTAGACAGAGTCCTTAAGTTTTATGAAAAGTATATGGAGATGTAAATGTTCAACTTACAAATATTTTAAGAGATATGTGTGTAGTGAATGGGATAATACTTGTAAAATTTCTAGAACAGTGCCTGGCATATAGCAGGGGTTCAGAACCTAACAGGTAATGTAATAAAATTACACCAGTGTGTGTGTTATTATCAAAGATTCATGGCATGTTTCCTTTATAAATGGTTCTTCCTTTCTTCTCTTCCCTCCATTTTTCTCTCTTCCTCCTTACTTCTTTCATCCCTCTCTTTCATTTCTTTCTTCTAACATTTTTGAATATCTAAGATGAGTCATGCATTTTACTAGGCACTGAAATAAGTAAAAAACCAATACCATGTTGTCGTTGTTGTTTTTCTCATAGAATTCATAGCATAATTGATACAACTAGCTTTGAAAGAAGCAATGTCATACATGACAAGCAAAATCTCTAGCATCTGAAGCTAATTCTACTTGGATAAAATTTTAAGACTTTTGTTTGTAGTGGATTTTGAAGACCAAATTGTAACATATAAGACAGAGAAGGCAGAGATGCCTTTTCTTGCCTATGACATAATTTTGCATTTGAAAGGATATATGAGTTTTGGAGACTGCAGGAACTGGAGAAATAATAGGAAGAGCTTCAGACAAAGCAGGTGAAAATAAGTCACAGTAAGTATGGAAAAGATATTGAAAAAGATGAAAAGGAGTTTGTGCTTGATCCTATATAAACAATTTCAAGAAAAACAATGGCCTGATACATTTTGTTTGTGAGACTAGCATGCTGACAATGATAAGGACAAATTAACTACGACCGCACCTGATTTAATATACACCTTCTTTGAAGAACATCTACCATGGGCCTAGAGTGTGCCTGTGTTACTCAGTGCCAAGGGTGTGCATGCATTTCCTAAAACAGAATGAGCAATGTGTTTATTTCTCCTGTGAGCCTTTCTTTCCTCAGGTATCTAATAGCTCAGGGAGGGTCTGCTTCCTTCATTATTTATTCAACAAACATTATATTACTCTAAGTTGAACTAGAAGAAAGAGACACAAAGAATATAAAGGCATGGTTTCTTCTCTCCAAAGTATTACAGGCAAACAGGACAGGAAAGAGCTTAACTGTCTAGCAATGGGGCATGATCAATGCTACCGTAGACATGTACAGTGGAAGAAAAATGGAGGGGACATTGACTATTCTTGGAAGAAACATTTTCCCAGGATAGGAAACACTCAAGGCAGGTTTCGATAGATGAAATTGGACTTTACAAGGAGATGAAGGGGAGAAACGCCTTCCAATCCCATCTGTTTTCGTGATGCTCTTTTTCTTTTCTTGGTGCTTTGCTTTGACCCAATAGGAAGGGAGGGTTGCCCTCTCCTCCAGAGTCCTGTAACATACTGCCATTTTCAGTATGGCCCGGGGCTTTGAATGTGCCTGAATAGCATGTATGCAGTCTTATTGTATCATTAGACAAGCTCTTTGAAGTAAGTAAAATAATTTTAATTTTATAAACAAGGTAAACCCCAGGAAATCTAAGTCAGTAGTCATTACGACTATATCACATATGCCTCTGTATTGACAATTACCTCCAAGTACCGCCACATGCTCCCAAGTAAGAAGAGGAGTCCCACTTATTTATGCTGCATCCCCAGTGTAGCGGTGTCGAGTGTAGCCTTGGACCCAGCAGGTGTCCTAAAATATTTAAGGAATGAACAAATAAATTAATGCGTAAGCCCTAGAAATAGCTCTTGAGACTTGGCTACTTCCACCAGATATGAAGATCTTTTGTTTTATATGCTTTGCCTTCTGAACTAAATTATTTCCCTCTTGAGGGCAGAATATCTACCTTAATCTTTGTAACCCCCCATAGCACCTAACACAGAGCCCTGTCCAATGTAGGAGAACTTGACAGATTTTTTTTAAAGTAAATTACCCATTTTCGATAGCTTTTGGAATAAACTTCAGTCCACCTGCTTAGTTTTGTAAAACCATATCTAATCCCATTAGGTAGGTTTTTGCCTTACTGCTATTCTGGAAGAAATTGAAATCATTGCCCCCCCTCCAACAACGCTCTTTTTTTCCCTAGGATGTTTTTTTTTAGCTCTGGGGTTTTAAAATACCTTCACACATCCTAACCTCTGTGGCTAATATGACCCATGCAGAGACCTTCTTTCCTCTACGGAAATTAATTTAAAACGTGGCTTTTGCTGGAGCAAATTCTTAGATCCCAATAGGTTTCATTCTTATAAGAAATCTTAGCAAATTGTAATTAAAGGAAAAAATTAGGGGGTAAAAAAGGGTGAAAAACTACCATCTTAAACCTTGACTGCAGTTCTAACCTACATTATTGTTTTGTTGCTGTTTTAGCCAAGTTAAATTGTTGTTGGAAGTAAATTTTGAAAACCACTTTCCATACCATTTAAAACTCCAAATTTCTGCCCCTCATTTTAACTTTGAGACATTAGTATCTCTGGTGAGCTTGAAACATAGTTCTCTAAGAAGAGAGCTGCCATTTTCCCTGCAGCTGTTAAATTGCTGTGAGTTGGCACCAAACTTGCTGGAGTACACCTTGAGGTTCAAGTGTGTCTGTGTGGTGGTGAGTGCTCAGAGCCTCCCCACCTGCTGTGTCCGTTAATGGTCACTCTCTCCTGAATGAAAAATGTGAGAATGCAGATTTCAAAATGACTGCCATCTCTATCTTTATTGAAATCTTCCATTATTGTGGGAAGACAGGTAAATAGAGATGCTGGTCAGAAATCAAATTAACCAGTAAAGAACTATCGATGAGCTGGCTGCACTAACGCGGAATCTCTGTTACTCCCACTCCCATGAAGCCTGCTGTGTCCAATGGCTAGTGAACAATTCCAAAACCGTGGTGACAACTTCTACTTCTTTTGGGGGCCTCTACCAATTTCATAACATATAAATTATGTTCAATCATTATGGTTGTTATGTATTTTTCAAATCTATCCTTCTCTCATCTGTGCTATGCCAATACTTTCATTCAGGCTCTCCACACATTTCCCTGAAAATTGTTAAAAGCGTCTGATGCTGGGTTCATACCCATAATCTCGACACTTTGGGAGGTCAAGGTGGGAGGATTTCTTGAGGCCAGAAGTTTAAGATCAGCCTAGGCAACATAGTAAAACCCCATTTCTACAAAAAAAAAAAAAAAAAAAAAAAAAAAAAACTAGTGTGCACGTTGGTGGGCATCTGTAGTCCCAGCAATGCAGGAGGCTGAGGTGGGCAGACTGCTTGAGCCCAGGTGGCTGAGGCTGTAGTGAACCATAATTGTACCACTGTACTTCAGCCTGCATGGCACAAGGCGACCCTGTCTTAAAAATAAATGGATAAATAAACAAAGAAGAAAAATCCTCTTAGCTGGTCTTCTTGGGGCATATACAACAGAGAGGAGCAGAGAAAGTCATCGTATGTAGAGCTTAATGCCATGTGATTCTCCTCAACTGACAGGAGACGTTATTACTTCTAACATCACCATAAGATTCAATATTGTTTCCAATGTTTTACTCACCATCTCTGTGGAATCATCATATCTGCCCACTGCTTTGTGGTTTGCAGTGACCTCCCCACCACACTTTCCCCATGGGAAGAAGATTCTTCCCTGTCCCGTTCGCATGGGCTCAACCACAGGGCATGCTTCAACTAGATAAATGTGCAAAAGTGTCAAGAGCCATGTAGAAGCTGTGATAGCCATCATCTCGTCTGGTCATGCCATGTTCCCTCTGCCAGGGGACGGGCATATCCTAGATAAGAACTGCTCCTTCAGCCTGGGTCTTGGAAGGAAAAATAGCTGTCAGAGCAGCAGCTGACCTCAGCCAACGTACAACCTTTGCGAAAGGTAAACCTTTGTTGTTTCAGCCTCTGAACTTTGGGGATTATTTCTTTTTCTTGTTATATTGCCCAGGCTGAACTCAAACACCTGGGCTCAAGCGATACTCCTGCCATAGCTTCCTAAGTAACAGGGACTTGGGGTTATTTGTTACTCTTAACAGTAGAACAAAACCATGATAATACAATGAAACTTTCATTTTTAGGCTATTTAATTCCTTGTAAATCATGATTTTGTAGCAGCTGGTATCACCTTGCATAAGCTTTCATTGGATTTATGAAATAATGTCTTGTCTTACTCAGCATGAACTGCTGTGACAAACATCACAGACTAGATGGCTTCAAGAACATTTACCTCTCCTAGTTCTGGAGGCTAGAAGTCTGGAGTCAGGGTGCCAGCCTTGTTGGGTTCTGGTGAGGCTTCATCTGGTTTATAGAAGGCCACCTTCTTGCTGTGTCCTCACTTGGCAGAGAGCTCATCTCTTTTGTGTTTCTTTTTGAGGGCACTAATCTCATTCATGAGGACTGCAACCTCAGGGTCTGATCACCACTCTCAGGCCCCACCTCCTAAGACCATCACGTTAGGGATTAAGGCTTCAACCTATGAATTTTGAGGGGATACTGACTTTCAGTCGGTAGCATGTCTCTTTTGCAGAACATCCAAAGATTATTGATTATACGGGATCATACCTGGAAGGCAACATGCTGAACATAAACTCAGTAATTTACTAATGTAATCTGTATCTCTGCCCATGTCTGCTCTTTATTAATTTTCAGTGACTCAGCTGTGTGTATTTGATGTCTTAGCTCGTGTCAAAGAACGATGTATTTCAAAAGTCTTTCTCTTAAAAATGATTTGTTAAAAAGGAGAAATATTTCTGATGTTGAGCCTTTTCTTCACTTCTGGCTTCAGAGCAGTGAGATGTCCTCTTTTGGTGGCTCTATTAACAATTAACCTTCACATAAATGGCAGCCAACCTTCCCTTTGACACTGTAATTGTTCCATAATTCTGGCTTGAAAAAGACTATTTCATGATCGGCAGCAAACATTTGTTAAACCTCCATTAAGCACCAGGTTGAGAAACAATAAAAATGTACAATTCAGAGCCTACTCTGGGGAAGAACATGCTGGAGCCTTGGAGGCAGAGCAGCCTGGGTGCCAAAGGGAGAAGTCAGGTGAGGCCTCAGGGCCAGGAGAAATTTCACCCCTTTCAAAAATAGGCTCCAGAAGGGCTTCCTGGAAAGCACAGAGGGAAGAAACAGCACCAAGAATGGTGGATGGAGGAGACAGGACTGGAACGTGACGGGAAGGTAAAAAGAAAGTGGGAAAAGAGAAGAAAAAGGACACTTTTCGAGCATCTGCTACATGATGTTAGGATTTACATTTTTTTCCTAATGCAATCTTTAAAGCAAGTCTTATGAAGTGGGCATCATCATGCCCATTCTAAAGACAGAGACATTGAGGCTGATCACTTACTCAATGCCTCACGGCTAGTAAGTGTCCAAGCTATGAGTTCCTGTTCTCTTTGCCTTTCAAGCCGTGGCTTTTGCAATGTGTAATTTTTCTGATCTTTGACCTCTTAAACCACATTACCTACATATCCCTTACAACCTCCCTTGACTGTTGTAAGCCTAAAATGAGAAGTGAGTGTGTGTAACCTCTCAGCTGCAGAGTCTCCACACTGGGCACTCCTTTCTGCCCTTGCACATGCTCTTCCCTCTGCGTGAAAATGGCCACACTGCCCAAGGTAATTTATAGATTCAATGCCATCCCCATCAAGCTACCAATTGGAAAAAACTACTTTAAAGTTCATATGGAACCAAAAAAGAGCCCACATTGCCAAGTCAATCCTAAGCCGAAAGAACAAAGCTGGAGGCATCACGCTACCTGACTTCAAACTATACTACAAGGCTACAGTAACCAAAACAGCACGGTACTGGTACCAAAACAGAGATATAGACCAATGGAACAGGACAGAGCCCTCAGAAATAACACCACACATCTACAACCATCTGATCTTTGACAAACCTGACAAAAACAAGAAATGGGGAAAGGATTCCCTATTTAATAAATGGTGCTGGGAAAACTGGCTAGCCATATGTAGAAAGCTGAAACTGGATCCCTTCCTTGCACCTTATACAAAAATTAATCCAAGATGGACTAAAGACTTAAATCTTCCCTCTGCTTAGAATGCTCCTGTACCTGTTGGCAGTACATGCCAGTTCATGCAGGCTGCAGACACTCTCAGCAACAACATTTGCACGGAAGGGAAAGGACTCTTTGAAAGTTATATGCCATCTTAGATACATTCCTGGCTGTTATCATAGAACGAGTTAAAGCATATCAGTATTTGTAACTCAGCAATACATGCTTTTGTATACTTTGAATGAGAATTTACCATATCTTTTTAAAAGAATCCAATATACATTCTGATTTATCATCTGCCATTGCCCGTTTGTCTTATCTCCCTTTCTGAAATATCCTTTCAAGATGGAAAGTACAGCTGATTACAGAAGGTGTGTTTATAACTTGGTGACAGAGAAAGGAAAGTCAGGCGAGCACTATTGAATCAGATAGTTGGGGGTTTTATTGTGTTCTCTGAGCTACTTTTAATAAACTTTCTTGATACTCAGTAAAAGGATGTGGTCTCCATCAAAAGCTCTTTTCGGTAACCAAATCAACAAGAGGAGAAAAACACACCTACACAGTCCCAGGTGCAGCTGAACTGTGGAGAACTTTGTGAGGGTGCAGGGTGCCTCTGCTCCCACCAGCTCTGAGGGGCTCCCTGGGACCGGCAGCTCACATCTCACACAAAGTCACAGGTGTGTGGCAGCAGCGAGCTTCTTTCAGCTACAAGTTCAGAGGAAAGAGAGTGCACTGCCCTGTGCTCTCCCAACTTAGAATTGCAGCTGTCTTCCAGCTAACACTTTTCTATGCCCACCTCAATCTCAAAGCACTGGCCAAAGTCCAAGTATACTGAGCAGCCCCGAATTCATCTGCCAAATGCCCATCCATCCTCTTAGCCAGTCAAGCATTTGTAGGGACAGGGGTGTAGAGAGGAGGCTGGTTTGGAAAATGAGGCATCGGCTTGGGGTGATGGAGGAGAAGCACATATGACTCTTGCCCAAGGATGGGCAGGACCTCCTTTGCTTGGGGCCATTCCCCGCATTCTCTCATTGAGGTTAAAGAGAAGACACATGTCCTCCTGCCAGAGTCCCATGTTCAATAAATAAAACATGGCTGAGAGACAGGGTGTGGCTCCTGGGAGACTGCTGCTCATTTCTCTTTAGAAAACCCCCCACTGCCGACAACTTTTCTTTCTGTCTCGGAATTCTTCATGCATGTTTTGATGCATCTTTAATTCTATACATGTTATAGTCAAGGTACTTTGGTAGACCCCATGACATGTCAAAATATTGTTTGTCTTTGTCTTAAAGTTGTTATACCTCAGTTTCTTTACCATATAAGAGTGAGCATTTATCTTTATTTATTTTAAGGAGTTATTCAAAGTTATTACATAGATGAAAAGTCAGACAAGCAGGGAGCATGTCTGTTTGGTTGGCCTCTGCTTCATCAGTTCCTAGCTCAGTGCTATGCAAGAAAATACACAACTAATAGATAACTATTCTCTGGTCTGTAGTAGCAGTGATTTAAAAAACAACAGAAAAAGGCTACTCTAGTGTGAAGTGTCAACTCTAATACATTCATTGGCACACTCTGGGTGCTTTCACATATATGACTTCCTTTAGGCTTCATGGTCACTCTGAGAAGTAGGTCTTATGATAGTCGTTTGACAGAGAAATGGGGACTAAGAGAGTTTAAGTGACTCCACAAAAGGCTCAACATTTGTGTTGCAGCCAGAGTTTCAACCCAGACCCTTAAATCTAAGCCCGATGCTGTTCCACCAAGCCATCGTTCTCTTCCAATAGTGAGAAATATACTCTAGCCGGCAGGGTGCGGTGGCTCACGCCTGTAATCCCAGCACTTTGGGAGGTCGAAGCGGGGGGATCATCTGAGGTCGGGAGTTTGAGAACAGCCTGACCAACGTGGAGAAACCCCATGCCTACTGAAAATACAAAATTAGCCAGGCGTGGTGGCACGTGCCTGTAATCTCAGCTACTTGGGAGGCTGAGGCAGGAGAATTGTTTGAACCTGGGAGGCAGAAGTCATGGTGAGCCGAGATTGCACCATTGCACTCCAGCCTGGGCAACAAGAGCAAAACTCCATCTCAAAAAAAGAAAAAAAAAAAAAGAAATATACACTAGTCCACAGGAGGTAAGCACTGCTGGGCTATTCTCTTCACTCTCAGCCAACATGCCTAGTGGAATTCCACTGAGCTGGGGCCTGGCCAATTTGTCCCACACGTATGAGTGATGTTGCCATGCTGGGGGCTATACCTACATTGTTTCATTCTTCTTCAGAATAACTCTTCAAGGTGCCATCACAGCTGGGGCCATCAAAGCTGAACTGCAGGGAAGATCGGCCATGTCCCAGCATCACCCAGCTTTGCCTCCAAAGCTGCTCTCTGAATCACTGTGCTCCCCACACAGCCGCTAACATGTCAGTTGATTTTCAGGCATTGTACCAAAGAGCAGGGGCTTCTCAAGCTTTCCAAGGCCCTGGGGAGGCACTCCCAAACCAGATTTATGCATATAACAATGTAGTGCTCATGGGCCAATAATACCATCACTTCTACAGCACTCATTACATGTTGGCTGTCATTCTGAGTGCTGTAATGCATTCTAGCACATGTGTTCTTTTTCTTTTTTTAATTGAACCATGTTAGTGAATCTCTAGAATTATCACTTTTTGTCATCAAAACATGAGCCATATCACAAGTAAACATTACTTTGTTCTGTATTTTATAATCAGCTCTTATATGGCCAGCATGTGACCAAATGGATAAACAAGGTGATGCCCACGATGATCTCACAGCTTGGAAAGTAGCAGAGTACACTGGTGAGCAACCGGACACCTCATGTACACTGTACCAAGTGCTCTATAAATGTTCCTTCAGTTAGGGGCACCCTGAGATGGAAGGACCCACTGGCCTGGTCTTTTCAAAAGGGATGCATGTAACACTGTTTTGCCATTGATAGGTGCCCTAGGTAGAGAAATTTACCAGTGGGGATTTCAGAATAAAGCAGACAGGTGTCCAAGATGAGTGAGGAGCTCCAAGAGACTGAGCAGGTCACAGATGTTGACAACTGGCAGGACTCTATGTTCGTAGAGGAGATTTGAGCTAGATCAAAAAGGATCCAAATGTCATGCTACAATAGAGCTTTGAATCCAACAAAAACATTTACCCAGTTTCTTTTGAGTGGATAATGTGCTCTCTGGAGGCGAGGGGCAGCCTCCAAATCAATTTAGCAGAGAAGAATTGACGCACAGAGTTTCATCATCACAGCAGGGCAGGCAGCAGCAAGAAGGTTGGACTAGAAAGGAGTTTTACACATTTCTTGTAGCAGCCAAAAGTAAAACTTCCTTTTTCAATGTCTTAAAACTACATTATTTGTATCTTTTTTCTTGGTTTATAAAACATTATAAACATTTTGTAAGAACAGAGAGTAAGGCCAGGCGCAATGGCTCAGGCTTGTAATTCCAGCACTTTGGGAGGCTGAGGCGGGCAGATCATGAGGTCAGGAGTTCGAGACCAGCCTGACTAACATGGTGAAACACCGTCTCTACTAAAAATACAAAAATTAGCCAGCTGTGGTGGCACGTGCCTATAGTCTCAGCTACTTAGGAGGCTGAGGCAGAAGAATTACTTGAACCTGGGAGGCGGAGGTTGCAGTGAGCCCAGATCACACCATTGCACTCCAGCCTGGGTGACAGAGTAAGACTCCCTCTCAAAAAACAAAAAAAGAGATTAAAATAGTGAGTGTCTAGGTACCACTCCCAACTTTATCAACTTCCAATCTGTGCCATGTTATGTTTGCTGCAGATGACTTTGGGGGAAGTTATTATACAGCTGGTGTGGCCCCTGCGTACTGCATGAAATCCTTCTCTCCTGATTCTCCCATGAAGATAATCATTAGCATGCATTTGGTGTTCTTACTCCTACCCAAGTGTTTAAAATCATTTCTAGTTATCGCGATAAAATTTTAAACCATTTTTAGATTTGAAAACTTTTTATAAATGATATCACATTGCATACATATTTTTTTCCACTATCTTTTTTCTAAAGCAACATGTTTTTGACATTTTGGTGTTGATTCATACAGTGCTACTTTGTTCATTTTAAACGTTGACTAGTATTGTTCACAATTTTTTATTCATCTGTTGAAGGGTGCTGTTTATTTTGGTGGAGGAAGGGGGTTGGCAAGGAAAAATGCAACTGTGTGGAACTTGATGTCAAAATCAAGGAACCAGAAGATGCAAAGTATATGTTATAGTGTCCATGAAACCAAGGCATTGGCTGGGTTTAGTGTCAGCTTCCATGGGTCATCTCTCCAATCCTGTGATCTGTTGCTTAAATTTATTTTCACAAAATTGTACCAAGCAGTTGCCTGAAATACTCACAGAGATCAGGAAAATAGTACTTTCACTGAAGAATTTTGCAAAGTTGCTAGTAGGGCTTTAAATTCTATGAGGGTATTAGGCTTACATGGTGGCATATCTGTTTGTTTGGTGAGTATTTGTGACTAAGTTTCTGTAGCTCTATGCCGATATATCTCTGTTATTTCTGTCTAAATTATTTTTCAGGATTATCTTCAACAATAAGTGTCCATTGCTGCATTTGATGAGCAACAGAGGGTGGAAAACACTGATTGTATCAGTGTTGAATACATTATTTTCAACTTTCCTGTAATCTCTGCCCTGGTGTGCTTTAGGCCATTTCAGAGAAATCTAACCTAAGCCATTTGTTTTTTTCTATTACTTTTAAGTGATAGGGATCTCTTTATTCATTCAGGTAAAACTTCTGCAAAATGCAGGAGAAAGCTCCATTCTTTGGGAACTCCTGCATGTCAGACACAAAGTAAATTTTCCTTCTCTCCTCTCTCCATCTTATGGCTTTGAAATAGACAAGTCATTCCCATTTGCATGTGGGAGAAGATGGGGAAAGAGATTAAATTATTTGTATAATGTCATGTAGGTAGAGCAATGTGAAACAAGTACAGTTTCATCTGAGTTTAAAATTATATTTTTAACTCAAACAAGACAATATATTTTAGTTAAATAACAATGAATTTCTTTTCCCTGAATGTCATTCACCCTAATGTGTTTTGTGGTCTGTGGCCCAGCCTGGCACCCTCCCTACACAATGGTGAGGACAGGAGAGGACTGATTGTTTGCCTTTGAACACCTTTATTCAAACACAGTTTTTCTTGAACTTGACAGGCATATTCCATGCAACAAAGCATTTTCCTTTTGAAAATTGTTATTCAAAAAAAAGCAATGGGATGACATAACTCGCAGGCTGTGTGCTTAGAAGGACTACCCTGCCGCAGCCAAACTCTATTGCAAACATAAAAGCCAGCAGCCTGGCACTCTTCTTTGCCCATTTCCCTCACATCGCAGTCAGCCAGCTTCAGATCTAAGCAAGCCTGCCTCACAGCCGTAGGTCCCAGGGAGAAGTGGTGTTTGCAGTTGGTTGCCACTGAAAGGCAGCGTGATGGTTAGTGAACCAGATGTCTTGACACATAGGAGGCTTCCGGGGCAGATACCCACCCACAGATTCTCAATTAGGAAAATCTACAATTAGCATGACAGCGAGGAGAAGGATCTGGTGTGCAATTTAAATATTTTGGCTAATTCTTATTTTGCTGAGATATCAGTTATTAGCCTCCAAAATTCATGTCAAATCCAGTTATTTGCTAAAATATGAAAAACTGTTATAAAGAAGAGATCAGTAGAGTAACACGATAAACTTGTGCTGGATTTCTCAAAAAAAACACCTGCTTCAAGGCTAAAAATCATAGATTCTAGGATATGGTTTAGATAACACAAAGCATAATCCTCATGGATCTGAGCAGACTTGAGAAGTGAACTGAAGGTGAAAAAGTCGAATCACAATGAAAAGAGACTCTTCTAATGGCTTCAGCAATTCTAATGTGTCTTGAGCCCCAAAAGATTTTGGAGTTTGCAGCTGCAGATGACAATTCCTTTTCTTTTCGTTCTTTCTTTCCTCTTTTTTTTTTCTTCTCAAACTGAATTTCAACAATGAAGCAAGTGATTGCAGTGTGGCAATAGACAAAAACTGTTTTCAGAGGGTTGCCTGCTTGCAGAGGCCTGGGAAAACCGTGCTTCCAAGTCACAAACAATAGGTCTTTTAACCTCATGCTTTGCCCCAAACTGGGTGATAAACACATTTCCCAAAATTGTCGTGGTCCAACATATTAGGAAACCTACAATAAGAAAAGCTTAGCATAGTTTTCTGTGCTCCAATTAAAAAGAAGAATCTTTTAGAAGAGCTTTCACAAGCTGGATAGCAGCTTCCTCCAATCTGGAATTGAAGTATGAGTCTCACTTTCACACGTATCCTCAGGCAACAGCATCATTCCCACAACATAAAGACGAATGTAAGACTCTACTGTGTGGGACACACTGCGGGGGATGGTTGGGATCTGTATGGATGAGGGAACATTCCCCAGGGAACAAAGAAATTCACTTGGATTATTATTTCTCTACTTACCCAATCCTCCAATTAAGCTGTATTTTGAAGGAAATAAATGATTAATTTCCCTCTGCCCTGAATATCTTGTGTGTTTTAATGCTACTTTAAATATATTCAAAGAGATGGGAATGACCCTTGGTAAACAGACAAGGACATTGAACAACTGTTCATCCATTCTGTCAGCCAACTGACTGAAAATGCAAAGTCACAGGATTACTGTCCTAACTTTTGGAGATACAGAAATAAATATGGGGGGTGGGGGGCTTTCCCTTGTTTATCAGGGAAGGCATATATTTTAGCATTCTTAACACTGGAGCGAGTTAGATGGTTGAGAAAACTGAACTTAAAATGCCGAATGGTGTGGATGATCACTAGGCTGTTCAGAGAAGGCAAGAGTTGAACAGATAGTAGTTGAATAGAAACAAAGAGTAGGAGTTTTCTAGGTGGGCCAGGATAGGAAGGGCATTCTAAGCAGAAGGAATTGCATAAAGACACAACAGCATGAGATAATAATAATAACTTGTATTTATTCAGCATTTACTATATGCCTGGGCTAGGTTAAGCACTTTTCAAGCACTATTTCAATTACTCATTGAAATCACTTAATGACACAAGTACTATTATTATGCCTACTTAATATATGATAAACTGAGGCTTTGAGAATTAAATGATGTGTTCTAGTCAAATAGCTAATAAGTAATGGAGGTGGGACTCAAACTCAGGTCTTATTTTTTATTTCTTTTCCTGAAACTGAGCTCCTGATGCCATATTGCTACATGGTACATGACGCGGAGGTGTGGAGTCAGGATAAAAAGACACTCCATATCAGGCAGGGACCCTCCAGCTGCCATACACAGATAAGTGGAGTGTTTATCGCACTGTGAGCAAGGGAGTGAGATGACCATAGGGATGTTTGCAAAAGATTCCTTTTGTAGCAGTTGCGCAGACAGGATTGGTGAAGAATACCTTGGAGGGAGGGAAAGCTGAGAGAATAGGTGGAATTTTCTATCCTGATGATAAGCAATGAGAGTTAAATAAAGGCAACTCTGTGGAGATGATATATGGAGGACTGATTTGCAAAATATGTAGCATTAACGAGCTACGTGACTTGGGCAGAGGAGAGAGGACTCAGAGAAATGCCAGCCTCCTGCCTGGTCGGGAGACTTGGTGAATTGAATGACCTATAGCCAAGATTCTGTAAACAGAACAGCTAACAATGACTACCGATGATCTGCTATCTCTCAGAATCAATCAGCTGTTCCCGGGTCCCTACATTTTGAGGGGAGGTGAGCAAATGCAGAGCAAAACAGCTAACTTCAAGGCTGAAGGAGCCTCCACACAGGTCAGGAGAGAGCAAAGCAACACAAACAACCCTCCAACCACACCTGGGACCTACTTTTTGAGGGGATTGGAGGGGGAACACAGGCAATGAGTGCTACAGGAGATCAGGAGAGAAATGCTCACCAGGGGCTAGATTTATGCAGGAGTTGGAAAGGCCGTAAGCTTAGAAGATGGGAGGACACCTGAGGCAGTCAGTGTGTTCATGCAGTAAGGATTGGAGTTTACCTTTCCTGTAGAATCTGTCTGCAGCATACAGATCAAATGGTACATTTCACTTGGATTGCAGAAACCCTTTAAGGAGGCCATATTAAGTGATTTGTTGTTGTGTATTTTCTGCATGTGTTTATGTGTTTAAATTGCTTCTCTAGGCATTCATGTGCATCAGGATTCCATGGGATACACATTAACATTGAAATTACCAGATTCCACCCCAGGGATTCTGGGTCAGGAGAGATGGGGTGGAAGCAGGGGCATCTGACCCATTAACAATAGCAGCCAAAGTGGTTCTGCTGCAAGTGTGTGAAGACCATACTTCAAGAAACACTGCTGCGGGACAGGTTTTATCAAGATAGTGACACCTGGGAAATTGCATATTAGAAAGTGCGAACAGTCAGCATTGTGCTTTTTTTTTTAATTGCAGTTGTCACTAGATACTATAATATGAAATAAAAACAAAAATCCTTTTAGATATTCAGATCAGAGGCTTCAAATCCTTTAGATGCCTCTTTAATTCCCTTAGTCTTCATCTTTCTCCCTTCTCCCTGCCTCACTGTCTCTCCTAAACTCTCACATTTTTTCTCTTTACTTTTTTCTTTGCTTCTTGAGCAACTCCCGGATCTCCCTCACCTTCTCTGGATCCCTTTCGTAGCCTCTCACCCTCTCACTGTCCTGGTTTCACCTTACATTTTCATTCTTTTTTGTTTTTCATTCCATCTTCTTTTATTATTGCAGCATCCATCTTATGTGGTGATTTTTCCATTGATTCGTTTATTGCTTTCTATTGGTATTGGATTGTGTCAAATACTTTTTTGCATCTATTGAGATGCCCATATGCATTTTCTCTTAATTCTGTTGACATGGTAAATTGCACTGATTGATTTTTGACTGCTAAATCAACTTCTCATTTACTTGCTAAATCTTTGCATTTCCTTAGCCATGATATGGCATTTTATATACCTACATATATACAGACACATGCACATGCTGAATTAGCTTATAAGCTTTAAAGTATGTAATATGTGGTATGTGTCCTTGAAGCATATTTGTCTATACTTCTTAGTTTTTGTAAAGCCTTGGTCTAGTTTTGATAGAGGGTAATTCTGTCTTCATAAAATTAGTTGAGACGTGTTTCTTACTCCTCTATTTTCTGAAATAATTTTTGTAGCATAGCAATTATTTCTTTCTTAAATGTTGGATAGAATTCACCAGTGATGCCATCTGGGCCAGGAGTTTTCTTTTTCAGAAGGTTTTTAATTATGAATATGATTTTTTTAATTGACAGAAGTCTATTTTTTTTCTATTTCTTCCTAGGTTAGTTTTTTAAATTAGTGTTCTTTAAGAAATTTTTCCACTTTATATAATTTTAAAAATGTATTGGAATAGAATTGCTCGTAATATTTTCCTATTATCCTTTTTAATTTCTGTAGTATTTTTCATGATGTCCTCTCTTTCATTGCAGATATTACTAAAATTTGCATCTTATATTTAATTTCTTCATCAGTTTAGCTGGGGGGGACTATTCTAGGTATTATGATTAATGAGTTGTGAAAATCTGATTTCTGTGTCATATGAAAGGAGAGAAGGTTAGCACTCCCCTTGACAATGCTGGAAGGGACGCTTGGCCTGACAACATGCATACAGTTAAGACATTGCCACCTACTTCATGGCAATGCCTTAAAGTTAAATATTGTTGGACAGGTGCGGTGGCTCATGCCTGTAATCCCAGCACTTTAGGAGGCCTAGGCGGAAGGATTACCTGAGGTTGGGAGTTCAAGACCAACATGGCCAACATGGTGAAATCCTGTTTCTATCAAAAATACAAAAATTAGCTATGTGTGGTGGCGGGCATCTGTAGTCCCAGCTACTGGGGAGGCTGAGGCAGGAGAATCGCTTGAACCTGGGAGGCAGAGTTTGCAGTGAGCTGAGATCATGCCACTGCACTCCAGCCTGGGTGACAGAGCAAGACTCTGTCTTAAAAAATATATACCTATATATGATTTATACGATATATATATATATAAGATTTTTTTTAAAAAAAGAAATTCTGATTTCTGTTATCTTTTCCCCCTCAATATGTCATGTTTGTTCCAGCAAAAAATTTTCTCAGCTGTACTCAATTTGAAAACTATGTTTTGTTTTGTTTTCTTTAGCTCTGATCCCAGTTGAGATACTCTTTTTCTTTGGCTGAGCTGCTTTGGGTGTTTCAGCCAGAGATGTGGGCAGATACAATGTGGGGAATTTCTAACTGACATCTTTTCTTCTGTGTCTCTCTTCTCTTCTCTTTTCTTCTTCTCATTTTCCATTTGCATCTGATTTCCCCATGGTCCATGGTAAAAACTGTAATAATGGCAACTCTCCATTATAATTCTCTGCACTGGCTGTGTACTACCCCTCCTAATCTGAGTGCTTCTGTGAATTCTCCAATGCCTTCAGGTATCTGTGCTTTTGTGTTATGTTCAGAGTTTATACTTGTCAGTTACAGGAAAGTTGGTTACGTATGATGCTACTTGGCCATTACCAAAAACAGATCTATGTCTTCCTCTGCCCTCATTTTTTAAAGAAGTTTTTGCTGAAAGGAGAATTTTAGCTTGTTTTGTTTTGGTTGGGTTGGGGTGGGTTTTGCTTTCATTTGATTCTTTAAAGGTCTTGGTCCATTGTATATTATCTTGCATTGCTTCTGACAAGAAATCTGCAGTCATTCTTATATATCTGCCCCTCTGTTTATAATGTGCCTTTCTTCTCTTGCTTTTTAAAAATGTTCTGTTTCACAAATTGTTCTATAGAGATATGATTACAATGTGCTTCTGCATGGCCTTCTCTAGGCTTATCCTGCTTGGGTTTTCTTAAGTTTCTTGGCTTTGTGAATTGTAATAAAGAGTTTGACTTTACTTTTTGAAGTTTCAGTGCTGACAGCTTTTAATCCCTTGGAGTCCCTCTTCTCCTTCTGCCTGCCTCTAGTAAAATTGACAAGAAAGCCCAGTGTTCCCTTCTTTGGTGAACCTTCACCTCTCCTCATTTCTTAAACACAATTAAAACCCCAAGTCAGCTTCCTTTTCTTCCCTGTTCTCCCAAACCATTTCCAGACCAGCTTTGGAAACCTACCTTCCTCTTCCCAGGTGCCTTGTTCTGTGAGTAATAAATCTTTTCACAATCTCATAGTAGTATGTGTGAGGCATCATCAGTCTTAACATTTAAACAAAATTTTGAGTTGGGATCCATCCTATATCTTCAGATATCTAAAAGACAATTTTATGATTCTCATCAAATTTTGAAAATTTGTGTCATTATTTCTGAAAATATTTTTCTCTTCTACTTCTGTACACAAAATAGATGTATATAATATTGTCCCACAGGGCACTGAGCTTATTAAAACTTTTTTGGTATTTTTTATATCTGTATCTGTGCTTTGATTTCTATAATTTCTATTGCCTGACTTCAAATTCTTTGATATTGTAATCCACTCTATTTAATCTTGAATTATGATCACTTAGTAAGTTTTTTATTTTGGATAACTTTTAGGTTTAGAAGTTCCATAAGGTTCTTTTCTAAGGAGGTTCCATAAACATCCTTATGTTCATATTATCCTTTACATCCTTTAGCATATTTGTACTAACAGTTTTACAGTCTTGGTTAACTAGTTCCATAATCTCTGTAATTACTAGTTTCATCTGCATTGGCTAACTTTTTTTGGTCTGGTATGTGCCGCAGTTTCCTGCTTCTTTGTAAGCTAGTGATATTTGATTGAAGTCTGGACTTACGACATTGTTATTCAGTATTTAATGTTACACTTTTTTATTTTCTTTAAAGACTATCTAAAAACTTTGTTTTGAGAGAGATTTAAGTGATCTGTGGATCACCATGATTATTTTAAGCTAGATTTTAAGTTTTTTGGGGGAAGGTCTGGATAAGCCTTTACTCAAGGGTTAATTTAACCCACGTATAAAATGTGATTTTTCTGGAGCTTCTAATGAATAATCTGGGTGCTCAATAAGGTCTTTTTTACTCTGGTTGGTTTACCTTCTATTCCAAGCATGTATGTGCTTTGGGAATTGATTAGCTTATAGTTTCTCTTTTTTTATTTTTTTGGCCAATTTTGTAAAATTTTACTTTATGCATGCAAAACTTAGACTTCAGCAACAGACTCAGTGGGACCCATACATACATATATAGAATCTCTTTGTCTAAAAAGCTCTTTTCTCTTTGGTACTCTGTTTTTCCAATTTTATTCACTTGAGCTGTCATAAACTACCATTTCTGCATTCTCAGCTCAACAGTTTTCCTATTCCTTGCCTGAATTCTTCCTCTCTGCAACAAGATCCATAAAATGCCTCCAGAAGAAAACCAAAACAAACAAACAAACAAAAAACACACAGTAATCATAGGGCTCAACTTGTTTGTTTTCCTGATCTCCAGGATCACAGTTTTAATTTTTTCCTTTGGCCATTATCTGAAAGAACTTTGCCATATATTTGTTCATTTTTCTACTTGTTTCTGGTGGAAGGATAAAACTAACACCAAGAACTCCTTCATTGTTGAAAATGAAAGTTCTTAGATCTTTTATTTTAATGCCTTTAAAAATTGTTTTAGACAAATAGAGATTTACGTTCAACTTAAATTTTAACCACATTTGACACTTCCAATGAGAACTCAGCTGAGATGCCAGTAAAGTAAACAGAAACCTTCACACATGGCCGAGTCCACAGTGCCCTGGCTAGGATAAGTCATAGCCTGTTTCTCTATCTGGCCTACAAAAAGGTTTGTTTATTGTTTGTAAAACAATTGTAAGATCTGTTTCATAGATATTAAAATTTATATTTTGGCATGTTATAACTGAAGAGATGGTATTATTATAAGAGAGAAGGAGACAGGATAACATGAAAACAAGATACACTTACATACATACTCACAAAATAAACTTCAGTAAAATGGTAACTACTATAGAGTGGTAAGTTTCCACATATCTTTTTCTTTCTTTTCAAATTTTTCTTGAATGAATGTCATACTTGCATAACAAAATGCCTTTTTAGCAAATGGTGCTGGAACCTCTAGATATTTACATGGGAGAAAAAGTAACTTCACCCCTACCTGTTACTACATACAAAAATTAATTTAAATTGGATAATATATTAAAGGGTGGCCAGATCTCTCTTCTTTTGATGTCAAATTTCAGGTAAATTCTATTAAATTATTTAAATCTTCACTCAGAAATAGAATTATTAAAGTATGATAGGGTGATAAGCAACAAATAATCAAAAAGAACACAATGTTTTGACCACTAGAGTGGCGAGAAGGTATGCAAGTTGGAAAGGTCTGTCTGAGTGTATTGAAGACTGGGCCTGAAGAAGTCAGAGATGGCTTCTTAGAGCAGATTCTGAATAAGTGAAGGAATTAGCCAGGTGGATAATGAAAGTGAAGAGCATTTTTAAACAACAAACACCATGGGCTTTGATACTGAGACATAATATTGCCCAGCGATTTCTTTGTTCTGAGGTTTAGTGTGTATTTCTTTGGCCTGTTACCGGGAGCTTACTCTGGCTGAGCACTGTGGTAAGATGCTGTCATATATCCCCTCTTCTAACCATAAAAACCATATTTATTTCTAGGTTATTCCTTCAGCATCTGCCCACCTCAAGTATACTATAAGAAAGTCTGGGGACTGATGGCAATTCCTCAAATGTCTTTATCGCATTTTCTTTAGAAGATGTTACAAGCTTTTTAATATTGTCATATGTTGGTACACAGAACATTCTTGGATTATTATTTTATACTGTGAAGAGGGAATTACATCAGTAATGGCAAGCCCTAGGAAGGTAGTTATATTTCTGACTTCATTCTGTTATTTGTTTTAATATCCTGTAGTAGGACCCCTCCTTGTATGATCAGGAATCAGATTTTCAAAAAAGCAAATGAGGTATCTCAGATCTTTTTAATCTGATTAATGGGAAAAGAAGTGCTGAAGCAGAAAGCAAGTCTAGCATGTGTTTCTGCCAAAGAAACAGAAGCTGTCCTGCCCCCAGCCATGCCTACCAGACTCAGCCAACGCACAGCCTACTGGAATACTCCCATTCCATCCAAGTCAGCCCCAGGTCTTACCTGAAGGTCATAATGCCAGGCTCAGATACCTCCCCCATCCATAACCCCAAGTACCTGCTATCAAAATTCCTCCAACAGAGAGATGCTTGAAGTGCATTGCAGGAAAGCCCCAATGAAGTCCTGGCAAGGAGAATTTTCACCTAGGTGCAAGTTCTGGCCTCACCTTGGGGCCAGTACATCAGACCATCTGTCTCGAGTTGTCAATCCCTCTGATCTTCAGGGATCAGAGAAATGGGCTGGTTTCATTCTGATCCCTGTGCCAAGGTGCCTCCTGACATACTGAATTGAAAAAAATACAGTGTAATCTTCACAATGGATAGCCCCCAGTGATGGGGTTTGGTAGATTTTATTTTCTAAATTACTTTCTGTATCTTCTAAATGTTTACAAGCATTATTTACAATAAGAAAAAAAGTTAAAGATACTTTAAACAATGAATATAGTACTGATGTTGTTCCCTTTTCATTTATTTCATTATTATTTATTTGTTATTGGATATATTTATCATATTATGTATTATTTTATTTAAAACATTTTAATATTTTCTCCATAATTTTGTTTCAAAATTTTAGAAGAAAATTATGTAACTGGACATTGGGGAATTCAATATGATCCATACAACTTTTAAAAGTCTGTGATCTCCTTGTTAGGAGCAGTTTTACTCATCTGCAGTTTTTCTTTGTTTATTTTTACATTAAAAGTTGTTTTAAGTAAATATTCTATACTAGAGAAGCTCATGTGCCAACTGATATTTCACAATTATTTTATATCCATGAATGAGGAAATGATATTAAGGGAATCATTTTCTCCCCTGGTCATGGATGGAAGGTAGTGTCGGGCCATACCATGTTGCTGTACTAATTCAGACAAAAAAAAAACATGGTTTTAATCACTGTAAACATGTATTTCATTATAATATTCAATTTTAAACTAACTTTGGCAGCAATTGTATTCTATGACCAATCCTACACTAAAAGATGAAAAGTAAATATAGTATGTTTTCTATCTTCAAGAAATGTATAATTAATTTTATAAGTAATATGACAGGCAGCCCTCCTAAAGCAGTTTATATATAATATGTGACCTGAGAGGATTGTGAGGTAAATTTAATTATTTCTGTGTTTGTTTTTATTTTAGCAAATTTGTTACTTTAACCTTTGATGTTATTATTTGTATTTTTGTTTTATAATCAATGAAATTTAGCTTCCAGCATTTTACCTCAATAGGTTTGATTTCTGAAACAAAACCTACCTCATCCTATGGTAACTGCCGTTCAGTAAGGTTAAATATTTGAACCCACTTTTCTGTTCTTGATGCTTCCTAATTTTCCTAAACAGATTTCCAAGGATGGAAGTTGGAGAGAGAGAGACAGCAACAGAGAGAGAGAGAGAGAGAGGCAACAGAGAGAGAGAGAGAGAGAGAGAGAGAGAGAGAGACTCAGTTCATTTCTGCTGCTATAGCAAAATACTTTAGATGGCAATTTATAAAGAAAAGAAATGTATTTCTTACAGTTGTAGAGAATGAAAGTCAGTGTCTGGTGAGGGTCTGTTCCTCATTGACTGTGCTTTCTCTGCGTCCTCACATGGTGGGAGGAATGAAGGAAATGAATGTTGTGATCTTACATGGGGGGACAGATGGAAGGGCAAAAGGATCTCACTGTTCTCTCCAGCCCTTTTATGGGGGCACTAATCCCACCCACCAAGGTGGAGCCTTCGTGACCTAATCACCTCCCAAAGGCCCCACCTCCTAATACCATCAGTTTGGTTTTTGACTTTTTACATATGAATTCTGGAAGGACAGACATTTAAATGATAGCAGAGAGAGTGAGAGAATGAGAGAAAGTGGAGAGTGGGAGAATGAGAGAAAGTGGGGATAATTATGGCATAAGAAACAGGAGAAAGAATGGGAGGAAGGAAGGAAGGAAAGAAGGAAGGAAGGAAGGAAAGAAGGAAGGAAGGAAGGAAAGAAGGAAGGAAGGAAGGAAAGAAGGAAGGAAGGAAGGAAAGAAGGAAGGAAGGAAGGAAAGAAGGAAGGAAGGAAGGAAAGAAGGAAGGAAGGAAGGAAAGAAGGAAGGAAGGAAAGAAGGAAGGAAGGGAAGGAGGGAAGGAGGGAGGGAGGGAGGAAAAGGAAAAAGAAGGGAAAGGCAGGGCTGGGCTGAGCTGGGAAGGGGTGCCATGAGGTAACCAGTGATAAAGAAGTTTCAAGCATTGAGTAATTTACAGCATATTTGTTTATTGGTTTTTGTCTACAGCCTGAACTATAATGAGGCAAACAATAAGTGATTAATCTGTATAGTATCCTAGAAATAAAGGCAGATCTCTTCAATGTTCTCCAATCTATTCAATCTTCTCTGTAATTTGCTCTTTCCAAAAATGCCTGATCCTTCAAATCACTTTGCTAATCAACTCTACATGAGACTAAAACTATTTCTAGCACCAAAAGACCATCATCCCGGGCATTAACGAAGACCAGAGAAACCAACTTTCCATCATCTTAGTGTGCTAAAGGACAACAAATGTATGGCCAACAGAATTAACACAAGATATGGGTTGGTATCACTCCCTGAAGACGAACGAGGAAGAGAACATGACGTTGCACATTGGAATGACTGAAACTGACAGTGGTTCTCGCTGATGCTGGTGATTCTGGCCACAACACATGATTGGAATTTTATTTGAAACTCATCTGAGTGTTTTGTTTTTAATGTTGATTACATTTTAAAGAGGAGGAAAGAGGCTAAACATATTTTGCTACTGTTAGGTGTCAGTACTTTACATTCTGTCCCTGCTTCTTTGGGCAAAATGAACCAACATCTCCTTTTGGAGCAAATGAAAGCTCTGCTCTTAGCTCTCATCACCTAAGTCTAGAAACTCCCACACAGCCACTAAATCACAGAAATAAGTCAAAGGGAGAATTAGTCAAATGTCTTTTTCCCTTGGTTCTCTGTTTTGCCTATTTTTACCAACTATCATATAGGCAAGAAAGAATGTCCTAGAATGAATTACTTCATTCAAAAGTATTCATTGATTAACTTTCTCTACCTGGGTTCTCTCAGACAGCGCCATCCATTTATCATCAGGGTCAGTAAAAAAGGACAGAAAAAACCATTTTGCTTCTGTGCCTGGCTCTGTCCTAAACACAGGGGATAAAGACGTGAGTAAAACTGGCAAGATGCTCGATACAGTTCAGCTGTGTCCCCATCCAAATCTCACCTTGAATAGTATTAATCCCCTCATGCTAAGGGTGGTGCCAGGTGGAGATAATTGAATCATGGGGGGCGGTTTCCCCCATACTGTTCTTGTATTAGTGAGTGAGTCTCACGAGATCTGATGGCTTTATAAATGAGAGTTCCCCCGCGCAAACTCTCTTCCTTGCCACTATGTGAGATATCCCTTTGCTCTTCCTTTGCCTTCTGCCAGGATCGTGAGGCCTCCCCAGCTGTGTGGAACTGTGAGTCCACTGAACCTCTTTCCTTTATAAATTACCCAGTCTCGGGTATGTCTATTAGCAGCATGAGAACGAACTAATACAACCCTAGCCTCTTGAGGCATAGAGCTTAGTGAAGGTTACAGACAATTAGAGTAATCACCCTACAATATTCCAGTATTTCAAATATGTAATTGTAAACTGTTAGCTGTTAAGGAAAAAATAAGAAGTGATGAGATCTTGGCTGAGAGTGAGAAAAGTCTCCTGTAATGTGCTCTTTCATATGCGATCTGACGAGTGGAGAAGCCTTAGTTAAACTGCAAGAGTATAGAACCCTCTAGAAAGAGTCAAGCCTGTGTAATAGCTCTGCAACAAAAAAAGATCCTCTAAGCAAATGAAAGACTGCTTTGGTTACAGCAAAGATGAGAAAGTTGCACAAAATGCAGAAGTCATGAGAGGCCAGATGACAGAAGCTGTGTCAACAATTTAGGTTTAGAAGCCTAAAAGCAAAGAGGTTTATCCAGAGCAATGAAATAATCAGATTTTATCTTTTTAGAAAGTCTCCCTGCTGCTGGGTGCAGAATAATGGGAAAAGGAGGAATGGTCTTAAATTTGATCCCAAGGTTGGACCTAGCATCATCTAAAGTTGCTGACTTTATTGCCCTGTCCCTCACCTCAATGCTTGGGCAGACCAACTAGCATCATCCCATTGCTTCCTCACTTGCAAACTCTCTAGTGTAATGTACAAATAATATATAGCAAAGGGCTCTACTATTTTCATGCTACTTTTTGGCAGCCTCTTCCCAAACAACCCAATGTCTGGGTGTATGAGATTGCTGCTTCCATTTGTAGCAGGACGAGCTGCAGACAAAACTCTTCAGACACCGAGTGAAAGAAGGAAGGGGTTTATTCGGCCCAAGGCATCGGCAAGACTCCTGTCTCAAGAGCCGAGCTCTCCGAG